>NC_000005.10:154258737-154559054 GCF_000001405.40 Homo sapiens
GCCTGGCTATTCATGACTATTTGAAACTCATGGCTTTGATCATGAGGTTGAATTGCTTTTGGTCCCCACTGAGGCCTGCCTTTGCCATATTTAAAGGCCAATCCAAACAAAAGTCCAATTGTGTTTCTCATGAATGGTGATTAAAGTGTTTTTAGTTACAGAAACTTTTTTAAAAAAAAACTCTTAATTTGAAATAATTTTAGATTTACAAAAAAAGTTGCAAAAATAATTCTTTGTACCCTTTACCCAGCTTCCCCTAATGTTAACATCCTACATAAGCATAGTTTAATTATCTAGACTATGAAATTATTGAAACAATATTATTAACTTATATACCGATTTTATTTGAATATCAGCAGTTTTTCCCATTGATGCCTTTTTTATTTCTTTTTCTTAAAACACATTCAACCCATTACATTTAGTTCTGGGATCTCTTTAGTTTCCTTCAACCTGTGACATCTCCTCAGTCTTTTGTTTTTCATGACGTTGGCACTTTGGAAAACAGTAGCCAATTATTTTGCAGAATATCCCCCAGTTTGGCTTTGTCTGATGTTCTCTCATGATTAATTTGACACATTTAGGCAAGAATAACACAGAAGTGAGATGTTTACCTTCTCCTTGCATCATATCAGGGCATAGTCCTGACATCTTATTATGGGTGATATAACTTTGATCACTTAGTTAAGGTGATGTCTGCCAGCGTAAAGTTACCATTTTCCTCTTTGCAATTAATAGGTATCTTTTTTGGAGGTGCTTTGAGATTATATGAAAATCCAGTTGCAGGAACTATTTCTTCAAATGATATTTTATGTGAAAGTGTAGCAAAGAAAACAGGTAGAAGTGAGTTATGTTGATTGAAATGGACATGAGACAGGGCAGCAGCCCAGCAGCCTCTCCCACCTCCTCCCCTAAAACAACCACTGAGTCACTTCTGTTGAGCCCCTAAGTCTCTGTGGAATGCTGGTTGAAAATCATGGCTCTAGGTGTTGGTTTTGGCTTTTGGTTGTTACAATTCTTACATATGTTATAAGCCCCTGCACTCAAAATGTTCTACAAAATTGTTTTCTTCCAAATTGAAATTAGCAAAGTTAGTTCTAACCAACAACATGAAGTATAACTGATACCAATCAGCAAACATGTATTTAGCACCTTTTGTATACCAGTCACTGTGCTAAATCTAGGGAATATAAAATTCATAAAACACAGTCTCTTCCCAGCAATCCTACATCTTTTCTTTCAGAACAGTGAGGACTTTATAATCTAGACCCAAGGAAGAAATATGAAGGGAGAAAACAAACAAACAAACAAATTGGCTTTTTGGAGGGAAATACACTTGTGGATGTTTTGTTTGTTTTTTGTTTGTGTGCAGGGGCCACTTTGGCCTAAATGGCTGTCATGTCATAGTCAAAGTACTATTTCTCCTCTGAGAAGCATATATTCTTTAGCAGAAAATAAAAGAGAGAGACAGTTCTAACCACCTCCCCCCAACCCTCCCAAAAAAACCCACCCTTAGGTGCCTTTGATTCTCTTTCCCATATTTGAAAGGATCCAAATCCTTGTCCTTCATGGATGAGGTGTTTTAGCTGTCCATAATTACATTATTATTCCAGACACTGTCGGAATGCTTCTTGCTGAGGAGGGAGGATTAGGCCAAGAAGGCTGGAGCAAGCGTGCAGCCAGTCATCTGCCCCGTGCCTGGCAAAGGAGATTATGACTCTGGAACTGAGGTTTCTGGCTGAGCCTTTGTTACTTAATTAGTCTCCTGTCTCTTTTCCCTTTATGACAGTGGCAGAATCCAGGATGCACCCCTTTTTAAATGAATGCAAATGTTTCTAACAAAGTTTTATAATCATTCATTTTAAACAAATCAGAAAATATTCAAAACCACTCTAGTTGCAGGGAATTCAGAGACAGGAAATAACTTTTAAAAGCATATGTTTCTCAAGGGAGTAAAGTAGCAAATACCATCCCTTTAAATTCTGTTTAACATGAAGCCTTTGTTGACTGCTCGTGATGGTTCTGCATAATGTAATGCTCTTTTAAGTGAATACTATTTAGCTTCTTCACGTGAGTCAATGCAGCCTCATGGATGTGTACATTTAGATGCTGATCACAACCAGAAGTCCATGTATAAAATGGTTACAATTTAATTAACTGGTAATAGATCTAATGCAGTGTCACGTTAAAGGGAATGTATAAATACTGCTTTATGAACCAGCCTCTGCAGAAAGTGTAGACACCGGCCATTCTGTCTCCACTTGCTTGGGATGAGTTATGGGATAGCCCTATTAACTGCAAAGGAGTGTGAAATTGGGCTGGGGCGGGGGTGGGGACACCCATTGTTAAACAGCTGTGTCCAGCCAATCAACCTTGAAGAGTCTGACTTCACAGGTCAATAAAGATTTCTGACACTGTTAATTTCATTTTAGGAGACACCATTGAAATTCATCAATCATGCCTTGTCTTTGCTTTTGATGGAGAAAGGAAGAGAGAAAGTTCTGATGGCTCATAAGTAGGTTTAAGCTAAAAGAAAAAAAAACAGCATTAGTTCAACCTATTCACCTTACAGGTGGAGAAACGGAGCTCCAGAGCAGGGAGGGACCCAGGCTGTCCACACTGTCCAGCAACACCACATACTACTGGTGAGGTCAAAGACCTCGGGGGTGTTACTCAAACCCTAAGATCCCTTGAGTCTTATCTGGACTTGTTGCTTTAGGAGATGAGCCCCTTGGACACTAAAGTGCATTCATTCCACAGTTCTGTGTTTAGCACCAAACAAGGGAAAATGTGTTCCATTGCTTTTCTTCCACCAGCTAAGCAGGCCCTAGGTGAGAGTTTTATTCCTACTACCGGAGGTATATATCTCCTGCTGCCTTGGTAGAATGGAAGGAAGGAACCAGAGGTCTCATACCTTCTGTGAATGACACCTGAGGCAAATCCCTAGCCAAGGTTAGGGCCCCACACATGGACTCCCTGTATTTCCCTTAGGAAAGTGGTGCTTACCTGTTATTGTTACTTATTGTCTTCCCTGCCCAGTTGAAAGCTCACAGCAAAAATGCAAAATCCGTACCTATTTAGCTTACGATTGTGCCATCAGGGTCTAGCATAGCACCTGGCACTTGGTGGATGCTTTATGATTATTGCCCCAGAATGAATGAATTAACCTCAGATCTGTGAGCCTTCCTCTGCAAAATGGGAATGATAACATCTATCTGCCCTATTTGGGGATGAAGGAGATAGCATGTATGGAAGAGTCGTGGGATACTCCATAAAAGAGAAGAGATAGTTCATGTGGGTTACTGGTAGTATTACCTTGTAGGCTTTAGCTGTATTGCATTTAGCTCTTCCTAAATTTTCCTTTGACAAGGAATACATTTGAGTTATTTTCGGTAACATTAACTGACAGTATCCTGCCTAGAATGGGAGACCCCTAACATTTAAAGAAATCTCATGTGCATTCCTTTCTCCCGCATTGTAGATTAGGGAGGGGCCCAGACAGGTTGATTTACCTGCCTGGCATCAATGCAGGGAATTTGGCTAAGCCAGAGCTAGGTCACGGGACCCCTCCTTCTGTCCCTCTCAGCTCAGTGCTTCAAATCTTCATTTCTGTTGGAGAAGCTGTAGAGTATTTAATTAGCTACAGTCTGAAATGTGATATATGTCAGCGCTCATTACTGCAGTGGGGCTGGTAGGTATTATTCTCCAGTGCTACACCCCATTGTAGTTCAGTGACCCCAATTAACTCCATCACTCAAGACAGCCCAGCCAGGCAGGCATCACCAAGGGCCACTTGAAGCAGGTACTCAGATTCCCTAGAGTCCATCAGAAACGCTCTTCTCCACCTCAGTCTGACCTGCTGTCCTTCCCCTGAGCCTCCCTGTTGATGCTGAACAGAAGCTTTAAGAGGTTGAGAAGCATTTACCAGGTAAGAGCCACTAGGTCATTGTGCTCAGCACTAAGCTGGGCTCCATTTTATCTCCCTGGAGGCTGCACCCTCAAGACCCTCAAGTTGTCAGTGCAATGGGCAAGAGAAGGGTGCTTTAGGATCCTATCAGAATCAGGAATAAATCCCTCTTCTGAACTAGACCCCATTTTTATTCTTTTAATGTTAACATCAGGAAAGGCAAAAGAAGACTGGTGAATTGGTCCAGATTAAAGAAAATGAAAGACACATGGTAACTAGATATAATGCAGAATCCCTGATTGGATCTTGGTTTGAGAAAAAAAAAGCTATAAAAGCAATTTAGAGACAGACAATAACAAGTGTTGGCAAGGACGTGGAGAAATTGGAACCCTCAGACATTGCTGGTGGTTCTATAAGTGATGTAGCCACTTTGGAAAACAGTCTGGCAATTCCTTAAAAGGTTAAACACACAGTGACCATATGACCCAGCAGTCCCACTCCTAGGTATATACCCAAGAGAAATGGAAACAGATGGCCACAGAAAAACTTGTACATGAGTGTTTATAGCAGCATTATTTATAGTAGACAAAAGGTGGGAACAACTGAAATGTCTACTTATGAGTGGATTTATAAAATATGTGTATATATACCGACTGTGGAATATTATTCAGCTGTAAAAAGGAATGAAGTACTGATACACACTACAACATGGATGAACCTTGAAAACGTTATACTACGTGAAAGAAGCCAGACACAAAGACCACGTATTGCATGATTCCATTTATACGGAATATCCAGAATAGGCAAATCCCTGGAGATGGAAAGTAGATTTATGGTTTCTAAGGGCTCAGGGGAGGGAGAAGGGGAGTGACTGATTGTCTTAGTCTATTCAGACTGCTATATCAAAAGACCACAAACTAGATAGCTTATAAACAACAGAAATTTATTTCTCACATTCCTGGAAGCTGGGAAGTCCAGGAGCAAGGCAGTGGCAGATTCAGTGTCTGATGAGGGCCCGCTTTCTAGTTCGTAGACGGTGCCTTCTTATTTGTGCCCTTACATAGTAGAAAGGATGAGCAATCTCTCTAGGGTCTTATTTCTAAGGGCACTAATCCAAGCCCTCATGACCCAATCACTCCCAAAGGCCCTACCTCCTAATACCATTACCTTTGGATTTGAATTTCAACATATGAATTCCAGAGGGGACACAAACATTCACACCATAGCACTCATAATGGGTACAGAGTTTCTTTTTAGGATGATGAAAATAATCTGAAATTAGATAGCGTTGATGTTTATACAACTTTATAAGAATACTAAAAAACACTGAATTGTATGCTTTAAAAGGGTAAATTTTGTGTTATGTGATTTATATGTCACTTTTAAAAAGGCTGGGTGTGATGGCTTATACCTGTAATCCCAGTACTTTGAGAGGCTGAGGCGGGCAGATCACTTGAGGCCAGGAGTTGGAGACCAGCCTGGCCAATGTGGCAAAACGCCATCTCTACTAAATATACAAAAATTAGCCAGACGCAGTGGTGCATGCCTGTAATCCCAGCTACTTGGAAGGTGGAGGCATGAGAATCCCTTGAACCTGGGAGGCGGAGGTTGCAGTGAGCTGAGATCATGCCACTGCACTCCAGCCTGGGAGACAGAGCAAGACTCTGTCTCCAAAAAAAAAAAAAAAAAGTGATTTGGGGGACAATGGGAAACCTGAATATGGAGTATGTATTAGATAATAATTTATATCAATGTGATAATAGAATTGTGGTTATATAGGAGAATGTTCCTTTGCTCGACAGATGCATGCTGAAGTACTCAGTGACCAAGCATTATGATATCTGCAGTTTACTTCCATGTGACTCAGAAAAAAAATGTATATAATGTATATATAGGCAGACAGCAAATGCGGTAAAATATTAACAATCGGTAAATCTTGGTGAGTAAGAAGAGTAAATCTTTTTACTCTTTTTAAAACTTTTCTATTGAAATTGTTCAAAATTGTAGGCTAACACATAGTATTTTTACAAGACAATGAGGTGGAATTTTTAGAATACCAAGAGACAGAGATAAGTCAAAGGGCTTTTGGCTGTCCACAGTGACCCTTTGGTCTCTGTCCAAGACAAGGATAAATGAACACTTGTTTCCTCTTTTCTTGGATGAAATCAATTGCATTTCTAAGCCGTACAGACCCCCACTTAGCAGTTCTCAGAGAGTGCCTGAAATCTACAGCCCAATACTGTGGGCTCTTCATGCCAACTGTCAAAAGAGTGGGCTTTCTTATGACTTCCAGTGGGCCAGAAATTATAGCCAATGGGAACACCAGTCAGAGCTCCCTTCCTGACCTCATTCTAGGATCATTCCAGGGGCAGTAGTTAGGCTGACTTTCTTTACCAGTCTCTAAGGGAAACACTAAAATAGCCAGCGAGCGTAATTTCTGGAGAGACAGATTTCTTGATGAGTATTCTAAACCTTACATGTTCTCCCCTTCTTGCAGTATTTATAGTTTGGGAATGGATGTAGGGAGCCTTGTGGTAACATATCAAGACTTTAGTTCCCTGTTCCCCTTCCCCCAGACAATCAGCAGGGTGTCATGCAGTCTTGAAGGAAAATTTGTGCACATCCCTTCCAGAACAAAGGGTGAAACCCTACTTGAGAACAGTAGACCTGGAAGGGACCTCAGGAAATAAGGGACCTCAGAATGTCTTCAATTTCCTGATGCTGACAAGGCCTTTCACAAGAGAAGCCCACTGATTTCACACCTCATGGCTACCCAGGAAATACACTCAGGAGCATTTGCAAAAGTCTTTAAACCAACTACTGCTTTTACAGTGTACAGACTGAGTTTTCAATGTGCAGATTTGCTATGAATTTATAGAGTGTTTTGATTCTAAATTCACAATGTGCATCTTTAATGGCTCCAAGTTTGGATAATTTTATGCTGTTTATATCCTAGCAGCAATGGTTTATGCATATTTCCCAAGTTATTACCCTCCTAGGAGAAGAGCGAACAGCCTCCTTTTACAAAAGACAGTCCCATATGTCCTGGTTTAGTGCATCTCTCTTCAAAGATCACTTTGCATTGAGATGTCAGGAAAGCGTGACAGCTGGATGAAGCACCTACCCCAGTTTGCAAGCAGGTGGGTTTTCGGTTTTCTGGACCCTCTTACCCAGCTCCCAGATGGCCATGCATTTGAAAATCGCCAATTAGGCACTTTGCAGTCACCTGGAGTTTTTCTATTGAGACATGTTTCAATCTCATTAAAAAAAAAAATGTTGCCCACCTTCCTCCACTCTCATCAGAAAAGAAATTTATTAACATGCAATGAGAACTTTAAAAAACTCATCCAGAAGCTTTCTTTCTGAGAGTCCAGCCTGAGGTGATAATCAGAAATGTGGGATGTATAGAATGTTTATTGAAACTTAAAGAAATTTTTCTATTGTGGCAAAATATATGTAACATGAAAACAATTTAATAGTAGGAAACTGGAAGCAAGTAAATATCGAGCATTAGGGAATATGATATTCCATGTATTCAAATATAATACATTCTTTGAAAATACTTTCAAAGAACTTTTAATAGCAGGAAATTTCTCTTGACATATCATGAGTGAAGAAAGCAGGCTCCAGACCTCCAATTAGGTCTTTAGATTTCAGATTTCAGGCACATGCATTGAAACAAGATAAATAAAGGAACTACAAAATTCTTAACAGTGATGATTATTGGATGGTAGGATTATGGAGGATTTCTTTAATTAAATTTTTTATTTTGAGTTAATTATGGATTTCACATGCACTTGTAAGAAAAATTACAGGGAGATCCTATGAACCCTTTACCTAGTTTCCTATAGAGGATTTAAATTTTCTCCTTTGTGCTTTTCTCTTTTCCCAACAATCTACAGTCAGGGAAAATAAAATTAAAGACTATCATTAAAAAAAAAAAAAACAGCTTCCCAGGTGTGATGACTCAAGTCTTTAATTCTGGCACTTTGGGAGGCTGAGGTGAGAGGATCCCTTGAGACCAGGAGTTCAAGATAAGCCTGGACAAGGTAGCCAGACCCTGTCTCTATAAAAATAAAAATAAAAAAATATTAGCGGGGTGTGGTGGTGCCTACCTGTAGTCCTAGCCACACAAGAGACTGAGGTGGAAGGATTGCCTGAGCCCAGGAGTTAGAAGCTGCGATGAGCTTGATTGTGCCATTGCACTCCAGCCTGGGCGACAGAGCAAGACCCTCTAAAACAAACAGAACTTATTCATCCTTCTGGAGAACTTTGCTCCAAATTTTAATTGATCTCTCCTTTTCCTGTGTACCCATAGCTCATTACCTAGGCTTTCAGTCCCCTGTAGATCTTAGCACCTTCTGCTAATATTGGAGTTAATTGGATCCCATGCCTTTGTATGGTCTTTCATACAGTGAGTTCATGCTGGATAATCACAACATTCCTTCCAAAAGCATGAAGATGACCCAAACTATTTAGAGAAGACAGGAAGAGAAACACGTTTTTATATTAAAATAAAGTTAAAATAAAACATCCAAATCATGGCGTGGTAAGTACGATTTGCAATATGGGATGAATATTTAAGGTGAAGCAAAGTAGCTGTGGCTACTTGGGGCCAAAAGCTTCCCAGATGCTCCTGCTCTAAGCACATGATGTTTTTTGGGGAAAGTGGTAGCAGGTAGAGGGTGGCAGAAAGTGTGAGAAGCACTTGTTGTAGGTGACCCAGACATGCCTCTTGAATTGAATTCGGTGATCTGCTTCTTCAGCTGCTTTCTTGTCCCTGCCCAGCAGGATGCCAGGAAACACATAGCCCTGTAGAAAATCACTGGAGAAGAGGATGATTGGAGTTCTTCATTTCTTAAAAAACAGTTTAGGTTTTCCCTGTCTGCCCTAGGGCCCATGTCTTGCTGGAAAATATGCTACTTAGAAATTAAGGCCTCTGGGTTCAATTTTTGGCCCCAGTGTTGACCTCTGTGTAAGCCTGGCAGGATGTCTCATTTCTGGGTCACCTTTTCCTTGCCAACATAGTGAGGTATGTAGACCAAATCATTGCTAAGAGCCTTCTAACTCTAAGACACTAGGTTTAGTCAGCCAAAAGCATGTGATTTTCCCAGATTTCCCAAACTCCTTGTACCTAATTGAAAGTACACAATGAACTTGCAAGAATTTAAGCATCCTTAGATGCCAGTCTTCACTTTGGGTATTTTCCTGCCTCCTCAGTGAAACTTGACACCTCTAGTTTGTCATTAAAAAAAGAAAAAGTCTCAAGAAAAAGAAGGTTGTAGAAACTGATTAACAGGATATCCCCTTTTTCCTTTCCCCTGAAGATTATCTTGGGAATGTCAAAAGCAAATTTTATAGGCAGCTTGGTCTTTTACAAGAGATATGTTTACAAAGCATGAAATTAACATTTTTGCACAGAGCCAAATAATTGCTTATAACATAGTGACTTTAGAAGCAGGTTTGCAGCTTGAGCAGTTATTAGCAAGGTCAGATGGTACATACAATTAACAGACTCCATCACCAAAGCAAAGTTAGCCAAGCACCTTGTAAGGGAGCAAGTCCCTACCCGTGAAGAGTTCACCCATGACGTCATTTCAAATATTGGGCACAGCACAGTCCATTGACACTGAAGTTCACTGAATACCACAGTGTTAGAGGGTCAACCCACTCATGGAGCTTCAGACTCCTACGAGTCCACCATAAAAGGTTACACTCCCTGGGTTGGCTAAAGAGACTCAGCCAAACAGCATCCAAGCAACTTCTTACCACAGAGGTAGCTGTACTTTCAGGCTCTCACCCAGACTAAATATCACATTAGAGTTAAGGAGCCCCAAATGACAACATTCAAGGGGAAGAGACAGTAGAGCAGACAGGTCTGGATAAACAGTGTGCACATCTGAGTAACAATTTAGGATATCCTTAAGTTTATAAAGATGGCAAAAGAATATTAAATCGCATTCAGAAAAATCTATTCAAGGAAGTGTGTTGGTGTGTAACTTTGGACTTGCATTCTTATTGGTAGTGTTAGGTGGTATAACAGATCAAACCTGAATTATCAGTGTTGTAACACCTGAGATTTATTTCTCATTTAATAAAGTTTAAATTATACTCTGGTATAGGTCTTAAGAGCACCTCATAAGAGAAAAGGAAGAGGAAATGGATTTCTCAAGAAGTTTCCAGGGAACTTATTAATATTAAAATTCACTTTGGAGCCAGGTGCAGTGGCTCACGCCTGTAATCCCAACACTTTGGGAGGCCAAGGCGAAAGGATTGCTTGAGACCAAGAGTTCAAGACCAGCCTGGGCCACATAGTGAGACCCCCCATCCCTACTTAAAAAATAGAGTTTATTTTGGAAAATATAAAGAATCTGAGATGCCCTCATCTCATTGTGGCTCAAATGCACCATCTCAGCTCACTGCAATCTCCACTTCCCGGGTTCAGGTGATTCCCCTGCCTCAGCCTCCTGAGTAGCTGGGACTACAGGCGCTTGCCACCACACCCGGCTAATTTTTTGTATTTTAGTAGAGACGGGGTTTCACCATGTTGGCCATGATGGTCTCCATCTCCTGACCTCGTGATCCGCCTGCCTCAGCCTCCCAAAGTGCACAGGTGCTGCTAAAAAGTATTAAGCTTAATAAATGCTAGCTATTATTGTTCCTTTCCAAGAATTTTCTACTACATCCCAACATTATTGACTCTTCTATTGGATTTTGTGAATACTTAATTTTTAAAAATACACACAAAAAAGTCCTATTGATCCATTTGGTATTCTGAAAGCAGAATCTATAATATACTAGAACCACTTGGTCTATTATGATGTGCTTCCTCCTTCATGTGGTATCAGAAGGACACTAAAAGCAGCCTGGCTCAATATATCTATAAATGCTGTGTCCTTTGAGCCCTGACATATTTCAGAAATGTGAGACTGTCAGAACCAGAGCCGGGCCCAGCTGGACGTGGCTGGGGCCAGTGGACTTGGCAGGCCTACTGAACTAGGTTGGCTTCCACAACCCAAGCAAGGTTGCCTCCAGGCCTCTAACAGTGAGTGGTTATAGGCTGGTGGGCAGAGAACAGTGTCAGTGGAGGGAGCCTGGTATGGTTGAGGCAGACAGGACATTAGAGAGTCTGGGACATCCTTCGGAAGGGAATTAGGGGCTGGACTGGCAGAGGGTAGGAGGGACTGGGCTCTTGAGTCAGAAGACCAAGGGGAAGCCCACAGTGACACCAAGGTGAGAGGTGGGACCTTGTCTGAAGGAAGAAGGAAAGAGTCTGGGCACTGAAGCTAGCAGAACAAGTCCAGGTAGTCTGACCCAAGCAGGGATACTGAGCCCCACAACCTCGGGTCCAGAGGTCTTACTCTTTCTCTTATCAAAGGCCAGACTAACCTTCAAAGCCAAGTGGCTTGGCTGAGGTTCCTAATGGAGATGAAGGGGGTCTCAACTTTTAGAACATATTTGACTCATTCATGTGTGACTATACTTGATAAATGCATGTCAGCTATCTGGCTTCAAACTGGAGCTTCTACAAACTCTACTGCCCAACAAAAGCTTACATCTCACATCTTTCAGCCTATACCCACACATCTATTTCCTGCGGTGTGCCCTGAAGTTGGAACAGTAGAGTAGGCATTCCTCATGCATACTAGATCTAGCTCTATTATTTTACTTAGTTCTATGTAGTCTAATTGTGTGACTGGATACCCAGTTATATGGTTAATCAAAGTTAGCATCATTCTGCTTAAGAACAAGGGCAGGGCCAGGCTGGAGATGGCCTGGACCCACGTGCTTGACAGGCCTTTTACAGAACAATAAGAGGCAAATGGAGTGATTTCTGCATCCCTGGTTGAACAACATGAGACCACTGGTGTCACGGGTGACCCAGTTCAGAGGACGATGATGAGCACTTCCATGTGCATGGTCCTTCACGTTACAAAACGCTTTCCTATGCATGTTGCCCTTTGATCCTCCAGTCAGCTGGATGAAGTATCCTCCTTCTTCTCCAGATGAAGAGACTGAGGCCTGGTCATTACACACCATGTTCAGGGTCACTTGTGAAATTGGAACTCCTGGCTGGGCACAGTGGCTCATGTCTGTAATCCCAAAACTTTGGGAGGCTGAATGGACAGATCATCTGAGGTCAGGCATTCAAGAGGAGCCTGGCCAACATGGCGAAAACCCATCTCTACTAAAAATATAAAAATTAGCTGGGAGTGGTGGCGCACACCTGTAGTCCCAGCTACTCGGGAGGCTGAGGCAGGAGAATCGCTTGAGCCTGTAAGGTAGAGGTTGTCGTGAGCCGAGAGCACATCACTGCACTCCAGCCAGGGTGACAGCAAGATTCCATCTCAAAAAAAAAAAAAAAAAAAAAGGGATACCAAGTGGCCAGTCTAAATTCATTTGCTTGTGTGGCCCACTGGATGCCTTAAAAAAGGATAAAGTGGACAAGTAGTATGTCCAAAGAAACAATAGCCTGGACAGATATTTGAGTCCTGTAAATGAGGCTGGGGCTGTATGTAGATCTGGTGGTGCTTGCTGTAAGGGTTTAATAATAGAGCCAAAGCCCTGTAATCCCAGCACTTTGGGAGGCTGAGGTGGGCAAATCACCTGAGGTCAGGAGTTCGAGACCAGCCTGACCAATATGATAAAACCCCGTCTCTGCTAAGAATACAAAAATTAGCCAGCGTGGTGGCGGGTGCCTGTAATCCCAGACACTTGGGAGGCTGAGACAGGAGAATCGCTTGAACCCCAGAGGGAGAGGTTGCAGTGAGCCGAGATTGCATCATTGCACTCCAGCCTGGGCAACAAGGACGAAACTCCGTCTCAAAAAATAAATACATAAAATAAAAATAATAGAGCCAAAGCCTCTTTTAGATGATTTTGCTGCATTCAAGCTTTCTAAGTCCAAGGGGTTGTGTGTGGGTGTGTCTGTCTGTCTGTCCTTCTCATTATGTGTTCATTTCTATCTGGTGAGGAAGCAGAAGTCATTATGTCTATAAATCTTGCATCTTTTGAGCCTTGACATATTTTAGACAATGTCCCAGTGGATGCCACATGTCCAGTCATCTGTGACTCCTTCAGGAAACTAAAATGCACACCTAGAGAGGAAAGAGTCAAAAGCCAGAAATGCAGGTAGAGTCCACGCTGAGGTTCAGGTCATCCAATAGAGTGTTTCTTAGAAAATAAGCCTTCTGCAGTATGCAGAGGAAAGGCTTTCCTCCCTACCTCCAGCTGCTGCTCTGCCTCCTTCCTGCATAATTTTTTAAAGCATGCAAAATGAAATGAGGCCCTTCACGTATGAGACAGCTATTTTCTCAGGTCTCATGCCTTCCTTATGAATAGCTCAAATAATACAACTTATAATTATGCTTTGCCTGGCAGCATATTTTTGCCTTCTGAGTGATAGTTGATATTTCCTGGCAAGTAAATACCCTTGGGAATGAGCCTCTTCTGTCCCACCTGGTGCAGGCGGCCCCTCTGTTAGTGTTCCTACCCGCCCTGGCCTCCAGGGCTGCCTCCCTGCAATTCTTAGGTCTTTTCGCCAAGAAGCGCTCCCCAACTTCCTCACTTATCCCAGGGGCACAGGGAGGTCTGAGCACCCCTCCTGAGGGAGCCATGCCAATCTGATTAATTAAGGTAAATAGGGGAGTGATCGGTAGTGGCTTAAACTCCAGTCAGGTAACCTAGGTAATGGCAGGGAGTCTGTGCCACTGCTGACAAGTAATGTGGGATTAATTTCTTCCCAGATCTATGGCCTTCTTTTAGGCTCAGGGTCCTCTTCAGGAGCCTCAAAAAGGAACTAGGCTATGGATAACAGGGAGGGGAATTGGTAACAGTCAGCCAGGGTTACCTGTGGGTGTTTTGTCCCTCCAGGAACACCACGTGGGCAGTGTAATGGAGTATAGTGGGCAGACATCAGAGGCCTGGGGGTCAGCGCCACTCACCTGCATCAGGAACTTGAGCAAATCCCTCCTGAACCTTGCGTTAGCCAGCTCCATGTTCCTATCCCAGCTACCACTTCCATGTCAGTTTCCTCATCTATAAAATAGGAACGATAATAATAGTGCCACCCTCTAGGCTTGTGGTGAAGATAAGGACTTGAAATTGCCTAGCGCAGAGCCTGGAACATAGAGAGTCCAATAAGTGTTAGCATTTCAGGTCTTCTCTATGGGAGAAAGAGGCTCGGAGTGCTCTGTCTTATATGTACTCTTTTTTTACAGACAGGGTCTCACTCTGTCACCCAGGCTGGAGTGCAGGGGCCAGATCATAGCTTACTGCAACCTTGAATTGTGTACTCTAGACGGTAGGAAATGGGCTCAGCCTGGAGGTGGATCTGCAGTTTCTGGTGGTTAGGAAAGGGGGCTGCAGATGGGGAATGCTGAGGGCGAGGGGTCAGCTGAGGCCAAGAGGGCAGGCAGGAAGACTGGGACTAGGGAGAGAGTGGCCTCAGAGCCAGGAGAGGAGTGGAGAGGTTAACACTGCACTCAGAGAAGAACCTAAGCTGTTGGAGGAGGATCTTCTGAGGTCACAGATATAGAGGTGTGGCCCCTTGCAGGAATTTGGTTCAAGCCTGACTTCCTGTCTAGTGGCCCAGTTACTTGCTGAGCATGCAGTTTTATAGCTGCTGCTCCTGGCTTGAACACTGGCCGGCACTGAGAACCTGATTCTGGTGGTTTCTCCACCATATGAAACAAAGATCGTGGAGAAATAAAGTCACATGAAAAAGACGTGTAAGCTTCCTGTTCAGGGAGTGAGGCCAGCAGATGCATAATGTATGGTTTCTCATGCTGCAAGTGGACTGGGGAGAGAGTTTGCAATCTGTGGAAACATTTCAGACTTTTGCAAGTTATAAAAGGAGAGAGGGTTGCCAGGAGCATAATGTCCAGTAAATAGCCCTGAGCCTGGCCAAATAACCTCAGACAAGCCAATCCCTGGGGCTCAGTTTGTTTATTAAAAAATCTGGAGGGGATACACAAGCAGTTGTTAATAGTGGTTATCTCTAGGGGGTGAGAGTAAGGGTTGGGAGTAGGGAGAAATTTTTATTTTTCATTGTACCCTTTTGGCTGCATCTTTCACCATGTGCCTTTATTACTTTTATAATTGCAAATCAAATTATAGGGTTTTTGGCATTTTAAAAATGCCGTGAAGGAGTTGGATTAGATCATTGGTTTTCAAACTTGTTTTTTAAAGCAGTGGAACACTTTTCACATAATCTTATTTGAAAGCCTAATTAATGTATCACAAAGAAGAAATTGGGGCCCCTCTTGCCGGGCTCCCCCTCCGCCTCCCAGTTGCTGCATCTCCAGAGATCCATTGAATGTAGTTTGAAAATAATAGGTTTATATGATTTCTCTGGAGCCTCTTTCACCTCTTCAATTCTATGCTTCCCTTCTATTTAGCAAAGAAAGCTAGGGCATTCTAGCCCTGTAGCCTAAGCTGCTGCTTGTACTGCAGTAGCTGCAGACACACTCTGGCCCTTTGGAGAGTCAACAGTTGGGGAGGATGAGCTGTGTACAGGCTGAATGTCATTCAGATTCTGGAGGACAGGAAACAGGTCAACCTTGAGTTACTTCTGGGTTGAAATGATAGACAATGTTAGAAGGTGGATTTTGCAACAATTCCAGGTAAAACTGAACCTGGGGCTTTGATAGGTAGGATGCTAAAGAGACATTGAAATGGTGTAAGGTGATAGAAAACCATTCCCCTTGTAAAAACATGCTTATGAACACAGACCTGCTGCTTACTTATGCTACTATCTTGCCAAGTTACTTAGCTTCTTGGAGTCTGTAAAAAGGAGAACTACTAGTGCCTGCTTCCTGCAACTGTTGAAAAGATTAAATGAAACTATAGGTCTAAGTGCCTGGTATATTGCCTTGCCCATGATAGGAGCTCAATAAATGTGGGTCACCATCATCGTCACCAAATTCCTGGACAAGTCAGAAAATGGCCTTGCCACCTCTTCCTACGTGTTCTTGGTGAAACCTGTAACCTCTCAGGACCTCATTTTTCCTTATCTGTAAATTACAGGTACTCAACCAGCTCAGGAATTGCAAATTGGTGGCCTGCTAGATAAAATCTAGCCTGCAAACATGTTTGTTTATCTAATGTAATAAACTAAAAATCAAGAAATAGCCCCTAGAAATCTGAATTTTCCAGCTGCTCTTTGAAAAATGAACATCTAGTTCCATTGGCCCTCACTTGGCAACAGTTGGCTGGAGCTGGGGTAGCAGCTGCCCCTCACATGGGCATGCATGCACTCGCCTCTCCCCCAGCCATCATATTTCTGCAGTGCCTTACACCTGGCCACTCCCCCTTCACAACATACATAAGCAGCTGAGTTTCCAACGTCTGGATTGGAAGGTTTCAGGAATTCTGTGGCTTTCTCCTGGTTCTGACACTGGCTCATTCCATGACCCTGAGTGTACTCCTTCACCTCTCTGGACTACCACATCACCGTCTATAAAACGAATGAGTTGAGCTTCCAGACTCAGCTTTCTTTGGGTCTTCTATTCAGTTCATAAACATTTACTGAGTTGCTCCTATTTCCAGGAATTCTAAAAAGCACGTGGGAGGATACAGAGATGAATAAAAATGGGTCTGGCCCAGAGATGTTTTATAGCAATGCCTCTCAAAATGTAGTCTGCAGACCAGCACCAGTTCACAATGAGATAGATAGGGGAATTGAGGATAGTTGTTCAGAAACTTTTGTTGTAGTTTGATATTGCCATGACAGCCAGGTGCATGCTCAGTAGACTTATCTTGTTGAATAGACATAGAGCAGTTCACATGCTGTCAGGCTCGTGTGGTGAATTGCATGTGACACAAGCTGCACACTTGTTTCAGTTACTATTGGTGCTTAACAAATTGCCCCCAAACTTAGTGGCTTTAAAAGAACAACAGTCATTCATTTCTTCAAATCTACAATTTGAGCAGGACTTTGCAGAACACTTTATCTCTGCTGCACACAGCGCCTGCCAGGTGGGTCAGCAGGGGCCACAGCATCCACTTCCAAGATGGCTCATTCGCATGACTGGTGAGGTGGTGCTGGCTGTCAGTTCCTTTCCATGTCGACCTCTCCATAGAGGAGCTTCTTCATAGCATGGTGGCTGGGATCCAAGAATGAATGTCCCAAGAGAACAAGGAAAATGTGCCTGGCACTTTTATGATCTAGTCATGTAGAAATCAGAAGTCACTTTGCATCTCTGCTGCCAAACTCTATTGATTGAAGCATTCACAAAGGTTTGCCCAAGTTCAAAGGCAGAGGATGGAAATTCCATCTCTCAGTGAGCTTGTGGAAAGGTTGTAGAAGAGCACAAGGGACAGAAGATTTCATTGCAGCTAGCCTTTGAAAATACAATCTGCCATACTATTGAGAAGTATATCATGTTCCTGTTGCTGTGTAACAAGTCGCTACATATTTAGTGGCTTAAAACAATAAGAATTTATTAGTTCAGAGTTTTACAGGTCATGAGTCTAACTAAGCTGACTAAACAGGAGTTTCTGCTTAGGGTCTGACAAGGCCAAAATCAATGTTTCAGCCAGGCTGGGCTCTTATCTGGAGGCTCTGGAGAAGAGTCCACTTCCAGACTCATTCAGGGTGTTGGCAGAATTCAGTTTTTTGCAGTTCAGGATTGAGGCCCCTGGTTTTTGTGCAGGCCAGGGGTTGCTGTCTGTTCCTAGAGGCTACCCATACATGGCCCCCTTGATCTACAAAACCAGCAATGCCATATTTAATTCTTCTCTCTCTTCAAATCACTTTGACTTCCTTCAGTACCGCCAGATGGAGAAAGCTCTCAGCTTTTTGTGTGTGATTAGGTTAAGTCGACCTGGATAATCTCCTTTTTGCCATATAACTTGATGTAATCACAGGAGTGATATCTCATCATATTCACAGGTTCCATCTCCACTCAAAGGGGAGGGGATTATAGGAGGATGAAGGTCATTGGAAGTCATTCTTAGAATTCTGCCTACCACAGATGGTTTCATTCACAGTGAATTAGAAATTGAAGTGGTTCTTCATTACAGATAGTTTAAAAACACTAGTTTAGAGTCCAGTAAGAGGGAATAACATGTATATAAATGGCTATAGTTTAAGACTTTAAGTGGTAACTTCCAAAAAGAGAGAGGCAGACAGAGTGCAGTGAGAGGTCAGTGGAAGGGAGATTATTTTGTAAGCGGAGCGGGGATAGAAGTGGGGCCTCTTGAAGATGTGGTGTTTGAACTGAACCTCAGAAGATAGGTGTTGTTTGGATCTTAAAAAATGAGGTGGGAGGACAAGATACAAACAGTTCTGTTTCTATTTTGGCACCTTAGCTTGCAAACACAGAACGGAACTGAATCCTCTCTAAGGTCATTTGATTCCTCCTTACCATAAACAATGCTGTATAACAAATTACTCCAAAGCTCAGTGACCTCAAACAACAACCATATGTTGTTGCTCAAAGGACTACACATCAGTCGGGTGGTTTCTCTGGCCTTGGCTGTGCTGACTCATGTATCTCTGGTCAACTGGGGCTGGGCTGGGCAGCTCTGCTAAACTTGGCTGGGGTCTCTCATATCCTTGGGGCTTGGCTCTCTGTCAGCTGTCTAGGATTACCTCAGTTCTTCTCCACATGTCTTATCTTCTGCTTGCCTCTAACATCTTTCTAGCATACTAGGCTGGGTTTGTTCTCATAGAGGAGGAAGAAGGATGAGAAATAAGTATGAAAGAGTACAAGTCTCTCGAAGCTTGGACTCAAGCTGGCACACTGTCACTTCTACCTCATTCTTTTGGCCAAGGCAAGTCACAGAGCCAGACCAACTTCAATAGGTGTGGAAAGAGACCCACTTTTGATGGGAGGAGCTGCACAATCCCTTTGCAAAGGGCCTGGGATGGAGGATTGAGACCACTTTCACAATCTACTATAGTAATCCTGAGAAATCTTCCTAAACTCTAGAATGAAAGAAATTCAAATGCATTGTTTCTCAAGCTAAGCCAAGGCTTTTGGAGAAATCTGCATGTAATAAACCATTTGGAAAAGGTACAGTGACCCATAAACCAGAGTTATCAGAAGCCAGGCTTATAAAATAGTCTACAGTCTTCTTTGTGAGTGAAAGACAAAAGAGGAGTATTTCAGGGCAACTTTATTACCTTTACTCATGTGGTACTCATTATCAACACCCAGCCCCGGTGCTCCTCTGCAAAACTGTTCCCAGAACCATTCTTCTGGCTTCTGAGAATTTGTGGTTCTTCTCCCAGGTCCCAGTAGCAGTTTTTGAAATGAAAGGATCTCCAATCTGTCCTGTATCATAGACATAAATCATTGTCTTTTATGATATTCCCTGGAGTACCTAACCTAAGGCCAAAAAAATAGTAATTGCACAATAAACATGTTTTAGGTGAATGGATAGATGGATGAATGGATGAATGAGTGGACCAGATGGGTGACGGATGCTTCAGAAATTGACTGAAACCTTCCTTTGGAAAATGTTAACATAAACTTTATTTCCCTCCTTCCAAGTTAGTATGTCAGTTTGAAATCTTGGTGTAGTTGTTTCATGTCTGTGAGCTTTTTTAAAACAAAACAAAACTGGATTGCACACTGCCAAGGGGAAGAATCATGTTGTATTCTCCCTCATCAACCCAATCTTATAAGCATCAAAAAAGTCTGTGAGCTTCCTAGGGTATTAATCATTGTCTAGTGGGTGGGGGTAGATGAGTGGTTGTTGGAGTTGGGGACTTCTAGTCAAATAAACTTGTGAAATGCTGGATTAAACAAAGTTAGACAGCTTTCTTTTCTGTGTGACTTCAAAGAGCCTTTAATATGCTAATATACTTTATGAATCACCAGAAGGGTATTAGAATATGTAAGAGTTGAAAATGAGAAGAATTGGCTTTTTTAGAGGGGAGGAGAAGGGAGGTATTTTTTTATTGTGCTAAATGAATATAATAGTTGTCATTTTAACCATTCATAAGTGTACAATTGTGTGGCATTAAATATGTTCACAATGCTATGTAACCATTACCACTATCTATACCCAATTTTTTAATGATTCCCAACAATAACTCCCTGTAAACAACAATCCCCGTTCTTACTCCCCTGTAACCTCTGTTCTACTTTCTGTCTTTATGAGTTTGCCTATTCTAGGTACCTCATATAAGTGGAATCATACAATGTATGACCTGCTGTGTCAGGCTTGTTTCACTAAGCATAATATGGTCAAGGTCTATCCATGTTGTAGTAGATATCAAAATTCCATTCTTCTTTATGACTTAATAATATTCCATTTTATATATATGTCACATCTTGTTTCTACCTTCATCTATTAATGGACACTTGAGTTGTTGCTACCTTTTGCCTATTGTGGTAATGTGACTATTATGAACATTGGCCTAGGAATGTCTGTTTGAGTCCCTGCTTTCAGTTCTTTTAGATACATACCTAAAATGGAATTGTTGGATCATATGGTAGTTCTACATTTAACCTTTTGGAAACCACAAAAGTTTTTAACAGCAGCTGCACCATTTTGCATGTTTACTAGCAGTGCACAAAGGTTTCAATTTCTCCACCCACATCCTCACTAACACTTGTTGTTTTCCACTTTTTAAATTATAGCTAGCCTAGCAGGTGTAAAATGATATTTAATGCTAGTTTTTGTTGTTGTTGTTGTTGTTGTTGTTTTGTTTTTTTTTTTTTTTTGAGATGGAGCTTTGCTCTTGTTGCCCAGGCTGGAGTACAATGGCACGATCTCGGCTCACCACAACCTCCGCCTCCCAGGTTCAAGTAATTCTCCTGCCTCAGCCTCCCAAGTAGCTGGGAGTACAGGCATGCACCACCACACCCAGCTAATTTTGTATTTTTAGTAGAGACGGGGTTTCACCATGTTGGCCAGGCTGGTCTCGAACTCCTGACCTCAGGTGATCCACCTGCCTCGGCCTCCCAAAGTGCTAGTATTACAGGCATGAGCCTCCGCACCTGGCTTAATGGTAGTTTTGATTTGCCTTTCCCTGTAGTGACATTGTGTACTTGACTCACTGCAGCCTCAAACTCCTAGGCTCAAGCAATCCTCCCATCTCATCCTCCCAAGTAGCTGGGACTATAGGAATGTGCCACCACACCTGACAAATTTTTTTTTTATTTTGTTTTTATAGAGATGGGGTCTCACTGTGTTGCCCAGGCTGGTATGAGTTCTTTATGCATTCTGAATATGTCCTTAATCAAATACGTGTTTTATGCAGTATGGAAGTTCCTCAGAAAGCTAAAAATAGAACTGCCATATAATCCAGCAATCCCACTTCTGGGTATATATCCAAAGAAAAGGAAATCAGCCTGTCAAAGAGACATCTGTACTCTCATGTTTATTGCAGCAAGATAAGGAATCCACCTAAGTATCCATCAGCAGATAAATGGATAAAGAAAATGTGGTATATATACAAAATAGAATATTTTTCAGCCATAAAAAAGAATGAAATTATGTTATTTGCAGCAACATGGATGAAACTGGAGGTAGTTATGTTAAGGGAAATAAACCAGGCACAGAAAGACAAATATCGCATATTCTCACTCATACGTGAGAGCTAAGATAGTTGACCTCATAGAAGTAGAGAGTAGAATAGTGGTTACTAGAGACTGGGAAGGGAATGGGTAGAGGAGATAGGAAGAGGTAGGTTAATGGATACAAAATTACAGCTTAGATAGGACTAAGTTCTAGTGTTCTATAGCACTGTAGGATGACTGTAGTAAACAATAATTTATTGTATTTTTTCAAATAGCTAGAAGAGAGGATTTTGAATGTTCCTAACACAAAGAAGTGATCAAGGTTTGAGGTGATGGATATGCTAATTACCCTAATTTGATCATTATACATTATATGCAGGTATCAAAATATCATTTTGTACCCTATAAGTATGTACAATTATTATGTGTCCATTAAAAATATTATTTTAAAAGATACATGTTTTGCAAATATATTCTCCCAGTTCATGGCTTGTCCCTTAAACAACCGAAGTTTTCAATTGTGATGAATTCCAACTTATTCATATTTTATTGCAGTTTGTGTCCTCTTTAAGAAACCTTTGCCTAAACCAAAGTCACTAAGATTTTCTCACATACTTTCTTCTACAAATTTTATAGTTTTGGCTCTTACACTTAGGTCTATGATCTATTTCAAGTTTATATCATGTAGGGTGTGAGGAAGTGTGAGGTGTATTTTTTTGACATATGAATATCTAATTGTTTGGACACTATTTGTTGAAAAGTTATCCTTTACCTATTGAATTTTCTTAGTGCCTTTGTTCAAAAACAACTGAATGCATATAGTTATGAGCTGTCCACTCCATTGATCACATATCTGTCCTTACCTTAGGGCCACTCTCTGTTGGTCACTGTATCCCAGGAGTGCCTTGAAATTAGGACATGTAAGTCCTCCAACTTTGCCCCTCTTTTGAAAAAGAATTATTTTGGCATTTTTCCAGGTCTGTTGAATATCAGTTTCTATAAAGAGTAACTTGAGTTGATAGATCAATTTTGAGAGGACTCACATTTTAACAATATTGAGTCTTCTGACCAATAAACATGACATATCTCTCCATTTATTTAGATCTTTGATTTCTGTAGCAGTGTTTTGTAGTTTTCAGTGTATAGGTCTTACACATTTTGTTAAATGTATCTCGACTATTTGATATTTTTGACACCATGGAAATCAGTATTTTAACATCAGTTTTCGATGTTTCATTGATAGTATTTAGAAATAAAATTGATTTTTGTATATTGACCTTATATCTTTTGACGTTGCTAAACTCATCAGCTCTACTAGCTTTTTTGTAGATTCCTTAGCATTTGTTTTATAGATAATCATGTCATGGGCAGATATTATTTTGATCCCCATTCTACCATCAAATAATGGAGACCTGGAAAGACAAGGGGACCTGCCTAAGGTCCTGCTCTTCATAAATGCACAGCCAGGAAACTGAAGCCTGTGTCTTTTGGGTCCTCCTTCAAGGACCTCTCCACACCCTAACCTAAGCTAAGCTGTTCCTCAGTCTTTCAAGCCTGAAGAGAAGAATCTTATATTGGTTACGATTATATTTGAATGGTTCAAACAAGATAGTGTATTTTTCTCTCACTTCAAAGTCTGAAGGTTTGAAGTCCAGGACTAGTATCATAGTTCTGCCCCCTGAAGTCCTCAAGAACCTGTACTCCCTTCTGATGGCTTCAGCCATCCCTAGGGCATGGAGGCACCTCGTGGTCCATCATGGTGGCCTTTGCATTCTAGGCAGCAAGATAGAGGAAGGGATAAACAAGAAAGGCAAAAGTGCACATTAGTAGTTTTTTCTGGTAAGTTCCATGAGGCTGGCTCGTAACCTGTTTTGTGCTATAATAACAGATGCCAGAAACTAGATAATGTATAAAGAAAAGAAGCGTATTTGGTCACAGTTCCTGAGGCTGGGAAGTCCGAGATCAAGGGTAGCATCAGGTGAGGGCTTTCTTGCTGCGATATAAGGTGGTAGAAAGCATCACATGGGTGAGAGAGATGGTTGGGACCAAATTCATCCTTTATAAGGATGCTGCTCTCACAGTAATTAACCCACTCTCTCCATAACAGCATTAATCCATTCGTCAGGGCAGAGCTCTCATGAGCTAATCACATCTTAAAGGTTCCACCTCCCAATACTGTTGCACTGGGGATTCAGTTTCCAACACACAAACTTTGGGGATCATGCTCAAACCATAGCAGGCTACCATGCAGCTCCTCCACTCGCCTCTCATTGACAGAACCCAATCAAGCCACATCTAGCTACAAGGATGTCAGGAAAATATCATCTTTATTCTGAGCAATCATATTCCCAGCTAAAATTCTTATTACTGTGGAAGAAAAGAACAGCTCCTAGGGGATATACAGCAATTTCTGCCACAAGCCTTAGTTAGGAATCCAGAAAGGAAACCATTTGAAAATGAAAGAAGGAAGAAGGTGGAAGAGTTCAAAGCCTGTTGCATCTTTTTAAAAATTATTTTAGGATCAGGTGAGCCAGCTCTCTTTTGAGCTTTGTAGCCCATTAAGTTGACCTGAAGCCATTTAGTCATAGGATAAAGTCAATCCTCAGAACCCTTTTATGGTATTAAATCTTTGGACTATATTAGACATGTCTAATCCTTGAGTGACCTTTCCTTCATCTGGAAAAGATAAAAGATGTCTCCACTCATTCATTCATTATTCATTCATTCAACAGAAATTGATGTCTTCTCATAGAGCTCACAATTTGGGGAGAGATAGACAATATTCAAATGATCATCCAAATGAATGTGAAGTCACAAAGGAGCAGTGAGGATGCTGTAAGGTCCCATATCAGGGGCAGTGATCTAGCCAGAGGGGTTAGGGAAGCTTGCCTGAGGGTTTAGATGATTCCTGTGGGAGCATCTGCATTCATAGCAGTTTGCTGTGGTCTGGGAAGACTGTCCTTTGTGCTCTCTTGTGGTTGCACCTCACACATCCTGCCTGGGACACCATATATCTAAGAAATCGTTATATAAGAACAAGAGAGGCTGGGCATGATGGCTCACGCCTGTAATCTCAGCACTTTGGGAGTCCCAGGTGGGACGATCACCTAAGGCCAGGAGGTTGAGACCAACCTGGGCAACATAATAAGACCTCGTCTGTAAAAAAAAAAAAAAAAAAAAAAGCCAGGTGTGGTGGTGCATGTACCTGTAGTCTTAGTTTCTTGGGAGGCTGAGGCAGGAGGATTGCTTGAGCCCAGGAGGTCAAGGCTGGAGCTGCAGTGAGCTATCATCATGCTACTGCAAGCCAGCCTGGGCAGCAGAGCAAGATCCTATCTCTTAAAAAAAATAAATAAATAAAAACAAGAATACCAGAGTGACAGAGTGAGAGTGAGGTGGGATAGGTAAGGGGCTGGGTGCTGCCCAGGAGATTCAGAGCCTTTTGTGGCCTCCACCCTAAGAGAAACAAAGAAGAAGAGTTCAGAGAGTTCTCAGTTTCCAAGATGGGAGATGGAGGAGGCCAACATCATTGTCCAGGCAGAGACTTTCCTCCTGGGCCAGGAAGGAGTCCAAAGAGGAGGGGACTACCATCAGTCACATGTTGCTTCCCCATGCCCCTACCCCTCTCCCCCTCTTGGGGGACCTTTGCAAGCAGTGAGCAGCCAGCCAGCCCAAAGAGCCAAGATTGTGGAAATCAACCAGTGGGTCATTGTCTACCAGGTGTACTTGGAAATTCACTCTTCCAGCTTAAGGCAGCTGTGGCAGATGGGTCCTGTCCCCTGACCAATGCCAGCTGATGGGTAAGCGCTGCTTGGAGCACAGTGTTGAGAAAGATTCTCAAAGTCTGGGATCCACAAGGAAGGATATTACAATAGGTTGGTGATGTCTGCTTTTACCCTGGTGCAACTGAGAGGAAGGAATGGGACATAAATATAAAAATGCTTTGTAAATTATAAAATACTACCAAATAGTAACTAATAATGGTAGCTAGCATTGCTAGTGCTTTCTAGATACCAAACACTGCTAAGAGCTATACTTGCTGCATCTCATTTAATCCTCATAATAACCTTTATGCTAGGTACTATTAATTTCCCCCATTTTACAGTTGGGAAACCAAGGCTTGTGAAAATAGCGTAACTTGCCCAAGATCACAGAGCTAATAAACAGAACTGTGGCACAAGCCTAGGCATTTCTGATGCCAAAGCAGATGGTCTTCTTCACTTTGGTCTGCTGTCTTCAGAATGTAGGGGATTATGATTATAATTATTACTATTATTAGAGCAAGTACTTTATTACTGCGTGGCTCAACCCTACTTACCCAGCTAGGAGATTAATAGGATGTGTTTGCAGTCATTTTTTAGTCTCTCTCTGAAAAGTAGGAACTTGCCTTCTGATGAGCTTTCCAGTTCCTTTTTTTCTTTTTACCCATCCACAGCTGCTGTGCAGAGCAATATTGCAGCCCTTGCTCCTGCCCAGCCCGTCAAGCCTCTAAGAAGAGCACTTTCTAGGGGCTTTCCTGTGATTGATCACACATCAGCTAGACTGAGATTTTCAAAACCTCTTGTGAATTGCCCTCTTGGTACAGAAGTATGATTCATCTCAGCACGTTTTCCATATTTGAGGGCTATGTTCCTGCAGCCTTTCTAGATACTGAGTTTGGGAAGGAATGGGCAGGTACATGTGGTAGGTGCTATTAGCTGTGATGATTACACTCATGTGGTGGTTGGCAGTTTGCAAAACGCTTTCATATCGATTTTCTCTCCAAGCCTCAGTTTTGTCATCTACAAAGTGGATATAATGACGATAATAATATAGTCAAGTCTAATCTCATGAAAGAGTTAGGCTATAATAAACCCACCACTTAAGGTGAAAATAACACAAAATCAGAATCACCCTTGACAATCGCTCATGGAATATGAAGACACACCACCTCTCAAAAGTCCAGTGTGGGCAGTTTTAAATCCAGCTTGAACACCAGTGATAACTGTTTCTTTGGTTGAAGTAATCACAGTGCCTTCTGAGGTAATGAAAATACTTATCTTCCTAGAGTAGGCTCCCCCAGCACAGAGCGCTCACACTTCCAGGGGCCAGAGAGAACTGGGGCCTCCAGGGACACTGTGAGGGCAAAGGCACACTCTGCATGAGCACGGGAGGCTCACCACCACCCTTGTAGGATTTCTCTCTTCTTTCTTGACTATGTGTCACTGAATTCTTGAAGGTGAAATAGACATAAAATCCTATCTCATTAGGTCTGATCTCCTGACTTGCTTTCTATGGACAGTATTGAAACTTAAAAGTAACATGTGATGACACAGACACCAGGCTAGGTGAGGGGAGAGCTGGGCTCAGGTCCCAGGTGGGTTTCACCTGCATCTGTGGGACTATTGATATCCAGCTCTTACAGATGAACTTCTCACCTGACTGTCCAAGTTCTCAGGCTCTATTTCTTGACTCAAACCCACAGGACCCTAGTAACCCTATTTTTAAAAAAAATCTGTGTGTGCCCACCCCTACTTCTGCCTTCCCAGCATAAGCTAACATCATCTCTGCCTGCACCACTGTGATAGCCTCCTTCCCAGCCTCCACCCCTCCTCTTGGCCTCCTAATCCCTTTTCCACTTGGCTACAAGAGAGCTTTCCAAATGCAACCTGATCTTATCACCTCCTTATAGAAAACACTTGTATTTCTAAATGCTCCTGGAGGAAAGACAGAATCCTCACCCCTGTCCACCTCTCATTCCTACCAGACTTTCCCTGCTTCTCTGTGCACCACACACACTGCTCTTCCAGGCCCTCCTATGATTCATGTTTGCTCAGCCACAGAATCTTTGCATATCTTTACTTTTCCCTCTGTCTGGAATGCTGTGTACTCCTCTTTCTACTGAGTTAACCTGTAATCCAATTTTCTCAAGAAAACCTTGCAGGCTGGATCAGATCCCCCCAGTCTGATCTGAAAGAAAGGGACTATCTTTGTACCATGTACCCCTCTTTTATGGCCTGCCACTGTAGCTTTTTTAATTTACCTGTAGTTTCGGATGAAAGTCTACATTTCCCCACCACCACACATACTTCTATAAGCTCTATGAGAGTAGGACCCCGTCCGTCTTCCTCACCAGTATATCCTCAGCACCTAGCACAAGGCTTGATTTGTGCTTGTGTTCATCATACACTTAAGTTGATGGACAGATGGACAGACAGACAGATGGACAGATGGATTGATAGGTAAGAGACTCAGATGAACATTATCAAATTATTGATCAGAGTCGATTTGTTTTTTTTTTTTTTTCCCAGTGATAAAACATTTGGGCACTTATCCTGAAGAAAGTGTTGAAATTGTTCTTTTAGAATGGAAGGGAAAAGCTACTGAAGGTTCTATTTGCCCTTTAGATAACAGACATTCCAAAGTATCTTGGCTTTTTTTTCTCCCTGCTGTTTAAAAAATCTTTTAATGAGCTTTCATGCCTTACGTAGCAAATGACCTTTTCTAGAGCCACCTACACCAAACAAAGGAATTGGAGGGTTGATATGGTTCTGCCCTTGGAAACACAGGATCAGCCCTTTGAAACAATGGCTCCTATCTGTGAGTGACCTTCCCCTCTTAGAGAAGGGCCAGATTTCAGATTTCAGCATCCTGGTGTTGAGACAATGGAGTTACTGGAGTGGGGACAACAGACACAGCCCCATTGCTGATTGGAACAGCAGGACTTGCCTGACGTGGGCCCAGCAGACATAGACTCGTGGTTGCTGGGTTGTAATGCCTCCTTCCATTCATAAATAGTGCCATTCAGGTTTGATTGTTTTCTCATACAGCTTGGTCCTGGTTATAGTGAAAGTTAAGTTTTCTCAAAACAGCAGCCTACTGAATAGGTGCTAGGGTTAGGTCAGCCTCACTTAAGTCTGACTGTGGGGTACCAGAATGAATGATCCTCAGCCTATGAAAAGGGGACATTTTCTCTGAATGAAAACAAAATCATCTTTCTCCTTGCATTTCTCATGGGAGGAGGAGGATTCTGAGATTAATTGAAAGTGGAAAGGTAGTAACGTATTTTATTCTTGGAGTTCTACTTCAGCCTGTTCCTTGCTCAAAGGCTTACTGTGGCTGCCCACCTGCCAAGCAGCTCAAATGTAAGGCCCTCCAATTCTGGTCCAGACTTCCTTCCTGGTCTTATTGCTCGTGACTCACTTTTGCATCCTGCTCACTCCAGCCAAATCAGGCTCCTTGCCCTTAAGTAAATATGCCCTTCACTTTCTAACTCGCATTCTTTCCACATACTTTCCCTCTAGCTGGATTCCACCCCCAACCCCCACCCCTCAACTGCTACCAGTTAAAATCCTACCCCTTCTCTCAGGTTCCTGTCAAAGACTCTGCTTCTGCAGGAATTCTTCCCCGATCGTCCCAGGTAGAATTTAATTTTTGGCTTTTGTAAATATCTATCGAATTTATCTGTACAGCTTTCAAGGCACTATGTTATAGGCTTGTATGTGTGTATGTGTGTTTTCCTTCCTTAAATACTTGTCTCATAGCTGTTTGTGGAGGCCATGGACTACCTTGTTCATCTTTGTCTCTCCCAGAGGTCTTTGGCCATAGTAGGCCCTCAATAATCATTGTTTGGATGAATGAATTAATAAAAACAATCCAGCTTATGTCCTCAAAACTCATGAAGAAAGTACATTTATCTAATTGTCCAAACTCCCTTGTTTAAACTTTATATGCTTTGAGCTAAATTAAGCCCTACCTGGTCCTCTTTGAAGGTAATCTTGAAGAAATTGCTTTGCTGTGTGTGTGTGTGTGTGTGTGTGAGAGAGAGAGAGAGAGTGTGCATGTGTGTGCATGTGTGTGTGTGTGAGAGAGAGAGAGAGAGAAGTTTATTAATCTACTTGGTAGATAAACAGATGTTTGAAATGATATAGTTATTTAAACCTCAAAGCAAAATCATTTCATTGCCTTTGTAGGGTTCTTTGAGAGGAAGGTGGAGGGGAGCCATCCTAAAATTTGCAGCAGAGCCTGGTCTCTAACACAGCCTCAGACTGTGGATGAAGCAGATGACCTGCTCAGCTTTCCTTCCAACATTGCTGTTTGAGCGCATACAGCCCTTTCCTTGTTTTGAAGACACTAGCCAGCTCAGCCAGAGATGCTCTTTGCCAAGTCTGCAGTCTTGGGATTAGAGTATGCACTTTAACAAATCTTCCTTCTTGAGCAGAATGTAGTTGGCTTGCTTCACCACCATTCTTTCCTACCTCCAAAGGCTGCCAGGCCTGCTAAATAGTGATTAAACAAAGATTAAAATTCCATTTGTGTGTGTGTGTGTGTGTGTGTGTGTGTGTGTGTTTGAACACTAATCGATTCTTTTAGTGGAATGTTAAGTAAAAGCATGCAGATACCAGAAGCAGTTATTTAGAGCAGCCAGTCAAAATCCATTGCCAATTTATTATTTAATGTGATTTCCACATTGATTCTGCCAGTCTCCTCCACACACTCTCCCTCACTTCTTGCCATGTTCCTTCCTAACCCCTTTGCTTCCTGTAGCAGAAGGACATCTGGAAACCAAGAGAAAGCAAAGTAGCAAAAGATGGTTGTTGAAGGAAAATAATTACAGCTTTTGTAGACAAATCTTTGAGCTTACAGAATTAAAGAAACTTAAAATTACCTCTGGATTGAAAAATCCAGACGTGATCTTTTACATAATATTAAGTGATTGCTATTGCATAATTGCTGTCTTTTGAGAAGCAATGTTCCTGCCTTTTCTGTTGTTAATGGTCTTGTGGCATTTGTTTCTATTGTAGAATGCCACTATTAACTAAGACTTTTTTCTTTCCTTGAAGAACACTGTGTTTCGATGTGGGCATATGACATCCTGTTAATGAGGAAATTCTAAATCCTGTTATCAGCAAGAGCCAGTTGAATTGAATCAGGTGGTAGATAGGTTGCCTCTGCAGGACCCACAGTTTTCCTTATTAGTTTCCTGTTCGCTCTCCTATTCCTCCAAACATGGTTATCACAAACACTGGAACATACCGTGTTTTCATAAACTTTCCCTAAAAATAATGTATTCATAGTTGCTCACCTTTACTAGGAGAGGACCTAACTTTGTCCCAGACACTGGGACACTTTGTCCCGGATTAGCTCAGTTAATCCTCCCAACAGATACTCTTATTCTGTTAGTTTTCTCTATTTATCAGTCAGGGAAATTGGGCTCCACCTGCCCAGGAAGTAAAACCTAGGTTTTCCTAACTCTGGAACCAGAATGTTCCAAGTCATTAAACTAGACTACCTTTCCCATTGATGAGCATTCATTCATTCATTCAGCTGGTATTTTTCAAGGGCCTAAGATTAGTCAGGTATTGGCCTAGGAAAGTGCAGTGGTGTAATGCCCCTGCCTTCAAGAAGCTTACAGTCTATTCCAGGGAGAGAACTGCAAGCTCTGGTTTGGTCCTTGGGGCTGACAAGCTGTAGGATTTAGGGCAAGTCCATTCTACTCTGTTAGCCTCAGATTTCGTATCTGTAAAATGAGGCAGCTAGATTTAGACCAAAGGTCTTCCAACTTTATTGTGAATTAGAATCACATGGAGAATGTGTTTTCTAAAAAAGGTATCTTCCTGGGCTCCTATCTGTAGACATTTTTACTTAGTAGGTTCAGGGTGTGAGTCCAGGAATTTGCATCTATAATAAGGGCCCAGGTTCTCCAAGAACCACCTTTTGAAAGAGACTGATCTTTCTGTAAACCTCATTAGGCCTACACAGTATCTGTGCTGTCAAACCTGAATCCCTGGTGCCTGACACACTGCTTTGTACAGAGTAGGTGTCAGTAAACATTTGGTGATAGTTTAGATGATCTGGGGTTTCTTAATCTGCACTATCTCTAGAAATTCCATGGATTGTCCTCAGAGGCTCCTAAACCACCTGAAATTGACCACAATTTCCATTAAGGTTTTTGGATAGGATTCTTAGGGCCCTTCAGGCTCCATGTACTCTGTAATTTTTTTTTTTTTTTTTTGAGACGGAGTCTCACTCTGTTGCCCAGGCTGGAGTGCAGTTGCACAATCGCGGCTCACCACAACCTCTGCTTCCTGAGTTCAAGTGATTCTACTGCCTCAGCCTCCCAAATAGCTGGGATTATAGGTGTGTGCCATGACACTCAGCTAATTTTTTTTTTTTTTTTTTTTTTTTTGTATTTTTAGTAGAGACACGGTTTCACCATGTTGGCCAGGCTGGTCTCAAACTGACCTCAAGTGATCCGCCCACCTCAGCCTTCCAAAGTATTGGGATTACAGGCGTAAGCCACCACACCTGACCAACTCTATAATTTTAAGACTGAAACTAGTTTTCCACCCTACTGAAGGCCCAGACCTATAACTGGGATACTTTTTAACCTATACAATAAAATTTGAGTTTTATATCTACATGATTTGGTGAGATGTCAATTTACAGTAGATTCTTAAAATCCTAAAGGAGTCAGTGTCCTCAATCCATGTGTAAATTAGGAGAGCGCTCAGGCTATACTGTTTGTGATTGTCTCCGTTCATCTGAAAGTACCTTTGGGCAGGTAGTGCTGTCTCCATTTTCCAGGTGGGAAAATTGAGGTACCTGTGACTCCTGTAGCTCATGCAAGGTCACACTCAAGGGTTCTTTCCCACTAAAAACTAACCTGGGAGTCAAAGGACATGGTTTTTATCCTCTTGCCTGCTGTGAGGCCTTGGTTGGGTAGCTTGGCTTGTTTGGACTTCAGTTCCTTTATCTGTAAGATGAGCGGAGGTGTACTAATTGTCTCTGAGCAGCTATTTAGCTCAGATGGCTGAGGACTCTAGCAGCTGCGTGCTTAGACATGTAGAACTCCCTGTGTCAGCAGGCTCCAAAGTCCTCCTGGTTTAGGGAAGGTATAAGGACCAATGAGACCTAAAACAGCATAGTTCATCTCTGCAGACCCTGGGAGGGAGGGATAGAGGGAGCAGTGTGCATCATAAGGCAAAGGCAGTGGAGTTAGGTATGAAACTCCCAGGATTTTGGAGCCTTAATTCTCAATGCCATCAGTTCAGCAATCCAGTGTTTCATTTTGAGAACATGATTCTAGGGGTTTACTTCTGTGAGGTCAAAACAGTGAGATTTATCCCTGTACCCCATTCCCAGTAGCACTGGAAGACTTTCACAAGCTTGTAGAGGAAATAGTATCCTTCATGGAATCTTAGACTCTTGAAGGGCCCTTTAAAGGTTGCCTAACCCTTGCTACTCAAAGTGTCTTTTTTGGCCCAGCAGCGTCAGCATCACCTGGGTTCTTGTTAGAAATGCAGAATCTCAGGCCCCGCCCTAGACCTACTGTGCCAGAATCAGCATTAACAAGATCCATGCATGATTCTCCTGCACATTAAAATTTGAGAAGCACTAGTCCCAACCCTGCACTTGATTCTTCTCCTTCACATCCTGATGAACACTCAATCTTTCTATTCCTGGCCACTTCTAATATCTTCTTCCAAATGGTTTTATTTCATCCTAGCAGCGACCCAACTTTTGGAATTTCTTCTCTGTCTGAGGCCCCTCAATCATTCAGTAACATCTACCATTGGCCCTTAGTGTAGCCTTAGGACTTCATGGAACAAAATAACTTCTCCCATGTCCTCCAGGGCTTCTTATCTCCTAGTCCTCATAGTTTCTAATCTTTCCCAACCAGGATACATTCCTGAATATCCCAGCATGTTTCAAGCTCACCAGGGCCAGGCAGGTAACAAAAATGAGATATGGGAGGCAGGTGAAATGCAATAAGGAATGGTAGGGACTGTGGCAAACTGGGGAGACGTGCCCCATCCACACAGCCCAGCTGATGAGCTGAGGGAAGTCAGCCCAGTACTGGCATGTCTTTTAGGTTTTCAAGAGAAGCCAAAAATCTTGATAAAACAATATGAAATCTCCCCATTTTCACACTAGAATTAAGAAAACCAAACCAAAACGAAAAGCACCTTGAAAGCCACCAGGTTGTTTGCCAGTGACCACATTTGGCCCACGGGCCTCAGGGTTTTGCAGCCTTCTATGATAATTATCTGCTCAACTTGATGTGACAACACAGATCAGGTAGGATTATCATCTGCTTCATTGTAGACCAGCAGTTCTCAAACCTCAGCGTGTATCAGAATCTCTTCGAGAGCTTGCTAAAACACGGATTGCTGGGCCCCATCCCCAGAGCTTCTGCTTCTAGAGGTCTAGGGTAAGACCCTGGGAATTTGCATTTCTGGCAAGTTCCCAGGTGGCACCCATCCTGTCCTCTTCAGATACAACACTTTGAACACCATGGCTTTAGTTTTGTGCCTTCCATTAAAAGATCCTCAGTTTGCAGAGCCTCTAGTCCCACCAGGGCTGAAGTAATCAACCAAAGTTTCCAATCTGTGGGCAGCAGAAGAGGAAAAAGAGATTGGGAGGGAGGGCTGGAGAAAGGAGAGCTAACTAGCCCCTAACTGATCAACCTTGACATCACAGAAGCAGAATATTACCTTGGGCAGGTTCCTGGCCTACCCCAAGGCTTGGTTTCTCTGTCTGTGGTATAGGGAAGTGGTCCTAGCTCAGCTTCCAGATATATTTGTTTGCTTGTGTAGGAAATTTGATATCTATTTATTTTTAGCAGAAGAGCTGTCTTCAAATGAAATCCCACATGGAACCCCAGTACATAAAACAGATGTGTTGTTGCTCTGATTGAAGAGCAGGCAGAGCAAGCCCCTACTCTCTGCCTTCCTCTTCCCAAGGCAGTGCCGGGGTCCCCTCCTGTAGAACTGTATCCTGAACTGATTAGATGGTTCCATAAGGACCTTCCAGCTCAGCTTCTGTGATTTCTAAGAATGCTGAGAACTGTTGAAAGCATGCCGCCTTAGTTTTTGTAGTTTTTTTTTCCCCTCTCTAACCAAGACATCTAGCACACCAACTTTCAGAATTATCTTCTTGCAATTCAGAGAGGTCTATAGGAGAAAGAATACAAAGGATTGTTATTATTACTAGAGCTGTTATAAAGATGTTGAGCCATTGTGGAAAACCTGCTAACACAGGGATCAGCCAGAGGCTTAATAAACAAGCGCAGGGACGATTTTATTCAGGGGGCTTCTTGTTAGCACTAATGTCCAGCACACCACACATCAGGGCCTTTGAAGTTAATTATATAGGAAATAGCACTATTGGATTCTGCCTGCCACAGTGGCAAGAACAAGTCTGCAAGATTTGTAATGGGCAAGGTGTTTCAGAAAGTATTTACATGAACATGGAAGATATGTAAGTAGCTGTGTGGTGCAGCATTACCTGGGGAAGGCTCTGGGCCTGGAGGCCTTTGACTTGACTGTTGGCTTGAGAAAGTATCAGGTTCCTTCTGCTGACCCCAGTCACTGGAATGCAGCCTCCTTTAATTAGGGAAACTGCTTCCTAATGGGCGCATGAGGGTGGGCTCACCTCCCCAGGTAAATGATAAATGCTGCCAAAGCCCAGCCCCTGGGGGCTGCTCTCTTGGGGCTGATATATATATATATATATATTTTTTTTTTCCTTTCAGCCATTCAATTGCTTCTTCATACATTCCATGCCCATTTGCCACATGTTTATTCTCTTTGGGTCTGGGCCCTCAAGACCATACAGATGTCCAAGACCTGCCATCTGCTTTTGCTTGCGGCACTCCTTCTCCTTGGGCCACACACAGCTTTGCCGTTCTTTACCCAAACATCACAAGTCAGTGCCCAGGATGTTTGTCTTGCCTGCCTCTCCTGTCGACCTGTCTGAGGCCCAGCCCAAATGCACTCAGGTCCATGAAACATTCTCCATTTCTCCCCAGTGGAACTGAACTCATGTAGTGCATTCTCTGAGCCCCTGCCCTATCCAAGCCACATGCAACTGTTGAGCATTTGAAATGGGTCTGAATCAGGATGAACACAAGTGTAAAATACACACTGGATTTCAAAGGCAGTACAAAAAAAAGAATGTAGGTTGGACATGGTGGCTCATGCCTGTAATCCCAGCATTTTGGGAGGCTGAGGTGGGAGTACAGCTTGAGCCCAGGAGTTCAAGACCAACCTGGGTAACATAGGGTGACCCCTATCACTACAATAAATAATTTCCTGGTATGGTAGCACGTACCTGTAGTCCCAGCTACTCAGAGGTTGAGGATGGAGAATCATTTGAGCCCTGGAGTTCGAGGCTGCAGTGAGCCATCGTAGTGCCACTGTACTCTAGCCTGGCCAACAGAGTGAGACCTTGTCTCCCACTCCCCATCTCCCTAAAAAAAAGAATGTAAAATACCTTAATCAGTGTATTACATTGATTGCATGTTGAAGTGGTAATAGTTTAGGTAGAGTACATTATTAAAACAACTTCACCTACTTTTTTAAATGTGGATACTGGAAAATTTCAGGTTACACATGTGGCTCACGTTATATTTCTGTTGGGTAGCACCACACTGCACACTTTCTCCCTTGGGTGAAAAGAGTGTGTTCATCTTTTTTCTCCACCACCGATTTGTGAGTTCCTGAAAGGTAGACGCTGCATTCTTGACATCTTGCTGACCTTTGCAAACCTAGCTGGCACATGGCAAGGCACCAACAAAGGTATGCTGAGGGAGTGGATAAAGGAACCCAGGATGACAGGCATTTGGTCAATACAAAGCTCCCTTAGGCAGTGTAACTCCTGGGCCTGTGTTACTGATTTGCCCTTTTCTATTTTTCATAGTTTTTGTCTTTTTTTAAGGGCTCACACAGTCGACAAAAGAAAACGTTTTTCTTGGGAGATGGGCAGAAGCTGAAGGACTGGCATGACAAGGAGGCCATCCGGAGGGACGCTCAGCGCGTAGGTACGGAGGGCAGGATTGGCCATGGGTGGGCTCTGTGAAGGGCATATGCACATATGCTTGTGTGTGTGTGTGTGTGTGTGTGTGTGTGTGTTCATGTGTGTGTTTAGCAGGGGTGTCTGGACCTCCTGTTGGCTCCCTCCCTGTCAGCCACCATCCCTTCCCCTGATTCCCAGATGCCCCTCTTCACCAGTTAGCTGACCCCTTTCTCCACTGCCATCACCAGATCTGCTGCCTGCAAGAATTTGCCTGCCACCTTTATTGGGTGATAGAAAATGTCTCCCTCATAAAGGATATTTTGTATTTTATTTTTATAGGATAGAAATGTCTCTCCCTTATGAGATTACAACTAAAACAAGGAGCAGTAATAAGAGCCAGCATTTATTGAACACCTATGGTGAGGAAGATCGATGCTCTGTACTTGGAAATTTCCTCTGTGAAACCTCAGATCAACCTTTATGGCCCATTTAATAAGAAGGGGCCTGTGGCGCTAAGAGGGGTGGTAATCTGCCCACTGTTGCACAGAAAGAGAGGCAAACTTGGAATTTGAACCCAGGTCTGGAGGGAGGGCAGAGTTGATTCCTACCTAACACTGCAGCCATGAGACTGAGTCAACTTAGAGGGCTTCAGCTAAAGTTTTCTTTGGCTAATTAGTCTTGGGAGCAGTTCCGTTTACACTGGTGAGTTGGGAAGGGTTGGGGTAAGGTGGTACAGAAATTATATGGAGAATCAACTCTAGGGAGCCTGGACTAAGGAGTCAGGAGAGCAGCTCTGATGCCACTTACAGCCATCTAATCAATAGATAAAGTCCATACTCCCAGAGCCTCAGTTTTTCCATCTGTCTGTGGGACTCATGCCTCATGCTTCCTGCTTTGACAACCTCAGGATGTTATTGTGAGGGTGCCAAATAAAGCAATGAGTATGTAGTAGCTTTGCAATACTAGAAAGCACTGTAGAAATCTAAGGGATTGGTATTAATATTTTATTCATTTTTATCTCCATTAAAGCCTCCCACCACTATTGATTTTTTAAAGTTACATTATGACAAAACCAGCTTACCACAAGGCTCTGAATAGAGCTGGTGCAATAACTTAACTGATGATAAGAGAAATCTGGAGATGCCAGAAAATGAGAAGGGGGAATGGGTGCTGCTCTTTTTTTGTTTGTTTGTTTTGTTTTGTTTTGTTTTCAGATGGAGTCTCACTCTGTCACCCAAGCTGGAATTCAGTGGTGCAATCTTTGCTTAATGCAACCTCTACCTCCCAGGTTCAAATGATTCTCCTGCCTCAGCCTCCCAAGTAGCTGGGATTACAGACCTGTGCCACCACACCAGGCTAATTTTTGTAATTTTTGTATTTTTAGTGGAGTTGGGGTTTCGCTATGTTGGCCAGGCTGGTCTCGAACTCCTGGCCTCAGGTGATCTGCCCACCTCGGCCTTCCAAAGTGCTGGGATTACAGGTATGAGCCACCATGCCCAGCCGGTGCTGCTTAAATTAAGAAAGAAAACATTTGGGAAGAGCTGATTTGCCAGACATACTAGAATTATTAACACTGGGCTAACCAGCAAGACAAGAGTAACGAGCAGTGGAGACATTAATAATAATAATAACCTGCATCTGTCGAACGCTAACTATGTGCCAGGCATCTTGCCTGCATTACCTCCTTAATCATCACATCATTCACATTGAACCTTCTCATTCTAATTAATACAAAGGGCAAAATCTTCAGACTCGGAAAGGCTGAAGGCATGTCCAAGATGACATAGCTGGGGATGGTAGGGCTGGCCTTGGAACTCCACTCCATCTGGCTCCAGGGCCTGAACTCTGCATTGGTCTCCTGTACTGCCCTTCTGAAGCTTCCCTCCCTGAGCAAACACTTCTGGTCTCCTGCTTACTGTGTTTGGGTCCCTCATGTTATCTGTCCTGGGGTCTAATCCATGATGTCTTATGAAGCATTACAAGCTGCAGATGACAGAGACCTGTTTCTTGCCTGACTGGATTGGAGTAGTCAGAGCCCTTGGGCTCCACGTCTCAGCTTGCACCTTCCTGGAAATCTGACTTTGTCAATGTTTACTTTGCAGAGTAAATAGGTGTTGCTCAGTCCACAAGCTCCAGAAGGCAAGATGATTTTTAACCCGTTGATTTTATTGCCATTTCTTCAAGATCCTCACCAATGACAGATTCTTAAGCTACTATTGCAGGGGTCGATGTGGACATTCCCACTTACCATATGCACCTGGGAACCTAGAGAAAAATTTCCTGGAGTATCACACTCCTTCTCCAGATGGGTTGTGCAGAGAAAGGAAAGCTAGCACTTTAACCCACCCAAATCCATGACTCAAAGCCACACTTTTCAGGCACTCCTGGTTTAGAGTAGGCAGATCTTAATTTGTTTGCTGCCCTAAAAACAAAAATAAAATCAAAGCATCTTTCATCATTTATGGCAATTTTGATTTACTTATAAAGTTTGCCTTATCTACAGTAATCATCTTTCCTCGTGTTTATGAGGTGTTTTGTAGTTTACAAAAAGCTTTCAAATAGGCAACTCTCATTTGACTCTTTCAAGTGTGCTGTGGGTATCAGAGGAGGAAGCTTTAGCTCTGAGAGCTGGTGGGACTTGGCCCAAGATTGATCAGCTCACAGATGGTGGACCTAGCTGTCCAGTGACTGGTCTGCGAGGGCAGGGGTCTTTGGAGTTCCTGACGGAGTGAGGGGAGCATGGGTTTTGGAATCCATACTCCTGATTTGATAACCTTTCTCAGTCTCAGATTATCATTCTGTGGAATGAGAGGTCTCATGTCCACCCCGCAGAGCTGCTGTGATTACATGAGAACAAGATGTGCAAAGTGTCTGAATAAATGCTTGCTCCCCTCCTACTCTTTGTACTGAGCAAAAACTGAGCTATGCTCTATATCCAAATCAAGTTTTATCTTGGAGGTTTAATCATATTTTTCATCCTTTTTCCCCACTCCATATACAGTACCCCATACATCATTAGCAACATCGAATTTGCTCTTTGCTTCTAGGAAATGGAGAACAAGGAAGACCTTACCCCATGACCGATGCTGAGAGAGTGGATCAGGCATACCGAGAAAATGGATTTAACATCTACGTCAGTGATAAAATCTCCTTGAATCGCTCTCTCCCAGATATCCGGCACCCAAAGTGAGTGTAACATCTCTCAAATTCTGAGATCTAAGGATGTTTCCCTGGCTGTTGTTGAGAATTAATTAAGGAAGCAGGTACATGGAGCCCTGCTGACGGAGACACCCTCCTCTTTCACAGGCATTTGTGCAAAGGTTCATGGTGTTGAGGGGTAGGAGATAATACTGTCTCTCCAGATGAGCCAGCCTCCTTCCTCTTTTCAGGAGGTGGAACTATGTAGCCTCTGCATTTCCCCTTTTGCTCTGGGCTGAAGGGAAGTTCAGACCCCAGTGTAGACGACAAGTTGTCATGCAGTTTTTAACTTTCATTCTCTTCACTTTCTGTGTGATGTTTTTATTTCTTTTTAAAAAAAATCTTTCTATATATTTGTATCTTTGTTATAAACCATCTCTAATCACATTGAGAGCAGACATATCAGAATGATTATAAAGATGACAACAATGGCATCTAACATTCTTTGAACCGGTACTATGTGCCAAACGCTTTATTTGTATCATCTCAGGTTGCTGTGAGGTAGGTCCTGTAATGATGCCGATTTTACAGTGAGAAAACTGGGGCTTAAAGGAGGGTCATAACTCACTTAAGGCTATAAGTTGATTGACAGAATAAGACAGGCCTTAGACTCCAGTTCAATCAAAAACTATACTCTGGACCTTAAGTTATCCTGCCTCCCTGTACATTTTCAGTAAGGGTCATTGTGGTGATGATGGTGATTTTCTGGTAGAGCCGTTCTTAAATTTGAGGTGCGTTAGAATCACTTGGAGGGTTGTTAGACACAGGATATTGAGGCCTCAAAGCTGTTGATTCAGTAGGTCTGGATGGGGGCCCAAGAACTTCCATTTCAAATAGGCTCCCTGGGGATGCTGGCGCTGCTTATCTTGGGACCACACTTTGAGAATCACTGCAAGTAGATTTCAGAATTGCTTCTACATGAAGGCAGTACTGAGTAGCACTGGAATATAAGTTTTGCTCAGGGACTAACAAAATAGAGCCCAGGAAAAGATAATAAAAGCTAACATTTATTAGTTGCTTACTGTATGCCAGGCATTTTTCTAAGCCAGTGGTTCTCAAAGTGTGGTTCCCAGACCAGCAATATCAGCATCACCTAGGAATTTGGTAGACCTGCAGATTCTTGGGCCCCAGCCCAGATTTACCAAATCAAAGCTATGAGGAAGGGTCCAGCAATCAGTGTTTTAACAAGGCCTCCAGGAGATTCTGATGCATGCTTGCATTTGAGAACCACTGTTTCAGGTATTTTAAGTATATTAACTCAGTCAAATCTTCTAAAATCCCTGTGAGGTTATTATAACCATTTCATAGATGAGGAATTGAGGCACAAAAAGATTAAGTAATTTGCATAGGATGACATAGCTGAAAAGAGATGGAGCCAGAATTTGAACCCAGGGAGTCTGGCTCTAGAATCTGTGGTTTTAATCACTGAACCATAAAAGTCTTTCCACCTATAAGATCTCAATCAGTAGAATGCAGTGCTAAAGACTTCATCTTGGTAACATGTTTGGCAGCTTACAAAATGCCTTCATTCCCATAACCTCCTTTAGTTCCTACAACAATACTTTGAGGTTGGCATTACCATGATCATCTCTACTTTGTAGATGTAAAAGATGTGCTGTCACCTAGGATTGGGCCCTTTTCCCAAAGATGCCTGACAGCGAGGGAACAGAGGAGGGGCCTCACTGTGCTTTCCCACGGGCTTTGCCATTTGTTTCATGGTTTTCACTGTCAAATCCCAGATTTTTTTTTTTTTTTTTTTTTGAGACAGGGTCTCGCCCTATCACCCAGGCTGGAGTGCAGTGGCACGATCTCAGCTCACTGCAACCTCTGCCTCCTGAGCTCAAGCAATCCTCCCATCTCAGCCTCCCGTGTAGCTGGGACCACAAGTGTGTGCCACCACTGCTGGTGAATTTTTTGTATTTTTGGTAGAGACAGGATCTCGCTATGTTGCCTAGGCTGGTTTTGAACTCCTGGACTCAAGTGATCTTTCTGCCTCAGCCTCCCAAAGTGTCGGGATTGCAGATGTGAGCCACCGTGCCTGGCCAAGCCCTAGATTTTTTCATGTAAGTCTAGACTGTTTGTAGTTCAGCTATGACAGATGTTACTGGATTTGGAACTGTAACCTGACTCTGAGGGTCAAAAACTCAATGTATGTGTTTAGCTCCTTGCAGGGTTCCAAATTCTGCACTAATTTCATCTTTCTGAATCTAGGAAAGAAGTTCACCTGGGGAGTTCATTCATTGTTCTCTCACCGCAGCTGCGGTTCTTGTGGTACTGTGGGTTCTCAACCCTGGCTGCACCTGGATGGTTTTTTAAACTACAAAGGCCAGGACCCCACCCCAGACCACTGAAATCTGAATCTCTGAGGTTGTTACCTGGATCTCAGTATTTTCTAAGATCTCCAAAAGCAATTCTCACGTATAATGAGGGTTGAGAATCACTGGTGTGCAATGAAGAATATTTCTGCAGTGAGAGAGAGAGACAGGCTGGGTGTGGTCACAGCTTTCTTCCATTCTTTCATCTATTCATAGTATATATGTAGGTCTTCTATGTGCCAAGCCCTGTGCTTGACACTAGGATCACAAGGATAAATGAATCATTAGTGTTGCCTCAAAGGAACTCCCACTCTTCTGCAAGGGGTGGGGATGGATGACATGAGCTGGGCATTACACCATAGTTGAGAAGATCAATAATAGGGTTGGGCACAGGGTGCTTTGTGACCACAGAGGATACCCCTGACCCTGTGTCTGCAGTTTAAGAGCTAGGAAGGCCTTCCGGAGGGGTGCTATCTACAGCCTCTGAAAGGAACAACTAGGGCTAGCCAGGGGATGGGGATGAGCAAGAGCATTGTGGGTAGAGAGAGTGGCCTGGCCAGAGGCCTCCAGGCAAAACAGCACATGTTCTCTGGCTTAGGACTTAGGAAGTGGAGCCAGGATGAGGACCTAGCCCCTTTGTCTCCCATTGTAGTGCTCTTTCCTGACAGTCCAGAAAAAGAAACCTCTTTTTCATCGAAGAGTCCTGGGATCCACAGATGTGTCCCTCAATAGAATTCAGGGGAGTCTGTGAAGTTGGATGAGAAAAACGTTGAATTTTTTAAAAAAATTAACCTTTATCTGAAATTTCGTGTTCCCTTCAGTTGTGAATGTAGGCAACAAAGCCCTGTGATGTCCCCCAAGGAAAGCATTTGCTTTCACATCACTTACAGACCTCTTGAATCCCATGGACACTCATCACTACTTTGAAATGGAGGTAGTTTTTATAACTACCACTGATCTTTTTTTTTCTAGATATTTACTTTTTAATTTTAATTATCATGGCTATATAATGATTGTATATATTTATGAGATACATGTGATGTTTTGATATGGGCATACAATATGTAATGATCAAGTCAAGGTAATTGGGAAATCCATCACCTCAATAATTTATCATTTCTTTTACCACTAGATCTTGTTGCTTCTTGTTTTTTTGTTTTTTTTTTTTTTTGAGACAGGGTCTTGCTATGTTGCCTAGGCTGGTCTCAAACTCCTAGGCTCAAGTGATCCTCTTGCCTCAGCCTCCTGAGGAGCTGAGATTACAGGCAAAACCTCATCACATTTGGCTTTGAATAAATTTTGATAACTATATTTCAGTCTAATTGGTTTTCTTTAAAATCTGGTACATTTTATGTATTATGAGCATTGCTCTGAGAAGTGTCCACAGGCTCCCCCAGCCTGGCAGATGGACCTCTGGCATCAATAAGCTGTGGAACTCCTGTTCCAGGTGGGTGGGAGTGGAGCTAAGGAGGCCTTAGATACCTCTGTCACCAGCCCACCCACCCAGCCAGCCAGCCAGCATCCAAGTTACTAACTGCAAAAGATGTCACTACTGCCAGCGCTCCTGACACCCCCCTTTTTTGGAGTCACCAAGTGTGGAAGCTGACTTTTCAGAAATGAGTTGACAGATGTCTCGAAGAGATTTCCTTTTTTTCCAGAGGGGAATCTTTCCTGCAGTTTGACAGCAGAAATGTGTGAGTAAATTAGAGCAGTCGAGCCGCTCACTCCATTCAGTTTCTTTTAGCTTAAACAACTTCTCCAGCAGGAGCTGAGGTTTATGTTTGCCTTTTGTTCCTTCAAACTGAATTTTGGCAACAGCATGTCAAGAACAAGATTGAGGGGCTGTTTGTTTGTGCCAGCTGCCTTTGCTTCCACCAGAAGCTGCACTGGGGACTGCGTAGCCAGAGAACGGAAGCGAGGCAGTTTGGCCCAGACTCACTGGACCTGCAAATGGGAGTCAGCCAGCTGGCTCTGAGTGGGCCTGCCCTCTGCACCTCCTGCCAAGTGAGCGTGAACAGTGGCTGGCTGGTGGGCTGGCCCACTTTCCCTACTCCCTGGGAGCCCTGCTGGGCTGCTTGGCAACTGAGCGTGGAGGCCCCTCCAGAGCACAGGGCTGATGGCACAACAGAGACCCAACTGCTAAAGTGCCTGGGATCTGCAGTTTCCGGTGCAAACCCCAGGTTAGGTGGTCAGTTTCTCCTATGCAAAGATTATCCATGGATATCCAGGATATCCAGAGATATCCTGACCTGCTTTCTCCATTCCATAGTTTTAGCTTCACAATGAATGAACCTGTGTTGCAACAAAAGGCCCAAGTCTACCAGATCCCTCCTTCCATGTTCCTTTTTGCTTTGTCCTTTTTGTTAAATTAACACAGTTAATTTATGACATATACTAAATGTCCTCAAAAGAACTTATAAGCTCATATTACTATAATAGTCCCGTATTATATTGAGTACCTTTACATCCCTAACAGGCTACAAAGTGTAATAGAAGCAAGAAGGAAGGGAGTTATCACCTATTACCTTTGACAAACATGTATTAAAAAATGACAACTTGCCAACACAGGAAGTTTAAGTCAACCACATTTATTGTAGTAATAATATAATAGTGCCCCAATTGGAACATACACATAGGTATAAAATCACATTTGGGCCAAGATGAAGTAAGATAAGTTTTCCCTTCTGCCTAAACAACACCCCCCACCCAAAAAAAAAGGCCAGGCAAAATACATGAAACACTGGTTTTTAAGACACTGGACATCAGGCAGTGAAGAACAATAATTTCTAAGAAATTGAAACAAATGAGGTGAGCCCTATAGTTGCCCCAGCTTATTGCCTTTGGAGAATTTCCAGGCCATGGTACAGGGAGGGCAAGCCCAGATAGAGCCCAGAAGACTTACTGAGTTGAGGAAGTGGAGCTGAGAGTCCAAGGAGATCAAGAAGGCTATAGTTCAGAGGACACAGTACTGGAGACAGGAGAGCTGTGCAAAGAGAGACCTACAGAGATCTACAGAGTCCTCTCAAACACTCAGTGGATTATTGATCAGCACCTGCCGTGAGGAAGCTATCTGAGGCTGGGAAAGGAATCACCCTAAAGGGCTTTAGGGAACAGTGCATAGTGCTCACTCAGGGCCAAAAATAGTTCCTCTTCCCACCACCCAGACTGGAAAACCTCCTAATTCATAACTCATGGGGAATCAGGTAGAGTACTTAGAAGAGTTTTGCCTTAGTGGCATCTAATCAGCCCTAGACTAAACAGTGCTCTGGACCAGTCTAAAAATATCATAAATTATTACCCAAAAGGATCAAACTGTTTCCAAATATATAATGCACCCAGAACAAAGCTTGATAATACTTACATCAATACATAAATATTCACTACTAAGCAATGTGAAACCCAATCAAAGATTATCAGGTATGCAAAAAAGTAGAGAAACATGACCCACAGTGACAAGTATAATCACTCAATCAACCAACCCAGGGTAGACACAGATATTAGAATTAGCAGAGTTAATTGTAACTGTATTTCATATGTTTAAAAAGTTAGGTAGAGATACGGAAGATATAAGAAGATCCAAATCGAAATTCTAGAAATGAAATCAACAATGTCTAAAATGAGAAATATACTGAATGGGATTAATGGCATAGATATTGCTGGAAAAAAAAGATTAATGAACTTGAAGATGTAGCAAAAGAAACTACTCAAAACACAGAAAAAGATTTTAAAAATTGAAAAGAGGTTCAATTACCTGTGGGTCAAGTTTAAAAATTCTAATATTCATGTAATTAGGGTGTGTGTAAGGAAGTAATGGCTGAAAGTCTTCCAAATTGGATAACAACTGTAATACCACATCCAAGAAACTCAGTGAAACACAAGCTCAAGAAATACAAAGAAAATGACATCAAGGCATGTTATAATCAAATTACTAAAAAACCAGTGATGAAGAAAAAAATGTCAAAGCAGCCAGAGAAATAAAGCATGTTATATAGAGAGGAACAATGATAAGAGGAGAATTCTTGTTGTAAACAGTACAAAGAAGAATATGGTGTAGCAACATCTTTAAAGTACAGAAATGTCAGTAAACTATGGTTAGTAAGAAAAAAATAAGGTATGGAAAGAGAAAACTCTGTCAACTTAGAATTCTGTACCCAGTGAAAATATCTTTTTTAAAAAAAGATACTAGCTACAAATAGAGATCTTTATTTACAAAATATGAAGATCACTAGAAATAGTAGCTTTGTGGGTAAATATATGCTATTTGTCTTATTGTTTAAATCTTTTAAAAGATAATTGACTGTGTAACCAAGAATAATAACATTACTGGATTTAAAACATGTGTAAAATAAAATGTGTGCCAACATAAAGATTGAAGGGGAGAAATGGTAATCTGGTATCGTAAGGTTCTCATAGTACGTATGAAGTATACAATATCATCTGAAGGTAGACTGATGAGTTAAAAACATACTATAAACCCTAAAGCAAGCACTAAAATAACAAAACAGAATTATAGCTAATAAGCCAACAGAGGAGATAAAATGAAATCATAAAAAGTAATCCAAAATATGGCAGAAAAAGCAAGGAAGGGAATCAAAATCACAAAGGAGAAATAGAACTGGGTGCAGTGGCTTGCACCTGTGATCCTAGCTACTCAGCAGGCTGAGGCAGGAGGATCGCTTAAGCCTAGGAGTTTAAGATCAACTGGGCAAGACCCCATTTCTAAAATTAAAAAAATATATATTAGCCAGGCATAGTGGCATATGTTTGTAGTCCCAGCTACTTGGGAGGCTAAGGTGGGAGAATCACTTGAGCCCGGAAGTTTGAGGCTGCAGTAAGCTATGACCGTGCTACTGCACTCCAGCCTTAGTGACAGAGCAAGACCTCATCTGTAAAAAAAAAAAAAAAGAAGAAGAAGAAATAGAAACTACCAAAATGATGGACTTTAACCTGACCATATCAATAATCACATTAAATGTAAATGCTCTAATTATTCTGGTTAAAAGGTGGAGATTGTCAGATTGGATAAGAAAACAAGATTCAAATACATGCTCCCTGCAAGAAACACACTTTAAATGTAGAGATACAAATAAGTTAAATGTAAAAGACAGAAAAGATATACCATGCTAACACCAGTCAAAAGAAAGCTGCAGAGGCAATATTAATATCAGTCAAAATAGATTTCAGAGCAAAGAATATTACCAGGAATAAAGAAAGTTATTCATAATAAAAAAGTAATTCATAAGGAAGACATAGCAATCCTAAATGTTTATGTACTTAATCAGTGAGCTTCAAAATACATGAAGCAAAAACTGATAAAACTATAAGGAGAGGCCGGGCACAGTGGCTCTCACCTGTAATCTTAGTACTTTGGGAGGCCAAGGAGGGCGGATCACCTGAGGTCAGGAGTTCCAGACCAGCCTGACCAACATGGTGAAACCCTGTCTCTACTAAAAATACAAAAATTAGCCAGGCATGGTGGCACGTGCCTGTAATCCCAACTACTCAGGAAGGTGAAGCAGGAGAATCACTGGAACCTGGGAGGCAGAAGCTGCAGTGAGCCGAGATTGCGCCACTGTACTCCAGCCTGGGTGACAAAGCGAGACTCCATCTCAGAAAACAACAACAACAACAAACTATAAGGAGAAATTTAAAAAGCCACAATTATGAGATTATGAGATTTCAACACCTCTCTCTCAATAATTGGTAATACAGATAGACAGAAAATCAGCAAGGATATAGTAGACTCTCACAGCACTGTCAACCAATATGACCTAATTGACATTTATAGAACACTCCAACCAATAAGAGCAGAATACACATTCTTTTCAAGTGGATATGAAACATTTACCAAGATAGATTATATTTTGGGCCAGAAAACAAGTCCTCATAAATTTAAAAGGATTCAAGTGATACAAAGTATCACTCTAACCACAATGAAATTAAACTTAGAAATCAATAACAAAATAATCCTTTTAAACTTTCCAAACGATTAGAAAGTATATTACTTACATGTAAATAACAGATGGGTCAAAAAAGAAATCAAAAACAAAATTAGAAAGTATTATTAACTGAATGATAATGAAAACACAATATATCAGAATTTGTGGAATGTCACTAAACTACTACATAAGGGGAAATTTGTAGCATTAATGCCTATGTTAGAAAAAAAGAATGGTCTAAAATTGATGACATCAACTTCCACTTTCAGAAACTAGAAAAAGAAGAGCAAATTAATCACAGTAAACAGAAGAAAGGATGTGAAAAAGGGCAAAGCAGGGATCAATGAAACAGAAAATCAAGGAAACCAAAAGCTGGTCAAAAAACAACAACAACAACAAAAAAAACTTAGGAGAAATTTAAAAAGCCACAATTATGAAATTATGAGATTTCAACACCTCTGTCTCAATAACTGGTAATACAGATAGACAGAAAATCAGCAAGGATATAGTAGACTCTCACAGCACTGTCAACCAATATAACCTAATTGATATTTATAGAACACTCCACCAATAAGAGCAGAATACACATTATTTTCAAGTGGATATGAAACATTTACCACTTTGAAATGGTCAATTAAATTGATTAACATCTAACCAGCTAGAAAAAGAGAAAAAGAAGACAAAAATTACCAATATCAGGAATGAGAGAGATGACATAACTATAGATTCTATAACTATTAAGAGAATAATAAAGGAATATTCTGAACAACTTTGTGCCAAAACATCTAACAGCTTCGCTGAAATGACAGATTCTTTGAAAGACACAAACTGCCAAAACTCACTTAAGGAGAAACGATCAACCTGAATAGTCCTATATCTATTGAAGAGATTGACAGTGTAGTTAAGTACCTTCCCATAAAGAAAACTTTAGGCCCAGATGGGTTCACTGATGAATTATTTCAACAATTTAAGAAATAATTCTGGCCGGGTGTGGTGGTTCACGCCTGTAATCCCAGCTTTGTAATCCCACTTTGGGAGGCCGAGGTGGGCAGATCACGAGGTCAGGAGATTGAGACCATCCTGGCTAACATGGTGAAACCCCGTCTCTACTAAAAACACAAAAAATTAGCCAGGCGTGGTGGCAGGCGCCTGTAGTCCCAGCTACTCGGGAGGCTGAGGCAGGAGAATGGCGTGAACCCAGGAGGTGGAGCTTGCAGTGAGTCGAGATCGCACCACTGCACTCCAGCCTGGGCGACAGAGTGAGACTCCATCTCAAGAAAAAAAAAAAAAAGAAATAATTCTATACAAATTTTTCCCCAAAATTAAAGAGGACGGGGTACTTTCCAACTCACTGTAAAACCAGCATTATCCTGATACCAAAATCAGACAAAGATATTACAAAAAAAGAATTTTACAGACCAATATCCCTCATGAATGGGTTGGGCAGGTGGTATCATCGTCATTATTCACTTTTCTTCAGGTCAGCAACTAGAAGATCAAAGGATAAAGAGGTGTGCCAAAGTCACACAGGTACACCCTGAGCAGGGTTGTATGTTTAGTGAAAAATAATAACAATAAAGTATGAAAAGAAAAACCTAGAATTCTATACCCAGTGAAAATATCTTCCAAAAAAAAAAAGATACCAGATAGAAATAGAGATCTTTATTCACAAAGAATAAAGATCTCTATTTCTATCTGGTATCTTTTTTTTTTATTATTTCTGTCTGGTATCTTTATTCACAAAGAATAAAGATCACTGCAAATAGTAGCCACGTGGGTAAATATATGCTATTTTTCTTATTGTTTAAATCTTTTAAAAGATAATTGTGGGGTAGAATGTAGTTGGAAAGGGATTTGTTACCATGGTTTGCCAACCATTGCGGCATTCAAAACACCCAGATAAAATGGTGGGGAATCAGAAGGAGGGAGTGGACTGTGAGGGAATAGCATCCTGGGCCTAGCAGAGCTGGTGGCTGAGGTCCTATTCAGGGACCACCCACTTGCCCCCATAATAATGTGGCCTTGGTGATGCTGAGTTTGGCTCGAGGAGTAGAAAACTTGATGTTCATAAATATTCCCATAGCAGAAAGGAAGTCTTCTCGAATGGTGATGTAAGCCTGGGGCAAGAAAGGGCAGGGATGTAACAAGAATTGAGCTTTCCTGCCCCACGTGGCATCACCAGCTGTGCATCCCTGTCGGAGACCCTGAGAACTAGGAGAAGCTGTTGGCAGAGCTGCTGCCTGTGCTCTCGGGCTCCTGCTTTGCATGCCCACCCAACTGACGTATCCAGAGCTAACTAGATCAGGAACTTTATCTACGGTAACTGTGTGTTTGTTATGGGCTCCTTTCTACCCTTCCACCTCCAGTCTGCAGCTCATCTGAAATGCAGCCAGCCCTTACTCAGGCTTATTATGCTAAAATGATCAAGAGATAGTCCCTGTCTTGAAGAGATTTCAAGCATATTAGTCACTTAAAACTGTCTCTGAAAGCCATTTATTCATTCAGCAAATATCTATTGAGTGTCTATTTTGTGTGCTTACTGTATGGCCTAGGTCCTAGGGAATCAGCAATGAGCAAATAGTCAAAATCTCCTTCCCTCCTAGAGCTTACATTCCACTGGGGGTAGGGGTGGGAGAGTCATAATATAAACAAACAAATAAATGGATTGATTTTTTAGATAGCAATAAGTGATGTGGGGAAAAAAGATTAACAGGATAAAGGGTAGAAAAAATAATAAGAATGGGGTAGATTTTATTTCAGGGGTCAGGGAAGTGCTGTCAGATAAGATGGCATATGAACAGAGCTATGAAGTGGTGAGAGGCCTAGCAGGAAAGTTGACCAGGGGAAGAGCACTGCAGGCAGAGGAAACAGCAAATGCAAAGGCCCTGAGACCACTGTGCCTGGCTTGTGGAGGCCAGTGTGGCTGGAGCCTGATGATGTGAATGATGAGAAGTTAGGCTGGAGAGGTGTCTGGGTGGTGGTCGGGTTGTAGTGGGGCTGGAGCTTTTCCCAAAATGACTAAGACGGGATGCCACTGGAAGGTTTTGAACAGAGAGTGACATGATCTGATTTTCATGTTAAAAGGATCACTTTGGTTGCTATTTTAAGAATAGACTGTAGGCAGCCAAGGGTGGAAGCAGGGAGACTAGTTAGGAGTATGTTAACAGCAAGGCAGGGGAGCGTGAGAGTGAGTCAGTCCACAGTAGGAGTAGTGGAGTAGCCATGGCTGAATTCTGGACATACTTGGAAGGTGGAGATGGAGGTGCCAGGATTTACTTACAAGAATGTGGATATGAGAATAAGAGAGAAGCCAAGGATAATGCCAAGGTTTTTGGCCAGAGCAGCTGGGGAGATGGAGTTGCCATCTGCAGGAATGGAGATGACTTTGGGAAGAGCAATTTTGGGGAAAATCACGATTTTGATTGCAGACAAGTTTGCGACACTGTTTCACATCCAAATGTCAATGTCAAGTAGGCAGTTGAATAAATGATCTCATTTGTGTTGTGAAAAATGGAAATAGTGACAAGATTTTTTTCTGAGTTGCTGTGTTTTTATTGTGGTTTTAATTAACTCACCTTCCTAGAATATCAGGAAATGCCTGAGGCATAACAGATAGTAAGCCTAAAAATGACCCAAGACCGGACGTAGTCTGTGGCGTGCAGTGTAATGGAGTTTGTGGTCAGCGTTCAGGTTATGGCGAGAGCGGTACCCATAACCTTCCACCCTTTTTGTTGGGAATGAATGACGGGAGTCTGCACCCGCCCCCACCCCATGGTGCAGAGTGGCTTGTCAGACCCTCCATAGAATAGAGACAGGCTTCAAAGACTATTTAGTACTTATTAGCAGTTTTTACCCTTTTTATCATGATTCATGTGGTAGAGCAAGCTCGCCTGACACCTTTATAATGGAGTACTTCAGTATAAGATTAGTGCCCCAGAGATACTCAGAGTTCAAGAGCAATGCAGCCTCCCTGTTTTGGTAGGTTGTTAGCGAGGCTGTTGTGGGAGGGGAGGGCCTGTAGATGGAATGATTTGTAAGCTGGGAAAGGAAAAAATCTAGGTTTTTCTTTTTTTGGACCATCACTGGGTTTTTTTTGTTTTTTTTTTTGTTTGTTTGTTTGTTTGTTTGTTTGTTTTGTTTTTGAGACAGAGTCTCGCTCTGTCATCCAGGCTGGAGTGCAGGCGTGATCTCGGCTCACTGCATCCTCCACTTCCTGGGTTCAAGCAATTCTCCTGCCTCAGCCTCCCAAGTAGCTGGGATTACAGGCGCATACCACCCACCACACCTGGCTAATTTTTGTATTTGCAGCAGAGACAGGGTTTTACCATGTTGGCCAGGCTGGTCTGGAACTCCTGACCTCAGGTAATCCGCCCACCTCAGCCTCCCAAAGTGCTGGGATTACAGGCGTGAGCCACCGTGCCTGGCCACATCACTGGTTTTTTAGGAGACTTAAATCAGCTCTTCTCCTTTGAAATTAAATGACTCCCTTCTGAACAGTGGTGTTTCTTCCACGATAACAGTTATTGATCCATTGGACCTAATATTGAGATTTAAAGGTGCTCATATACCTTAAAATAAAATGCAGCCAATAACATTTCTTACATTGACTTCTTTTCTCTAATTTTTAAAAGAGTTCAGTGAATTCAGCCCTGAAGTTGAAATTGTGAAGATAAATAATCTACAGCAAAATGGCTGCCTATCAACTAAAAATTATATGGGCATCTACTCCCTACAATTTATGCTAGATAAAAGCCACTTACATCTATGTGACTGGATGTGTGGCTTGTTTTCTTTTTATTATTTCTGCAAACAGATGCATTTTCTGAGTCTTCTAGAAATGGATGCTGTGTTCTCCATTAATAACAACATGTACCATTTGTCGAGTGCTCCTATTTATTTATCGATGTACCGGGCATTGTGCTGAACACATTGCCAGTTGTATCTTACTTGTTCCTATTCAGAATTGTTGTGTGATGATGATTTATTTCTTTTATACTCAACATTGTCTTCTGGTTTACAAACTGTTACAACTATTTTGTGGTTTAGCCTCTCTGCAATTGTGTCAAATGGGGAACATCACTAGCTCCATTTTACAGATGCACAAACTAAACCTCAGAGAACCTCAGCCCTTTGTTCCAGTTCACACTGCTAGTAGAAGGCAAAGAAGGCTCGACCTAGATCCAAGCCTGTGTTTTTTCTATTGCATCATACACAGACTGAGACCTGAGACCTGAGACCTGAAACCCGTGTCTCACAGAGAATGGAGACTTTTTTTTTTTTTTTTAAGACAGATTCTCACTCTCTTGCCCAGGCTGGAGTGCAGTGATGCAATCTCAGCTCACCGCAAATTCTGCCATTCAGGGTGAAGCAATTCTCATGCTCAGCCTCTCGAGTAGCTGGGACTATGGGCACACGCCACCACACCAGGCTAATTTTTGTATTTTTAGTAGAGATGGAGTTTCACCATGTTGGCCAGGCTGGTCTCAAACTCCTGGCCTTGAGTTGATCTGCCCACCTTAGCCTCCCAAAGTGCTGAAATTACAGGCATGAGCCACCGTACCCGGTGGAGGGAAACGTTTTTAAATCTGAATCCTCTGTCCATGAAGGTACTTGGACCAGGCCTAGTGAGTGGTATTTGCTACATAAATCCAGCAAACACAACCAGCCGACTCCTCTGCATGCATCGCATTCACCATGCAGAAGGTAATATGTTCTTGTCCAGGAGCAGATAAATAGCATTCAGCAAAATTGGTTACAGAGATGAGTTTGATTTCTAAGTGGTGTTGGCCTTGAAAGGGTTTAAGCAAAAAGAAAATAATGACTGGAAGATAAGAGTGATTATCAGTTCTCTCCCTTCATTAAGATGGTATCAAGGGCAGTGTGATGATAAGACAAGCAGAACAGCTTAGCTTAGGAGCACTGTTACATAGAAGAGAACATAGTTCTTTCTTGATTGGAAGCCTCCTTCTCCACACCTTTCAGGGGAAGAAATCAATAGTCCCTCTCCCCTCTCTATCCCCCCACTTTACGCTCCAATCCTAAGTCTGCCTGGGTAATGAATTGTAACAGTTTAGTAGCTTTCTATAGTTTTTTCTTTGCTTATACAGTATATAGAGACATATGAATGGGGCTTAGGGTTTTGTTTTGTTTTATAAAAATGTGGTTGTACTATTGTGTTTTATTCTACAAGTACTTTTTTCACTTAATATATTGTGGTCACATTTTAAGATATTTCTAATAGCTGTGTAATATTCCATAGGAATATAATTTAGTCAACAGTTCCTCTGTAGACAGACATACAGGTCATTTCCAGGTCCTTGCTTCTGGAAAAAGTGTGGCAAAAAACATCCTGGAACACATATCTTTACATTTTTATTTCTTCTTTTCTCCTCTTTTATGAATCATCAAGAAACTTGATATTAAAGTCCATTTCCTTCTAAGGAATGTTTGCCTGGCAGCTGGCAGCTCACTGGGATGTGAGGTGTGGTCCTTAGGGTTATTTTGTGCCTTGCACACCATATTCATCCATTAGAGTTCCTCTTTCCTGCTGTCATCCTTGGTTTAAAGCTTGAGTATGTGGAATATATTGCATGTTACATCTGTAGGAGGGCCAAAAATTTTATCATGTGGGACAGCAGTGTGAAGAAACTGTCACTAGATTTTTTTAAAATGTTATTGTTAGGCTGGGTGCGGTGGCTCATGCCTTTAATCCCAACACTTTGGGAGGCCGAGGCAGGTGGATCACTTGAGGTCAGGAGCTCGAGACCAGCCTGGCCAACATGGTGAAACCACATCTCTACGAAAAATACAAAAATTAGCCGGGCGTGATGGTGAGTGCCTCATAGTCCCAGCTACTTAGGAAGCTGAGGCAGGAGAATTGCTTCAACCTGGGAGGCAGAGGTTGCAGTGAGTTGAAATCACATCACTGCACTCCAGCCTGGGTGACAGAGCGAGACTCTTGAAAAAAAAAAAAAGGTACTGTTTTTATAACCATCTTAAAACTAGATATGACCTAAATAAAACAGTTCCCAAAATGTAAGTTCAAAAGGAAGGAAAAGAAAGCACAAACCAAGATCCTTTAAACACTCCTTGTACCTGAAATCTCTGGTCCTAGTCAGGGGGTGCACAACTAGTGGCAAACTGATACTGCTGAGGTTTATAATTAACAATATGAATAATAAGAATAAACCTCTGTGTGTTTCTTAGCTGTCTGTTGAACAGGGACTAGCAGGTGGGTTTGGCTGGCTCTCAGCAAAGCATCCCCTGAATGGCAAAGGGCTTTCATAAAGATGTCAGCCTTGGCACACGTTGTCAAGTAATCTTTTGGGTCCTTTTATTCCAGTCAGACTGTGTTAAAGAGAAAGCTCATGTCTGTCTCATCCCCGAGAGGAGGGTAGAGAAGGGCTGGAGAGCTGAGCCTGAGCCTTGAGCTGAGGAAAGAGGCTTACAATCAGTATGTGTCAGGAGAAGGCCTAAGTCTGCAGCTCGAGGGAGGATGGGGGAAAGGGAACAGGGACTTTTCACACTCTACCCACTAAGACTCAGTTTCTGCCTCTTATTCTGGTGGAGCTGTCTCTGACTTCCACTTAGTCAGTTTCTTGATGGCTCCAAGACGACTGGACATAGTCTTTCTGAGAATGTTATATTTTAAGGGACTGTCCTTTTTGCAGAATAGAGAGGAGAAAATCCTAGAATTTTGAACTTACACCATTTGCTGGAAAATGACCTATACCGTGGCCTCTGTAAAGTGGAAACTAAATTTACATTCCAGATGCTGTACCAGGTGCATTCACATATGGCACCTCTTTTATTCCTTGTGACAGCCTTAACAGGAAGGATGTATTTTACCCAAGAGGAAACTAAGTCTCAGGGAGGTTATGACTTTCCCAAGGTGACCCAGCCACTAAGTGACAGACATGGATTTTGAACCCAGATCTGAGTGTCTCTTCAGCCTATCCATTTCCCTCACCACACCTGTAGTTGCATCCCAAGGAAGTGCCCTTCCTAGAATTCTTACCCTTGGACCAAGGGCCACTGTTTGAGATGTGGATATGCTGTCTCCCTCTGTGACCCTGGGAAGGTCCCTCCTCATTCTAGACCTCAGTTTCCTCATCTTTAAACCAAGGAGCACAAATGATATGAGAGTCAGGCTTTCCAGACTTAATATTCATTGCTTCTGATTGGCCTTTCAGGTTAAAGCTCCGTATGTGGCCTGGGAATGGTAGTTGGCTTTCTGCCTTGGTCCTCAACCCAAAGAGATGCTGGCGTCTGCCTATCTGCCTCCCCGCCTCCCACAACATACAAACCAGCTCCCAACCAGCTCCATCTCGTTAAGGGAAAATCCAAAATTGTCATCTGCTTGGCAAAGGGGGGTATGTTGGATTTGGTTACCATGTGAAAGTGCTAAAGTGGTACCCCTTTCCAGAAGATGATTGTTTATCTAGGAGTCCAAGCACTAAAAGCTTTCAAACAAGAGTCACTTGACAATTTTTAAAATGATAATTTCCTTAAAAAAAAAAGACTGAAATTGCTGAAGAGTAATTTGCCACAATGTGCAGAGCATAGAGATGGTGAAGTGCTGTGAACTACAAGTAATTGCTCTTAATGTCATGATGGCCCAGTTGGTTCAGTGTTGATAGGGCCTTGCAAATCGTGTAGAACAACAACAGTGTGTCCTAGCAGTCTCAGTGTCTATGACCTGGAAGTCCAGGTTTCCATATTAGTGGTACTTCTGAAGTTTAGAAATCTTAACTCTAAAAGAATCCAATTATTTTCACAATCAAAAAAAAATAAAAATAATTGATTCAGCTGTAGTACAACTTTTGGATGCTTACTCTTGGTTTTTTAATCCAGGGAACAGATTTAGAGATAGGACAGAATTCCTTGGCTTCATGGTTACCTCAGCTAATGGAGTATCCCATGCAAGGAATCACGGGCAATAGAGGGAAATGGGAATGTTTTCTAGGTGGAATGTGAGAAAGGCCACACAGCCAAGCCCCGCAGGGGAAGGAGGTGGAGCCACGGCACAGACAGGCCTCTTAGTGCCTGAAAGGGGAAATTTTTCCAAGGCTGGCCTCCAGGTTCTCTTATGATCTCCTCAGCACCAGGAATTTCTGGATTCCACCATTAAGAGGCCTTAGCTCTCCTCTGTGTAGCTCTGTCTGCTCCCCTCATTAGCTCTGTGACATTCTTTCCATACATCAAGGTTGTGTCCTCAAGAAAGAGAATTTGATTGGTCTGGTGAGCCTCATTTGGGCACAGATTTCTTGCAAGGCCATTGACCCCTGGCAAGTCAATGGATTGGCGGCCCTGAGTCAGAGTTCTGCTTCTGCCCTAAACAACTGTGGCCAGGTAAGGGGCAATCATAGAGCCCACCCAGGACTCCTTCTTCAGCCAGGGCTGTGGGCTTGGTCATTTCTGTCAGAAGGGAAGGCATGGGCAAGGTAGGCCCCATGACTGACCTGATCAGCATATAAATTCCTTGTTGGACCAAGATGGTACCTGATGACCCTCCTGTTTACAGAGCACCAACATGTTCCTTTCTTATTCACTTCTCAGCTCAAACCTACAAGTCCATTTTATAAAGGAAGAAACTAAGCAGGTGTTTGATAACTTGCCCAAGGCTATATAGCTAATAACCTTTGGTCTTTTTGGCTCCAAGTCCATACCAAACTACTTCTGAGAAAAGAGAATGAACATTGAATGGACATCATCAAGCATATTTAGGGCATCCACATTTTTATTAGTGGGAGTTTTTAGTTGCTGAAGTTCATTGAATCTTCTTGAAGATCCCACTTCTCTAGGCTGTGTGGTCAGCCCCCCATGGACTTGCCAAGCCAACAGGCACCACTTGGAACATAACAGCAGACACTGGCTCCTTTAAACTGTGTCTGATTTAGATTTGTTATTTACATCCAGGGTCTCCAAAAGATTTTCTCTTTGTGTTGGGACTAAACTGAGGAGCCAGGTCCACCTCCCAGCTGGCCACGTTGTCTGGGATCACCAAGCAGCTCCTCTAAGCCTCACTACCTTACTTGGAAAACAGAAGGGTTGGACGAGGCACCTTCCAACTCCAGTTCAACTCAGCAACTATTCATGGCGTGCTTGTTGATGGCAAGGCACAGGCCTGGGCATGAGGCTGTGCCACTAATAACACTTCAGTCTGTGCCTTTCTAGGCTGTTTTCATTTTGCTGTCACTTCACAGCCATACACAGGAAGGCAGAAAGAAATTATCATAATTTATTACTGTTTATGTTATTTGCTTGTCCCCCACAACCCTGATTAGACTGTGTATCCCACGGGACAGGAACGACAGCTTGTTTCCTGCCATTTTAATTCCAGGTCTTAGCATAGTGTCTGTCACATTGTAAGTGCTCAGTATTACGTTTCTTGAATACATGAATGATGCAAGGCAGTGAGCAAATGAGAATGTTTTGAGTCATGAGCTGGCCAAAGCCTGAGGTACCAAAAGTGGGATTCTTGTCTACTAGAGCAGAACTCTTCAGTGAAGCCTTACTGAAGCCCCATGCCCTTCCTGGGATGGCCAGCCCTGATTCTGAGAGAACTGAAATCAGGAGCTGTGAAATCTTTGCTGTGAGTTGTCCTCCACATTTACCCATCTCCAAGAACAGCCAGCTACTTATCCCTCCCCATGGCTGTTTTAAATGTACTGTCTCACTTGGTTCTCATGACATTCTCATGGTGTTACCATCCCTATTCCATAGATAAGGAAACTGAGGCTCATCATGGGATAGGAACTTGCCGGGGTCTCACAGTTGCAAAGGAGCAGAGTCAGGATTTGAACCCAGGTCCAGAGCATTCTTGCTCCCTTAGGCACATACAATATTGGGTTTGTTCAATTGACTTACATTTCAGTTTGATCTGTGGATGGTGTCCCATGCCAGGGAATTGAATGTATGTTATAGTTCCCTTTTAAATGATTGGATTGTTCTATTTCAAAGTTTACTCAGAGAGAAGATTTTTGAAATACTTCTCTTGTATTTTGACTTTTGTTTTCTAGTGCTCCAGCATTAAGCCCTGATGGTACATCTTAGTATATTATATATGTCTCTGTGTCCCAAGAGCTCAGAATCCTTTAGGGAGTGTTAAATTAGGAGCTGTTTGGTCACAAGCAAGCTGAGTTATCTCCCTTTCCTCCCAATCCCATCATGGCCCTCTGCCCAGGTCACTTTCTCCTGGTCGGTGAACAAGCAAAGTTCTCCTATAGCAGACAGAACCTGCCCACTTCAGATCAGAGGTAAAGTCTGGGCAACAGTTGTGCCTCTTTGTCCTTCAGAAGCCATCGCTGGGTCCAAAACAGATTCATTTGACGGAATATACCTGGGGATTATCAAGTTAAATCAGCAAAGATTATTCTAGTTGTAAATGACAAAAAACCTAACTCAAACTGACTTAAGTAAAGAAAATGTATTGGTTTATATAACTGAAAAGGCCAGGAATAGACCTTGGCTTCAGTCATAGCTCGATCCGGGTCCCCGACTGATGCCAGTAGGAATCTCTCTCTCCAACTCTTGGCTCTGTTTTCCACTCTGTTAACTTCATTCTGAGGCAAGGAACAGTCCACATGGTTGCCCCAGGCAGACCAGATATATATCCTCCCATGTTCAATCTCAACAGAAAAGAACTTGCGTCTTTCCCAGTTGTCTCAGCAAAGACTTTCTCTGATTTGCAGGTGCCTGTCCTAGAACTACTTATAACGGGGCTGGAGAGGTGACATGCTATGACTGGCTAAGCCAGGCTCCTTTGGCCACCCTCAAGGCAAGGAATGAGTCAGCTCCACCCCAGCCCTATACAGGTGAGGTGTAGGAGATTCCCCAAGGAAAATCGGGTTGCTGCTACCAAGAGAAAGAGAAGAAATGCAGACTTGCCCATTCCCTCATTGACATAAAAGGAAACTGAGGTCCAGCTGGGACCTCAGTTGCATGGATTGTTGACTTGGATTGTTGCATGGCAGAGCAAAGGCTAGAAGCCACGATTTCAAACACCTACTTAGTTTCCTCAATATTTGCTTTTTAGCTAGTCATTCTTTTTTGCTGATACAATTAATAGGATTGATAAATTATCCCTATAAAATACTAATATATATATATATATAAAAGACAGATGGGTTTAAATCTGGACTTCATTCCTTGCCAGCTATTTGACCATAGGCAAGTTTCTTCTCTCTATCTTGTTTCTTCCTCTTTGTAATGAGAATTATATTCCCTACATTGTAAGATTATTTTGACAATTAAATGACTTAATGCATATTAAGTGCCTACAGCACTGTCTGGCATATTGGAAATCCTCAACAGATGTTTTCTATTATTGTCATTGTCACTTTCTGCCTTATTTTTTAACTGCTTATCAGCATTCCATAGTTTGAATTTTTCATCTTTTATTTAATCTTCCCCTATTGGTGGACATTCACTGTTTCTGCTCTTTTCACTATTTCAATGTGTGTCAATCAACATCCCCAATTGTGTGTCTTTGTCCCTGTGCTGTACACCTCTCACTAAGCTTTGCGCATTCAGGGTTGAAACCTAATCAGACCATAAACCAAAGGATAGTGAAAGTGCTTTTGCAACAGAGAAAATGTTTCCACCAACTCTCAGTTGCAAAATTCTAAACTCCACAGAAGTCTCTTCTTTCACAGTACCTTTGGGGGTCAGAAGTATTGATTCAAGAGGGCCTCAACATTGAGGTTGTGTGCTGGAAGTTTCAGACTACCATTGCTTTGACCCTCAGCTGGACCATCACTCTGCCTGGTCCTGACCCCAGAGAGACTCTTCCAAGCACCTCAGGAGGCCACGCTGCATGTGGAAGCCCACAAAGACCTGGATGCCATCTAGGGTGAGGGAAACAGAGGGAGGACACAGAAGAGTCTGTGTGCTTTATGCCATGTTGTAAAAACAAATGCACATGTGCAGAGGAGAACACAGAGAGGACACATCCCAAATGTTTAGCAGAGATCAGCCCCACATGTTAGCGGCAGGACAGTATGTTTGCTATTGCCAGTTTTCCTTTGAGCCCCTCTGTCTTCCAGACTTTTGTGCTTAGCAATGATCACTTTTGAAATTTTTAAAAAATATTATTTTAAATAAATACTACCTGGATTTGAGGCCTGAATCCAACTCATTTACCCCTCTGAGCTCCATTTTCCTCATCTGGAAAATGGGGTTAACACTCTCTGCTTCATCTCCCTCATTTGAATATGGTACAGATTAGAGGAGAGAGAGGGAAAAGTGCTCTCTAAACTGTCAGGCGTAAGCCATGAGGCAGCAGAGGTTATATTGCCTGGCCCACAGTGGTAGCCATGCCCAGCCTCTTTGCAATGGGAGCAGTGCCCTAGGCCCCTTTCCCTGTGGCTCCTTTCTGAGGACATGTGGACAAAAGGATGCTTCTTGTTTATCATACACAAAAGAACAGGGCACACTCCACCATCCAGTGTTGAGATCCTAAAACACAACATGTAGACAAGTCTTAAGTGGGGCTGCTAAGATGGGAGTGTCACTGGTGTGAGTGGCGGCTTTCTATTTTCTTCTGTGTCGTCCCCAGGTCCCCTTTGTCTGCTGTGATCTGCAGCCTAATAAGAGGCGGAGAAAAGGGGCTTTGCTTGGGCTCTCAACTGGAAGGTGGCTTGTGGGCAGGTCTATAGAGCCAGGTACCCTGCTGGATACTGGAGAGATTAATTTGAGCAGGTCACACAATTTTTTATTTAAACAAAGAACCTCTACTAAGCTGGGACCAAACTAATGACTAGTGCTCATGGCAAAAGTCGAATTTAAGTTTTGTGTTTATTTAGGAAATGAATGGATGGATAGAGGAGGGAGAGAAAGAGAGATCAAAAAAAATTTAAAAGACAGGCACACGTTCAGGGCTGTGATCCAAGCTGAGCCTTTTATTTGAGTTCTGAATAATCTTTAATTCCATGATTGAATTAAATTAGAAGTGAATTTAGTCTATTGTGGCTTTGTCTACTTCCCTTAATGCATGATGGTGTTTGTGTGTCTAACTGCAGGCTGTGGGGCCCGGCTCTGGGCCTGGAGTGAGTGAGGGCTTTCTGCTGTGTAATAGCTATATTGTATTTCACCCGTGGACCCCAGGCAATTTATTATAGCTAACACCCCACCCCGCCCCCAACCCTGCTTCAATCAAGCAAGCCTCCTGTGAAATTAGATGTTAAGGCAGGAACTTTTGTAGAAAACCAGATATCACCAGTCTTTCTTGGCCGCAAAGGATTCAGCTGAGTTAAGGAAAGGGGATTTTTAAGAAGGGGTGGTTTCATTTATTTGTGAAGGCCAACATAATGAAGTTGGAGCAGATTCCCAGAGAATGCTGGATGAAATGATCAAAAGGATTAGAGAGAAGGGGAAAGGGCAGAGGAAGGCTGTGTGGGGACTGGATAAAAAGAGGCCAGCAAGATGGTAAAGCAAGAGAGGATGTGAAGGAAGTCTGGAAGGTCCCAAAGGGAGAGAGGCTGACTTTTCCATCAGAACTGGACTACTGGAATCAGGGGAGTCCTGTTCACACAGCTGGAATGAGCTCTCTGCCAGATGCAACGGTTAAGTCAGGGCAAGGACATATCTTCCCTCCCACAGTTTCCCTTGGTGCCTCTAGCAGAGGTACAATTTGAAACTAAGAAGTCTCTGGACTCTGACCTGTTTTTTCCCTCAGCATTTCTTTCTAAAAATTATCAGACATACAGAAAAATTGAAAGAATTATACAGCGAACACCCATGTTCCCATCATGTCCATAATTAGCATTGGTTTACTTACTTGATCACATCTCTATCTAACCCTCTCTCCACCCCTCAATCCACTATACGTTTTGATGCATTTCAAAGTAAGTTGCAAAGTGACTCCTGCCCATTTTGACAGTTGAACAGTAGATTGCAATGGCATACAAAGAGACTTTGTTGTTACATGCATTGCCCTGAGATGTCACAAGTTTCTCCTCAAAACTTTTTTTTTTTCTCCTTGAGACACGGTCTCGCTCTGTCACCCAGAGTGCAGTGACACAATCTTGGCTCGCTGCAACCTCGTCTGCCTCCCAGGCTCAAATGATCCTCCCACCTCAGCCTCCCAAGTAGCTACAACTACAGGTGCCCACCACTACACCCGGCTAATTGTTTTTTTGTTAGTTTGTTTTTTTTATTTTTGTAGATGAGGTCTCACTATATTGCTTAGGCTGTCTTGAACTCATGAGCTCAAGTGATCCTCCTGCTTCAGCCTCCCAAAGTGTTGCGATTACAGGTGTGAGCCACTGCACCTGGCCACCCCCAGAACTTGTTACCAGTCTCTGGAGCCCCTTCCCTTGATGCTTTTTACTTCCAGGCTCTCAGATTCCAGCATCGCCAGGGATCTGGGAGCTAACATGAGGGAATGAAACAGCTGAAGCTGCCCTGGTGTGAGGCTGTGGTGAGAGCCGAAGTGTCTGGAGAGCACCTGCCCCCTAGACAGCACCTGCCCCCTAGAGAGGGGCACCCACTGTCACCTCCAGCCCATTGCTGTTGCATGAGACTCTGGGGTCAGTGTTGCCCAAGTTTAAGAAAAACCAGAAATGAGGGGTTTTGTATGGAATCTTCCACTTTTTAAATGTTTGCAAATAATGTTTACACCCTGGGCAAAAGGGTATCAAGGACGACTCCTCGTGTATTTGTTTTCTATAGCTGCCATAACAAGTTACCATGGATCTGGAAGCTTAAACAACACAATGCATAATGTATTCTTACCATTTTAAACAACATAGAGGTATTCTTACAGTTCTGTAGGTCAGAAATACATCATGCGTGGGTCTCACCAGGCTAAAATCAAGGTGTCAGTGGCAGGGTTACCTTCCTTTCTGGGAGGCTCTAGGGGAACGTTGCTTGTCTGGGTTGAGGACTGAGGCTCCTGTTCCCTGGCTGTCTATCAGCTGCCGACTGTTCCCAGCTGCTAAGAGCTGCCCATCTTCCTGGGCTCACGACCCTTTTCCTCCATCTTGAGAGCCAGCAACCGTGGGTGGAGTCCCTCTCGTAGCTCAAATCTCTACTTCTTCTGTCTCATCTTTTAATGCAGACAGAAAGGTTCTCTGCTTTTAAAGACCCCTTGTGATTACATTGGGACCACCTAGATAATCCTGGCTCCTCAAACCCATCTCCAGGTCCTTAACCTCAATCATGTCTGCAAGGCCCCCTTTGCTACATAAGGTACACATGTTCACAGGTTCCGGGGATTAGGGCATGGCCATCCTTGGGGGCTGCTACTCTGCTTACCATGCCTGGTTTCTGGCTGGAGACACAGGTGGGCAGTTGTTCTTTCTGAGCCTGCCTGGTCCTCAGGTTCCCTCTTCTGGGCCTGGGAAAATTCCCTATCCTCCCACAGGAGCTGATGTCCTCAGCCAGAGCTCACCATGTTGGTACAATTCCTGAGACTCCCCCTCCTGCCTGGATCCTGGCCTCCCTGCAGGCAAGGGCAAGAGCATTTCCTGCAAGAGAATCACACTGCCCTACAGCTACAAATCAAGAGATACGGAGACAAAAGAACTTGGGATATGGTATAAAAAGACTGAAGTTGAACTCTGGTATCATTTATTCATTCAGCAAATATTTATTGATCACTGTGTGCCTGATACTGTGCTAGGCTAAGCATAAAAATTTCCCTCATCATGGAGCTTACATTCTAGGGAAGAAGACAGACAAGTAAACACCCAGATAAAATACATAAAGTGCAATGAAGAAAAGCATAGGGTTCTAGGAGATTGAATAGGGCTCAGCAAACTTTTTCTGTAACGGGCCAGATAGTAAATGTTACGGGCTTTGCGGGCCACATGGGGTCTCTATTTAATAGTCTACTTTGATTTGTATGTTGTTTCGTTTTGTTAAAACTCTAAAAGTTAGCCTGCCATGGTGGCACCCACCTGTAGTCCCAGCTACTCAGGAGACTGAGGTGGGAGGATCATTTGAATCCAGGAGTTTGAAACTGCAGTGAGCTACGATTGCACCACCACACTCCAGCCTGGACAACAGAGTAAGACCCCATTTCAAAAAAAAAAAAATGTAAAAGTCATTTTAGCTTGAGGGTCACACAAAAACAGGCTGCCGGATTTGGCCTTCGGACCATAGTTTTGACTGATCCCTGGGACGGAGTATCAGGAGGGACCTACCTACAGCTGGGGAAGGAGGGGCCAGGAAAGACTTCTGTGAGGAGGCAACCTTCAAGCTAAGATGTGGAGATATGAGGAACAGCCAGCCAGGCAGTCAGGTGATGTATGTAGCGGGGGCAGGTATGGACAGGGAGGTCAGGGGAACCCCTGCTCATATTCGAGGAACCAAGAGGAAGCCCTATTTTTTGGTGCTTCTCCACCTCGGCAGGTTCCTTCGCCTCATTGAGCCTCCCTCAGCATCCCTTCCTCCTCGCAGGCTTGTCTTGAACATTATCTGAAATCCTGTCAGGTACTGAAACCAGGTATGGCAGGCAGAATGCTGCTACCACCCCCTACGATGTTCAGTGCTTCAAGCCCCATTACAGGGGCAGGGCTGTGTTACACTGTGGAGTGCCGCAGCACTGGGAATTCCACCTTCTCCTGGCCACCGCCTCTGCCTTGAGCCTCAGCACCTTCTGTGAAATGAGGATAGAAGCCCTGCCTTGCCTGCTCCCTGGGGCTCTGGTGAAAATTTGGATGTGAAAGTGGTCTGTGAATGTCAGCCTCATGGTTGAGAGGGCAAGCTCTGGGGTGAGTACCAGGTTCAGAGCCTACTGTTTCTAGTTGTGTGACTGCATACATTTCTACACCGTCTCTGTGCTTCAGGCTCATTGTGTGTAACATGGGGAAGGTAATCATGCCTTCCATGTGGGGTTCTGTCAGTGCTGAGTGATAAGGCAGCGCTCTGTGCAGATGCAGTGTCCCCAGCTGCTGGCAGGAGGGGCAGTGGGCAGCTCACAGCTGTGCTTCCCACTGGGAATTGCCCTAGACAGCCTTGCTGAAGGTTATGCCCCCTCCCAATGACTAATTGATGCTTGGATATAAAGGCCAGGCTGCTTGTCTCACTCTAGGACCACTTAGAAAGGCCTTCTCAGCTGCAGAGTTCCTGGTAAAATGGGCCAGGGGCTCACATGCAGCCACATGGGTGCAGCCTCTTCCTCACTCCTCTGCCTGTCTCACCTCTTTACAGGTGAATCTCCCCAGAGTGCCTCCCAAGAAGCCGTCAAAAAACAATTTTCACCTCAAGATCTGTTCCCAGGGAACCCAATATCTACCAGTTATGGATGTGAATATTTTGGGGTAATGATTCTCAAATTTGAGTGGGCATCAAAGTCACCCAGGGAGCTTGATAAAATAAAAATTGCTGGGCCCCACCCTGAGAGTTTCTGAGTCAAGTGGTCTGGGGTGGCCAGAGAATCCGCATTTCTAACAAGAACCTCTCGGTGATGCTACCACTTTCAGAATCACTGTTTTAGAACTCAGTAAGTTGCTGCCCTCCTCTTATTCCTCTTCTGAACTAAAGCTAAATCATAGAGTTTATTGAAATGAAATTGATAAACCTTATTTCTGTAAAATGTTGTGGTGTGACCAAATCGACTTGCTTAGAAAGAAAAAATGCAAGGATCAACCATAAAATAAAATGGAGTCCTAGAAGGAGGGAAAAAACAAGATGGAAGATTAGAGATAAAAGCCAGAAATCATTGGATTACTTGGTTTTTGGATTTGACTTGGGAACCATGTAAATATTTAATATAATTATAAAAACAAGATTAAGTCAAAACTAAATGCAGAAAGCAATCCCTAAAAATAAAGAGCTAAATGAAATAAATGAGCCCAATGTATGTGAGTTGGTGGCCTAACCGTGCCTCTGAGAGGAATTGTTTCAAGTGACTTAAAAACATAAAAATTTGACTGTAGATTCCTAGTTATATATATGCTAGAGACAAATATCTTAACTTTTCTGTAATCATACTCTTAGCCATAATATTGGTATTGTTTTCTGAAACTATTATATATTGTAGAAAAAAGCAAATAAGTAGCTATATTAATGTTAAGAATTTATATTTTTAGCAAAAGAGATACAATAAAATCAGACAAAGACATAACAACTATAGACCAGCGTGCCTTATAAGTATTGATGCAAAAATTCTCAACAAAATACTAGCAAACCATATTCAGCAATATATAAGAAAGTTTATACACTGTGACCAAGTAGGATGTTGCAGGAATGCAAGACTGGTTCAATATATGAAAATCAGTGTAAATACATCATATTAATAAAATAAAGGACAAAACTTACATAATCATCTCAGTAGATGCAAAAAAAAAAAAAGCCATTTGACAAAATCCAACACTTCTTTTTCGAGGATTAAAACACTCAGCAAACTAGGAATAGAAAGGAACTGCTCCAAGCTGATAAAGTGCATCTGTGAAAAACCCACACTAACATCTTACTTACTGGTGAGAGACTGAAAGCTTTTCCTCCTAAGATCAGGAACAAGATAAGGATGTGTGCTCTTGCCTTATGTTTAGCATTGTACTGGAGTTGCCAGCCAAGACAATTAGACAAGAAAAAGACATAAAAAGTCATCTATATTGGAAAGGAATAAGTAAAATTACCTCTATTTGTAGATGACATTATCTTGTACCTAAGAAATTCTAAGGAGTTTATACAAAATTATTAGAACTAATAAATGTGCTCAGCAAGATTGCAGGATACAAAATTAATATACAAAAATCAATTGTATTTCTACACACTAGCAAAAAAAAAAACCTGAAAGTAAAATATACATTTACTAGCCATTTTTCCAGAGAAGATGTACAAATGGCCAATAGGCATATGGAAAGATACTCAACATCATTAGTCATTAAACCATAAGGAGATACCACTTCACACTCACTAGGATAGCTATAATCAAAAAGATGGACAATAGCAAGAATTGGTGAGGATGTGGAGAAACTGGAAATCTCATTTCACATTGCTGGTGGGAATGTGAAATGGTGTTATCACTTTGGAAAATCATTTGACAGGTCTTTACAAAGTTAAAAATGGAGTTACCTTTGACCCAGCAATCCAGCTGTTTGCTATGTACCCACAGAATTGAAAACATGTCTACATAAAAACTTGCACATGAATGTTCATATTCATGTTATTCATAATAGCCAAAAGGGGGAAACAGCCCAAATATCCATTAATTGATGAATAGATAAATAAAATGTGGTGAATTCATACAATGGGCTATTATTCAGCTATGAAAAAGAAATGAAGCATTGATGCATGCTACAACATAGATGAACTTTGAAAACATTACACCAAGTGTGGCCAGACACAAAAAGCCTCAAATATGAATCCATTTATATAAAATGTCCAGGTTAGGAAAATCCATGAACACAGAAAGCAGATTAGGGATTGCTAGCAGCTAGCTGGCAGGAGGGGAAGATGGGGAATGACCGCTAGTACACACAGGGTTTCTTTAGGAGTGATGAAAATGTTGTGGAATTAGACAGTGGTTATATTTGCACAACTCTGTGAATATATTAAGAACTACTAAATTATAAAAGAGTAACTTTTATGGTATGTGAATTATATCTCAATACAAAGGAGATACAATATAAAATTAGAGTTCAGTAAAACTCAGTAATTCTATATGTTAAATATAAAATTTCTGCTTAAACTCATAATGTATTGTTTAAAATATATTCATACCAGCCTGGGCAACTTGGTGAAACCTTGTCTCTACAAAAAAATTCAAAAATTAGCCAGGCAGAGGGTGGCGTGCACCTGTAGTCCCAGCTACTTGGGAGGCTGAGGTGGGATGGCATGAACCTGGGAGATGGAGGTTGCATTGAGCCGAGATTGTGTCACTGCACTCCAGCCTGGGTGACAGATTGAGACCCTGTCTCAAAAAAATAAAAAATAAAATATATTTGTAGTTCTGACCACTGGAAAGGCATAGAAACTATAACCAACCTAGTAGTAAGGAACACCCTTAGTGCTCATGTTGCAGCATCCGAATGGTGATATTGATGATATGAAGGATTAAAAGTTCTTTGGCAGAATGGCTGATTCCAGGTTAGGGCAGGAAATGTGTGAGTTAAGCCTGGGGAATATTTTCGTATCTTTTATCGTAAAACAAAGAAGCTATCAGTACTCTGATCATGTCCAAAGGACTCAGGAACCAACCTGAGAAGACTCCTTTTGGCTAAAGATGGGTTTATTTGGGAACCAGTAAGAATAATAACTGCATTTGATTGAAACACATTAATTATGTTTCCATTTGTGAGTTAACATAATTGACCATCGTTGGAGGATGCTGGGGAACCAGCTCATTCTAAAGACTTGTAAAGAATCAAGAACTTACCCTGCCTTTCCTATACTTTGGGGTGAACGAATAGTTGATGTGGTAAAGTTTTCTCTATAGAAGAATTTCAGCTGGTAAATGAAGATGGAGTAATAGAATTAGAATGTAATCGTTTTTCAAACTCCTGATGAAATAAAATATTTAGGCATCGATTATCACAAAAGGAAAGACAACTGGACACAATGTGTCTCCTAAGGGATCCCTGTACCACCACCTTTGAAGAGGCTGTCAGAATAGCTTATTGAATTAGGTCAAGCTTATAGATCTAACTACCAGTTTACAAGAACTAAAGGGGGACAGACAGAGGAACAGTTTAAAGGATACCACAGAGATGCAAGCAGCAAAATGCAGACTGCAGGGACTCCTATAAGATAAATAGCCCAGTTTCTTCAACAAACAAATCGAAGGGGAAAAAAAAAAAGGAGGGCAGAAGCTTATGTATAAAAGAGACTTAGGAGACGCATGAGCTGTATGCAGTACGTGGACCTTGTTTTGATCCTGTATTAAACAAACCAACTATAGAAAGACGTAACATCAGGGAAATTTGCAAACCAACTAGATGTTTGATGATATTAAGGAACAATGTTAATTCTTCTGGGTGTTATAATGGTATGAAAGACGCACAAGGGGCAGGGCCTTCCACCCCTAAGCTTACCGTGGGGCTGGTGGAGACTAGAGCCCAGGGAGAGAGAGGAGGGGCTGAGCCATTGAAGCCCAGTTTATTCTTCCAAACTCATGGATAAATCATTTCTCCTCCATTGGAGAGGAATGTGTAATATGAAAAAACAAACTCACTGTTTTTTCCTCTCTGTTCACACATGCAACACAGAATACTTCTGTGACCAAATGTGTGGGGCAGGGAGGGGGGCTCCCCGACAAGCAATTCTCCAGCACCAGCCTGGTGTCCTGTGATTCAATTCAATTCTGACACTACCTACCTGGAGTTAGAGTCAGATCCCACAGGTAAAGGGATTGGTCCCACAAGATTATCCCTCACCCCCAATCTTCAGATGCCATTTGCAAATCCAGACCTTGGGTAATTCTGACCAGCCGGCTGTAAATTGGTGGTTCCCCTCCTTAGATTTGATTATCTGCCAGAGTGTCTCACAGAACTCAGGGGAACACGTTTACCAGTTTATTATGAAGGATATTAGAAAGGATACAAATGAACAGCCAGATGAAGAGCTGCATAGGGCAGGGTCTGTGGGAAGGACCTCCTACATTCTTGTGGAGGCCTCATCACATGGCATGATCAATTATCATCATGATCTCCAGCTCCTGTCCCCTTCCTGGAGGATGGTGGGTTGGGGCTGAAAGTTCCAAGCTTCTAATTATGGCATGTTCTTTCTGGTGACCACCCCGCCTCCTGGAGCCCACCAAGAGTCACCTCATTAGAACAAAAGATGCCTCTGTCACCCAGAAAACACCAAGAGATTTAGGAGCTCTGCATCAAGAACTGGGGTCAAAGACGAAATATTAGAACATAAGATTTTCCTAGCACTCCTTTTGCTTAGGAAATGACAAGTTTTAGAAGCTCTGTGCCAGGAACCAGGGACAAAGACCAAAGTCTATAGTTCTTATTATAAATCACAATATCACAGCTGGACAGAGAGGCCAGAGTGTTACTGTAGGGCAGTCCTCCACATGAAATCACAACTATTCAAACTCAGGGAGGTCTTTTATACATATCCGCGTGTGCTGTATATGCAGAGATTGGAGGTAGGACTTTGGGATGTCATGTAGAAGTTCCTGTGTGACCAAGGTATCCCTGGATTTTGCTCATTCCCTAAAGACTGGAGAGGAAGTGGGGTTTGCAGTTAGCCAAACCCTGTGCCTGAGTTCTCTTGGCAGGAGGAGAGCTGACCCTGTCCTCTGCCTCCCCTTATGTTTCCCTCTAGCTGCAACAGCAAGCGCTACCTGGAGACACTTCCCAACACAAGCATCATCATCCCCTTCCACAACGAGGGCTGGTCCTCCCTCCTCCGCACCGTCCACAGTGTGCTCAATCGCTCGCCTCCAGAGCTGGTCGCCGAGATTGTACTGGTCGACGACTTCAGTGATCGAGGTAGGATCCGTCCCACCCAGCCTCCCACCCTCTGTGCTTCATCTGGCGACTCACCAAAGGGATGGCAGGTTTTCCCTTCTTTAGCAGCATCAACATATAGGCCATCATTGGCTAAATGCCTGGACGTTGCACTGTGCACACATTTTCTCATTTAATCTTCACAACTCATGAAGTGACTGCCATTTTTATCCCCTGCATATCTGTTTAGAAATGTATTAACTGCAAAAAAAAAAAAAAAACAGAAAACTTGATAAACAATAACTCAAACAAGTGTAAGGATTCATTCACTTATCTGTCTCTATCTATTTATTAAATATTGCATAACAAGAGATCCAGGACTGGTACAACTGGCTGCTCAGCGCTGTCATCCAAGAACCAGGCTGTTTCTTTGTTTCTGCTTCCTCATCCTCATGGTCACAAAATGGTACCTCTGGCAAGTCTGCCTTTCAGGCAGGGAAAAGGGTGGAGAGCAAAGGGCACAAAGCCTTCATCTGTCAAGGTTTTGCCTTCTAATTCAGGAAAGTGTCCTGTAGACTCTCAGCCAGATCTCTGACATCTGGGCACCCCTATCTGCAAGGAAGGCAGGGAATGTGAGTGTTTTGGTTTGTGGCCTCTTTGGTGAGTTAGGAAAGGGAGAAGTGGATTAGAGATGTCAAGTAAGCCCAGCTGGGATTGCAGTGTCTGGCACACCATTTTACAGATGAGAAAACTGAGACCCAGAGAAGTTAAGTGACTTACCCTTGGTCACACAGCTCTCATGTAGTCATGTGGTGACCGAACCATGTCTGGCCCCAAGCATGTGATCTTAGCTACATCCAGAGCCTCTTAGCTGTGAGTCTTACCCTGTGGAATAACTCAGTCTCGGGTTTAAGAGACACAGAGATGGGGCCAAAAGTGAAATCTAAGAGGAAATTGCCCTTCAGCCAGTGGCCTCAAGCTTATTCTTTGCATCAAAGCTTTCACCAATTGCAGCAAAATTAAGAGAAGCCCTTTCCTCTGCTCACCTTCTTGCAGAGGCACTAATAAGCAGTGAAGAGAGGGAGTATGCGTGCACTCCAGAATAATTGCAGCTGACAGTTTCAGGAGCGGCTCACCTGCCCATCGCCCCGTTTTAATACCGCACTCTTAATTACATGCGTTTAGTACAGAGGCCTCAGAGAGACAGAGAGGGTGTGTGTGTGTGTGTGTGTGTGTGTGTGTTTGTGTGTGTGTAGACATTTAACTCAGTTCTTACCCGGTCTATAAAGTCTTCCCTAACTCTTGACATACACTCATTCTCGTGCTACCCTTTACGTTTCCTTCCTTTTCCTTACCACTTATCACAGGTGGAATTAAAATACATATTTGTGTGAACATTGGTGTGTTGTGTGCCTCCCCTACTAGACTGTCTATTTTGATTGCAGGGACTACCACATTGGTCCTGTTCACCACTGATCCCAGCTCCTTAGGCATACAGTAGGTGCTTACTACGTGTTTGATGAACCAGAGCCTGGTTCTCCAGTTTTCTTAGTACTTCCACCCTGGAAGTACTAACAGTAAGCCTTGAGCACACTATATGAGATTTATCTGTGTCCACAAAGCGAGGCCTATGAGCCTGCTGGTGGTGGGGGTGTGCCTTCCTCATCCCATAGTCCTGCTGTTTGGCAGAGAGCCTGGCAATATCTATATCTTTGATCCTGGCCCTGCTACATACTATCTCTGTGACCTTGACCCAGTCACTTCCCCTTTCTGAGCTTTAGTTCCCTCATCTATAAAATGGGATCACAATAGTACCTACGACCTCTTAGGTGGCTGTGACTGTCAAATTAGTTAATAGATGTCTATCAAGTGCTTAGGACAGTACCTGGCACAGAGTGAACATTAAAGATAGACATCTGAGCTTGTTATCATTTCTGTTGTGGACATTCCTTATGGTTGGTGTGCAGGAAGGGGAGTCAGGGATGAGTATACAGAGGTGCATGTACAGGACGGATGTGTGGGTGCAGGTATGTCTTTCCTTTCTGTAGGGAAGAAGATTTTTGCAAACTGTAAAACACTGAGCAAACAGTCTCTGGTCTCAACCTCCGCCTAAAATATGTCCCTGTCCCTTCACCCCTCTCTTTATAATAGCAGCCCCCATTTTGGGGAGAAGCTCAATATGCCAGGCCCATATATTCTCTCATTTATTCTTGACAGCAGCCTCTGAGGGAAGCCTTGGGGTCCCTCCTTTCAGATGAGGTGCCCAAGCTAAGTAATTCGCCCAGAATCACAGGCCATGGAGCAGTACCCCTAGGTCTGTGGATTCAGCACCCAGACCCTGGGTCCTCTTCTGCCTCTTGCTCCCTCTCTTCTGCTTTCTGTTTCCCAGTCTCCTCTCCCAGCCTCATCCTTCTCCCAGCATGAGCTGCCACCCACAGGCCAAGGGCTCACAGCTGGGCAGCAGAAAGGGAAAAAAATGAGCGAACTGCTCAAGTGATTGATTTTCTGCAGCATAAACAGCCTCCACCACCTGGGGACAAACACCTGAGCCTTCCCTCAGGTACGGGCTGCCTGCTCTGAGCAGGCTCCTTGTTGTACTCCTTCTCAGGGCCACAGCAGTGGCAGTGAGGGCTGCGCTCACTTTCTCACACTCCCCAAAGACCCAGCCACAGCAGGGCTCTCTGTCCTGGAGCACAGCACACACCATGCTCTGTCCTGCCTTGGGATCCTGTGCCCTTCCTCTGCCTGAACGCCCTCTTCCCAGTTCTTCCAATGGCTGGCTCGCCTCATCCCATCATCATTTAGGCTGCACCACTACCATTATTCACCATGCTGCATGCGCGGTTACATGGCTGTTTGTTGAGCTGTTTATTCATTGTCGGTCTTCCCCCACTAGACCACTTGTGGTCTGGAAGGAGGTGATTAGTAAATGTTTGTGAATGAGTGAATAGATGCATGAGGAGGGAGGGAGGAAATGTATGGCAGCTACCCATGCATACAGAAAACCATCACCAGCAGCAGGGCCATCTTCATCCAGCAAGACAGATGTGGCTGTGGAAGACACTGCAGTTCTTGCAGTGACTGGTGCTGGCCCGCATCTGTGTTTTCAGGCTCGGGTCCCTGTATGTAACCTGTTTTTCTGAAGCACCAGCTGCCCTGGGGTTGGGCTTGTAGCACTCAGCAGGATCCCCCTCTGGGTATCACAGGGCATCCGTCCTTCAGACATGGAATAAACCAGACCTCAGCCAGATTCAAAACAAGCATCTCTCCTTGTTCAGTTAGAAAAGAATTTCAAGATCATCTAGGCCCGTGACTTTGTGCCTGCTCCTCAGAGCAGCAGAGGCCCCAGAGAAGTCTCAGGAAACGCTGTGAGAAGTATGGAGAACCTCACAGGCACATGTGGGGTTCAGGTGCCTCTCCTGGTGTGGTCTGTATTTACTTTCTGAAAAAGTGTTCACTAGGGGGAGTTACACTGCTAAAAGAAGTATATGAAAACCACTGTGTAACTCAACCTGCTCATTTTACAGATGGGAAGCCCGAGGCCTGGAGCAGTAGGCAGACTTAACCAGGAGCACACAGCCAGCTGGTTGCAAGAGAGGGACAAGACCCCATATCTGGGCCACAGTGCAGCCTTGTCCCCACTCGCCTTGGGTGGTTAAGTGACACATCTGCAGAAACACGTTATTCCTTTCTATTTCCAAGGGCACTTCTTAATAAATTACTTTCCCATTGTATTACGGTGCAAACTTTTTGCCGAAAAGAATTCATTATCAAACATGATTAGTCCTGACCTATAATGGTTTGTACCTCTAAATATCCCAATTTCCTCAGTGTACATAGTGGTAAAGATAACAGAATAACCCCCTCCCCCACCAGTAAAGTATAACAGTCTTGACAAAGAAAAGGTACACTTCATAACAAGATCATTCTCTAAGTGCATCTGTTTCTCCAGAGAGCAAAAATATTAATTCAATGTGGTGCCATACCCAATCCTAAAAAGATAGAGAAGAAAAATAATACTGTCCCATTTCACAGATGAGAATGAAAACCGAGGCCCCCTGATCACTGCCCCCTTTTCTCAACCAATTAGGCACCCAGCCCAGAGGAGGACTCCCACCTCACACCCTTCAGACTTGCACCTCAGCTGTCATGTTTTGCAGCCTGCATTTTTCAGAAAAGCAATCATTATTCTTGTTTCAAGAAGAAATTCTCAAGGCAGCTTTGGAAGAAAACTTACTCAGCAGTGATTGTTTTAAAAACGAGATTTGGGAGAAACAATTTCAGAATTATGGAGAGGCCTGTCTAAAGTACGGCAAATATGGACCATCCTACAAGATAGATTTCTCTGGGCTGCATTAGCAGAGGCTGTTCTCAGAGCTGAAATTCATAGATGCTAACTACAAGCTAGATTGGCACTGCCTAGGAGAAGGCATTTTCCTCTGAAATGAATCTCCTCCAGGATCCTCAGGGCAACTAATTGTAATTCAGCTAAGGGTCGAGACCTCAGGTAGGAGACAAAATTGGAGCAAATGAATTCTCGAAATAAGATCCAGAGCTTTGTGCAGGCAGCATCAAGGACTCGAGTGGAAGCAGAAGCTGACACCAGAATAATCCTGGCCCTGCTTACAAATAGAACACTGCACTTTGCCAGGGGTCTCCACAAGCTCTTCAAATGCATGAGCTTTGCTCGAGGATTAGGAGAACATTGAGGTGTTTTTGCACATGTGGAAGGGAAAGATGGGCGTATAGGCTGGCAGACCTGTCCCCGGGTTGCACTGCCTGGGTGGCATGTTTTTATGAGGAAAAACAAGAGAGGTCTTGTTAATTTGTTTGTTTTTATTCCTTTCTCCTTAGCCTCTCCACTTTCAAACAGTGTTGTTTTTCCAGAAAAATTAGTTATGTGGTAATGGAAAGAATTACTGTGTTTGGATTAACTAGAGGCTGCCCGGAATGATGAGGTACAAAAGTGACAGGCTATGGTATGATCTCATTGACAGCATTTTCTCCAGCTCAACTGCCTTTCTACAAACAAACACATGTAGGAAATGGTTCCCAGCAGAAGTTCTTAGCAGGTGTTTGCAGAGCTGTTGAAAAGTTGTTGCAGTGATTGGTGCTGGAAGGAGTATAGACAATGCTGGGCCCGTTAGTTCACATGGTAGTGAGCTCACCTCACCCATGAGGCCAGGGTCAATAGTCCTCTTCCCATAACGGGCTTATTAACTCTGACCTGCACTCTCACACCATGCCAGTCATGGGAACACATCACGGAAATCCATTTTGCCCCATCCCTCTTTGCATTTCAACACATCACTCTTGACACTGCCCAATAAACCTCTATTCCCCATTTCTTGTCTTCTCTCCAGCAGCCTTAGTTTGCTTCTGACACCACCACAACTTGTTAGCATGGCCATTTCCCACTTACAGTTTATTGCTTGGGTTCTTTCGCCTTTTTGAGTTCTTTTGCTGCTTATTTTGTTTTTCTCTACATCTGTTCTGATTTATCAAAGTAATTCATATTCATGTATTCAGCAGTATTCATGACATGACTCTGTGCCACATGCTGTACTTTGTGCTATGATATAAGAGGAATCAAATAGGCTTCCCTCGACAGCTCCAGTAGGCCTAGAGGAGGTAAGGGGCAGTTGTAAGACCGTGAGACCATGAAATACGTGCTACCTGGTGAAAGTCCAGGCAATGTAGAGTACAGAGAACAGCAGGGCAGACTTTCTGGAGAAAATTCCAGCGAAATTTAATCCAAAGTGTTGTAGATATTACTCCCTGGGGTTAGGGAAGGGAAGAATGTTCCAGGCAGAAAGAGCAGGACAAGCACAGGCTGGGAGTCGAGGAGAAAATGTGGGAAATGCAGGAAGAGCCATCCATAACCTTATCACTTGGAGGCAATTAGTATTAATATTTAGGCTTTTTGCCCCAGTGTTTTTTCTTTTAATAGACCTTATTTTTTAGAACAGTTTAGGTTCCCAACAAAACTAAGTAAAAAGTAGGTAGGTCCATGGCCATACTACCCTGAACACACCCAATCTCATCTGAAAGTACAGAGAGTTCCCCACTGTCAAAATCCCATACCATAGTGGTACATTTGTTACAATCCCTGAACCCACATCAATACATCACTTTCTCCTAAAATCCATAGTTTATATTAGGGTTCACTCTGGTGTTGTACATTCTATGGATTTGGACAAGTGTAAAATGACATATATCTACCATATGACGTATAGCATCATACAGAGTAGTTTCACTGCCCTAAAAATCCTCTGTGCTCCACCTGTTCATCCCTCCCTTTCCCTAAACCCTGGCAACCACCAATCATTTTACTGTCACTGTAGTTTTGCTTTTTCCAGAATGTCATGTAGTTGGAATCATACAGTATATAAAACCTTTTCAGATTGGCTTCTTTCACTCACAAATATGCACTTAAGATTCCTCCATGTCTTTTTATGGCTTGATAGCTCATTTCTTTTTAGTGCTGAATAACATTCCATTGTCTGGGTATACCACAGTTTGTTTATCCATTCACCTACTGAAGGACATCTTGGCTGCTTCCGAGTTTTGGCAAATATTAGTAAAACTACTATGAACATTTGTGTACAGGATTTTGTGTGGACATAAATTTTCAGCTCACTTAGGTAAATGCCAAGGAGTGTGATTGCTGGATCATTTGGTAAGAGTATATATAGTTTTATAAGAAACTGCCAAATTGTCTTCCAAAGTGGCTGTACCATTTTGCATTTCCACCTGCAATGAATGAGAGTTCCTGCTGTTCCACCTCCTCGTCAGCATTTGATATTGTCAGTGTTTTGGATTTTGTCAATAGCTGCTTAGTGGTCTCTCACTTTTATTTTCACTTGAATTTTCTAATGACATATGATATAGAGCATCTCTTTGTATGCCTATCTGCCATTTGTAAATTTTCTTTTTGTTCTCAGTGTTTTATAATTTCTGTTTTCTTTTTCCTACCCTCCCAATTCCCCTCCAGTCCCACCCCACTGAGGAAATTCATGTTTGCAGTCTGGTATGTATCATCCCAGACCATTCTGTATAATCATACTAACATATAGTAACATGTAATAAAAAGAACTCATGTTTATCGAGCTTCTACTGTGTGCTAAGTGCATTCACTCTTTTATTATCACAGCACTATGGTAGGTTCTGTCATGCCTAGTGTGAAAACCATACTGGCCTCAATGATATCAGACCTCTTCTTTCTACTTATAAATTTAATATTTTTGTCCCTATTTTACAGATGATGAAACTGGGACACAAGTAAGTTGCTGATGTGTACTTAGCTCAAAGAGACAGAGCTTTGATTTAAAACCATCCATTCTGATTCTAGAACCTTTACTCCTAAGCTTTACATGCTTTTTCCCCCATTTATTAGGATCATACTGTATACGTTACTTTACAACTATTTTTTTAAAAGACACATTTATTCAGCGTCATGATCAGACTATTACATTTAGCAATCAACAGCATGGGTGCAAAAAAAAATCAACATTAAAACCCTTTGTTCGAATGCTTTACACTTTCCACAGAACAGGGACTAAAGTAACCTGTTATACAGTTAATCACAAATACAGTCCTTGAGTTTTTTGCCCATACACATGAATATTTGTCTAAAACATGTCTTCTTTGTAGCAGCTGGGCTCTGCCACCATTGTGCTTGGCTGAGTTCACAAATCTGATATAACCTGTAGCTTCCCCGTCACTTCTCTGGCTATCCTCTCCTGCTAAGCTTTGTTTTCTTGCAGTAATTAAAATCTCCTGCCACTGCCATGGCTACTGCTGGTACTAGAACTGCCATAGGCACCTTGGTTTCATGGTTTGGCGAAGTATTGGCCTCCATCACCATAGAGGCCAGAGCTTCTGCCTCTAAAGTTTCCTCCCTTCATGGGTCCAAAATTTGAAGACTGATAGTTGTAATTGCCAAAATCATTGTAGCTTCCATCACCTCCAGAATCGCTTCCATCATTACCAAATCCATTATAGCCATCCCCACCGCCACCATATCCACCACCACCATGGCTGCCACCAAAGCCACCACAACCACTGAAGTTTCATCCATGACCAAAGTTGTCATTCCCACTAAAACCACCTCCACAACCACCACCAAAGTTTCCAGAGCCACTTCAGCCTCTTGGGCTGGATGAAACACTAGGTATCTCTTGCTTTGACAGGGCTTTCCTAACTTTACATTTGTGGCCATTCACAGGATGGTATTTCTGAATGACAGTCTTATCCACGGAGTCATGGTCGTCAAAGGTTACAAAGGCAAAGCCCCTTTTCTTGCCACTGCCTCGATCAGTCATGATTGCAATCACTTCATTTTTCCATACTGTTCAAAATAATCTCTTAGGTGATGTTCTTCAGCATCTTCTTTAATGCCACCAGCAAATATCTTTTTCACAGTTGAGTGGGCACCTGGTCTTTGAGAATCGCCTCTTGAGACAGCTCTCTTTGGTTCTGCAACTCTTCCATCCACTTTGTGTGGCCTTGCATTCATGGCTGCATCCATCTTCTCCACGGTGGCATAGGTGGCAAACCCACAGCCCCTGGAGTGCTTGGTGCTTGGATCTCTCCTTACCACACAATCTCTGACCATTCCCCATTGCTCAAAATGCTCAAAAATTTGAGGCTGAGATTTGAGACCTCAGGCTCTCATCAGTTGTTTCAAAGCTCAACCCTCCAATGAAAAGTGTCCTCAGCTGCTCGGGCTCTTTAGCAGACTCTGACTTAGACATGATGGCAGTGGGAGGAGACTTTAATGGTGCTTCCTCAGTGGCGCCCATGGGCAGAAAGCTACAATTTTTTTTTTCTGTTAATGTATCACAGCCATCCTTCAGGTCAGTAGTAGAAACAGAGCAAACCCATTTGTCTTTTAATAGCTAGATAATATTCCATAGTGGGAATCTACATTTAGTCCCTTTTTATGGGCACTTTGTGAAGTGAACATTTAATCATATGCAACTTTGCATCCTGGTTTCTTTCACTTAACTTTTTACAGTCCCTTCCCCTTGTCATTGTGAAATGACTACCCATCTCTTCTTCTTTGAGACAATGGTGACATAGAGACAGGTGTCAAGCAAGACCAGAATATCAGCTGTATTGTTGCAGAGGCTGATCCAGAGAACACAACATGAATCTCTTTGTACCCCTTATCTTCTGAACTGACTGACCCAGGGACAGGCTTAGCAGGTATGGAACCATGGCCTTGCTGGCGGGCAGTGTCGGCCAATAAGCATGGCACAAGGAGGACAGATAAAGCCAGCCGTGCAGGCACAATGACTGTTTTTACTTCAGCCTGTCTGGCCTCACCTCCACAACCTCCCTTAGAGGTGAAATAGTTTCCCACTATGAAAGTACAAGGGCAGGGGAAGTGACTTCTGTTCCAGATGATGAAGCTGAGGCTTGGAGAGATGGTTGGGAGGTGGCCTCAGCTGCTTACCTACCCTCATAATCATCTCCTCCTCATTGGGAATCACATTGACAGAAGAGATTGATCATCCCCACAATGGGCTCAGTAATCTTAAGAATCCCACATCTCAAGTATCAGTCTCCAGGGTGCCTTACCACTAAGGAAATCTACAGGCTTTCTCGATTCTCTTCTCCTTTCATATCTTTGACATCCTAAACGCTTCTCCCTCAGACTCCAAAGGAGAGAACAGCTAAGAAGATTAAAACTGTTACAGAATATCAATTAGTTTATAATGAGGGAAATCTGTAAACCTTTTGGTGGACATCTGGTAGAAACACAGGATGCAAGAGTCAATATATCTATGGGATATTTTGTGCATCTTAAAAAAAAAAACCCAGGATTTTGTGAATCAAGTACTGTATAAATGATTTACTGGGAGAGCAAAAAAAAAAAAATCAAATAAATCGCTCAGATTGCATCTGAAGAATCAAAAGCTCCAATGTTTTGGAAAGAGTTGTTTCTGTAGTGGAAAATAGCTGCATTATATTTTCAGAAAGGTGATGCTTCTATTGACGTGGGTGAACCTTCTACATTTTAAAAACTTGGTGCAGTAAGAGTGTGGTAAATCACGGATATTCTCCTGATTTTCTTATGAGGATTAAAGTCTAACCTTTTCCACTGTTTTAGTGTTTCCTTAAAAACATAGTGTGGGGGAGTAAAAGCCAATGGAACACAAGACTGGGGAACCTTGGATAATATCCCCAGGGAGAGGGCAGAGGAACTGCCCCCTTCTGTCATAGTCTTCCTTAGGAAAGCTCCTGGGCCTTCCTGCCAGCTGAGGCCGGATGTAAATTCTTATCTACTCAGGGTTTGAAGAGAGATGAGATTTGAGGCTGAAATAAAAGTATTAGGTTGGTGCAAAAGAAATTGTGGTATTTGCCATTACCTTTCATAGGAAAAGCCACAGTTACTTTTGCACCAACCTAACAGTAGCTTCCTTAATAACTAACCTGCTCTAGTGCACACCAGCCAAGTCCTATTCCCATCATTCACATTCTCAAGCTCAGTAAATGGGGAGCTGAAAGTGCTCATTTGCCTGTATCACAGAGGGAAAAAAAGCAGTGATAGCAATAATAATAATGCGACACAGCACCTATATAGCACTTTCTATGTGCCAGGCACTGTTGTAAGCGACTTAAATACATTATGTTTCACTTTATAGGAAGCCTCTTTATAGACAACATTTGCCTAAAGGAAAAATTCACATTTAGTAGAGCATTCAAACCAAAATCCAAGAGATTCCCCTTCTCTGTGTGCCCCGCCTGCTAAATAAAACAAAAACTTTTAAATAGTGATATGAAATGGCTCCAGCATGACCTTTGATACATCTCTATATGTCTAATAGGTATGTTCTTCTGTTTTCATTTATTATAAATCCTCTAAATAATGTTGGTTCTAGCAGGTAAATGAAGCACGTTGGCCAAAAAGTAGGCATTAGTTCTAAGCTACTGCCTGACCCAACCCACGGGCAGCCTCCAAGTAAACCCATTGCAAACAGAGATACTTCAGAGCTTCTTCCCAATTTCCTTAAAGAACTTCCAGCCCCTGAAGCTTTCAAGAACATCTTTATCAGACAACCACAACTCCAGAGTTAATTATGTTTTGATTTGAATCTGGAGGCACCTTTAGAGCTGTTTACATCAGAGGCTTAAAATGCTACCAATTTTCATAGCCAAAAATAGGCGACAGTTGACAACTCTAAAGATCAAGAAGGCCAAATATACACATTTATATATCATTTATTTATTTCAAATTTTTTTAAAAAGAAAATTCCACCACTGTACATTAATATAGTGTTCATGGGTATTGAAAGTTTAATTTCTTTTTTCCCTCTTTTTCTCTTGTTTTACTGTCTCAAATACTGAAATCTCATGAAAATGGAATTTTTACATCATTATAGAGAACAAAGAAATAGACACGTGTTAAGGCCAAAGTAACATCCCTTCCTCTCGTGTGATTTAGTGACATTAGTTCCTGTAAAGTATTCACAGATGCAGGCTGCCTTTTCCAGCCTTTGGGGATCCTCAATGTTCACTCAGTTCCTTCGCCTAAAAGACAAAAATGTTCATTCCTCCTAGTATAATAATAAAATTATTTTATCTGCTTACTTTATAAATGCAGACCTCTTCAGAGATGCCCACCTTATTTATAAGCAACCAGGAATCTCAAAATAACCAATAACTTCCTGTCATCTCCTATTTGTCCTCCATTCCTGGGCTTGTTAATGAATGAGATTTATTGGGCATTGTTAATAATCTGCAATGAAGGTGAAAGCAGGTGGAATTATAAGGCTATGCTTTCTGTCCAGTCTTCTCAGAAATTGTCTTTTTTTTCCTATATGCTGTCAGAACATATGGTTTAGAATATTCTAAATAATAACCTCACTCCAGGCTCTGTTAATAGAAAACTCAAACTAACAATTACTTCCCAGAGCCTCCACACCAGCTAGCAGATTTGTCTTAACCAGGCAAGAGGAAAGACTAGCCCTGACCCTTCACAGCATTCACGTTCTGTTGCCATACGACAGAACTTGAACTCATGAAGGAATGAAAATGACCTGTAAATAGACCTTCTTCCTGAGCAAAGTGATGCCGAATATTCTTTGTAGTAGACACAAACCCCTGTGTCCTTGCCCCCTTTAGGCTGCAGGGGGATGGAGAACGTAGTCAGGATGCCAGCTGGGTCCTAAGTCCAGATGTGCCTCAGACCAGTCCCACCCCGTCCTTTCCCCATCCCATGAGCCAGTACATTCTCTTCTTATGTAAACTAGTCAGAGTTGATTTTCTGTCAGGACTAACCCCAAAGCCATAAGTACTGTCTTCCCTTTTGCGGGTTGGGTGAGGACTGGGTAAGGTACTGCACCGTGACAGGGCCGGGCACATGGTCATCATTCCTTCAGTGGTTGTTGTTAATGATGCTGTTGTTATGGTGATGCTTGTTATTATTACTGTTACCTGAAATGCTGCGCTACCCTGTCTACCTCAAAGTCTCATTATGGGAATGAGATGAAATTAAAAATGCAAGATTAATGAGCTAAACGATGCAATGAGGACGTACAAGAGGGTGCTGATTTTCACAGAAGGAGAGAACCCTGAGGAGAACTTTCTAGTCTGGTGGCCGAGAAAAATGTGACCTTCAAAGCAGACATTCCAAACCTGGAGTGTGCCCCTGCGGTCTCCAGGTCATCTGGATTCAAGCAATGGCTCTTAACTCTTATCCTTATCAGCATCGACTGAAGAGCTTGTTAAATGCAGGTTACCAGGGCCCACCCATAAAGATACTGATTCGGTGGTTCTAGGGTGGGCCTCAGGAATCTACATTCTTAACAGACATCTCAGATTATTTTGATAGAGTTGAAAAGATCCTCGTACTTTTGGAAAACACAGGATTCCAGGCATGGCAGGTCACTAAGTGTGCTTTGTGATAGATTTGGATAGTGATGTCTTTGAATGTATACCCTGGGTCAGCAAAAACGCATGGCCCTTCTAGGAGGAGATAAGTTAAGATGCCTACAGCCTTGGCCAGACCCCTGTTTTCCAGGATGTCTTGTCCTAAATAATTGCCTTGCTATAACAGGCCTGTGTGGATTTATGGTCTCACATTTAATTTCAGCCGCTATTCATTAATCCTGATGATCTCACTTAAATTATTAAACAGTCATATATTCCAATTTTGAGGGCACTAATTATATCCTTGAGAGGCTGTTATTATGTGGATGATCAGATACACTCAGCCAACACTAAACTGTTTTCTCCTCACTCATCAGAATTTTATACTTTTTCAGGATTTTTTCAGTTGCCACGTGTGTTTTATGTGACAAGATCTCAGAGCTGAGGAGTTATGAAATATGAGAGCAGAGGTTCTCAAATTTTGGTGTGCATAAGAATCACCTGGGAAGAATGTTTAACATGCAGATTCCCCGGGCCCTGTGAGTGTCCAGGTCCTCAGTCTCGGTGGAGTCCAGGAATCTGTGTTGTAACCAGCTTTCTGAGGATTGTGATGCAGCCAGTTCTGGGACCCTGAGCTGAGAAACTCTGCCTTCAGATGTTACTGCTGGTAGAAGCTCTCAAGAGATATTTGATGAGAACAAATACTGAGTGATGAGAACAGTCCCCTCATTTTTCAGTAGGGAAACTGACACCCAGAGAGGGGAAAGCTCTCCTTCAAAGCCCCACGGCAGAGACACAGCTGACATCTCTGGCCCATTGTAAGGATCAAATGAGATAATAGATGGGAAAGCACTTTGGAAAGTATTCAGCACTCTATAAATACAAGGAGGCACTATTATTTTCAAGTTGGGCCGGCCTTGTGACAGAAATGGCTTAGTACTTTCTCTCTAAATTACCATAATCACCTGTTTGAGGCCTCAACCAAGCCCATAACTCTAAATTCACTAGGCATGGAATAAATTCCTCCTGAAATGTCCAATAAAAAATATTTTATAGAAGAATGTGCTTGAGGCCCTGCCTGGTCCTCGGTCAGAAATTTCCTTTTTTCTGTTGCCTCATCCCATCAATTCTGGGGGGTAGATTACATCTCCTCCAACCTCAGGGTACCTGGTTAAAAAGCCCTACTTTCCAGCATGTGGCCCTTCTTGGGACATATAAAACTCACCCATGAACATTTTTGCCCTCAAAATCCTTCCTCAATATGAGCCCACTTCTAACATCTTTGTGGCTTTGGACATAGGAAAGCTGATATCAGGGCACCCCAGGTCTTAGTTCCTTTAGTTCAGAATACTCACTGGCTCGGGTTTGCTGCCAGTGTCCTTTGAGGCCAGGTCGCTGATCCTGATGGCTGCCTCTGTGCTCCTGTGTGTGTTTGTCCTGCTGTGTCATGATTAACTGGATAGCTAATTCATATTCATATTACATTAGAATCACGCTCCTTGAAGGGTTCATCAGTGGGATGTGCATCTATGCTCATCTTCCCATGGCTCCCTCCAGGTTTTAGAAGACCCTGTTTGTATCCCAGTCCATAAGTTCCTTCCACTACAAAATAAATTTCTTTCTTTCTTTCTTTCTTTTTTTTTTTTTTTTGAGACAGAGTCTCACTCTGTCTGTCGCCCAGGCTGAAGTACAGTGGCATGATCTCGGCTCACTGCAGCCTCCACCTCCTGGGTTCAAGTGATTCTCCTGCCTCAGCCTCCTGAGTAGCTGGGATTACAGGCGCGCACCACCATGCCCGGCTAATTTTTGCATTTTTAATAGAAACAGGGTTTCACTATGTTGGCCAGGATGGTCTCGATCTCCTGACCTTGTGATCCGCCCACCTTGGCCTCCCAAAGTGCTAGGATTACAGGCATGAGCCACTGCGCCTGGCCAATACATTTCTAAAAAAGGTGGTGGTAGACTGAGTTCAAGAACAGATATTCCGCTTCTATTCACATTTCAACCTTTATTTTTAAATATTTCTTCTACACTCCTACGGATCCTATCTCTTGGCGAGCCCTCCACATGCAAAAGCTCAAGTTCAGGTATTTGCAAGTTACCCACACACAAAGTCTATTTTTAAATCTAGAAGAAATCAAGGCTTTCCACTGATATTAGAAAGCCGAGTTTTCCCAGGCAGCATGACTTCAGAGTTCAGGGAATTTCTGCACTGTTTTCAGGAATCTTCACCCAACCTGTACATTTTAGAGATGAGAATATACATTTAGGGACTTCCTAAAGTCATATGGCTGGGTAATGACAAGTCGTGCTCCACCTTCAGGGAGCACCTATTGCTGGCCAGGCATAGCCCTGACAAGCTGCCAGTCCCCTCCAAAAATCAGGCCCACAGTCATAGCCCCCGAGTCCAGGCTGTCTGTCCCCAGTGGGCATGCTGCAGCAGCAGAACTGTCCACGTGCTCAGAAGGCAAATCTGCCAGCAGCAGGTATGGACACTGTAGTTGGGTCCTTTTTTGTTCCTTGGCTGACTTAATATAATGAGCCAAAGATGCATCAAAACTCATCCTCCCCCCACCCCCACATATGATTGAGGGATAATTGACAAGTAAAAATTGTGTATATTTAAGGTGTACAATGTGATGATCTGATATATATATACATTGTGAAGTCATACCACAATCAAGCTAATTAATGTGTTCATCACCTCCCATAGCTACCTTTTTTGTAGTGAGAATATTTAAGATCTATTCTTTTAGCAAACTTCAAGTACATAATACAGCATTATTAACTATATTCACCATGCTGCACATTAGGTCTCCAGAACTTACTCATCTTTGAACTGAAAGTTTGTACCCTTTGACCCACATCTCCCTATTTCCCCCACCCGGAGCCCCTGGAAATCACCATTCTGCTCTGTAACTATGAGTTCAACTTTTTTTAGATTCCTCATATGAGTGAGATCATGCGGTATTTATCTTGTGTGTCTGGCCTATTTCACTTAGCATAATGTCCTCCAAGTTCATCCAGGTTGTTACAAGCAGCAAATTTCCACCTTTTTTTTTTTTTTTTTTTTTTTTAAGAAAGAGTTTCACTCTGTTGCCCAGGCTGGAGTGCAGTGCCCCAGTCATGGCTCACTGCAACCTTGACTTCTCTGGGCTCCAGCAATCCTCCCACCTCAGCCTCCTGAGTAGCTGGGACTACAGGCCTGCACCACTACACCCGGCGAATTTTTTTTTTTTTTGTATTTTTTGTAGAGCCAGGGTTTCACCATGTTGCCCAGGCTAGTCTTGAACTCTGGGGCTCAAGTGATCCACCCACCTCAGCCACCCAAAGTGCCTGGGACTACAGTTGTGCACCACCACACCCGCCTAATTTTTTTTTTTTTTTTTTTTTTTGTATTTTTTGAAGAGCCAGGGTTTCACCATGTTGCCTAGGCTGGTCTTGAACTCCTGGGCTCAAGTGATCCACCCACCTTAGCCACCCAAAGTGCCTGGGATTACAGGCATGAGCCACCATGCCTGGCTATTTCCTTCTTTTTTAAGGCTGAATAATATTCGTGTGTGCGTGTGTGTGTGTGTGTGTGTGTGAGATAGATACACACACACCACATTTTCTTTATTCATCTGTTGGTGGACACTTAGGTTGTTTCCATATCTTGGCTATTGGGAGTAGTACTGCAATGAACATGGCAGTACAGATATCTCTTAAGGATAGTGATTTTATTCTCTTTGGATATATATCCAGAAATGAGATTGCTGGATCATATGGTAGTTCTGTTTTTAACGTTTTGAGGAACCTCCATACTGTTTTCCATAATGGCTGTATGGAAAATATGAGCCAAAGCTCATTCTCTAATAACATTTCTTGACTAGTGCATTCAAGTATCTGCCCTGTCTTAACATTTTAGCTAATTGCTAACACAGCACATGCAGTACATACTTTCAGCAGGACTGAACATTTTTAGTCATCTAACAAAGACATTTCATCTCATGACAAGTTTTTTGGACATACCTCAATGTGCTGTGTCTGTAGCTAACTTAATTACAGGAGCCGCCTTGGCAGTACCAGGAACCAAATGTTATGACCAGCAACTCTCCTATAGGTAGTACTGCTTTTATAACAGTGTAAATCACAGTTGTGCCAATTTTTTTTTTAAAGAAGCTAAATGGAAGATTTAAACCTTAAGTTGTTTGGGCTTTGAATCCTTGTGTTCTTAGAACACAAGCTTTAGTCAGACAGCAGACTTTGAGCTAGTACTTAACCTCTCTGTGCCTGATTGAGTAAAACTGGGCTACTTTCTCAGAGTTTTATAGATTAATTGAGATATTTTGTGTAGAGAGCTTAGAACAGTGGCTGGCTCAGAGCATCTATCAACCTTGATACCATCATATTCCTTGCTAGGAAATTCTGTGTTTATTCATCCCTTCTTTTTCTTTCATCCTCCTTTCTAGTTCCACATTGAAGATCCCAAACTTAAACCATCATTAATAATAATATATGAGAACAGTAATAAATGTCACCATTTATTAACACCTAATGTGTGCCAAGATCTGTTCATTTATGATCTCACCGAGTCCTGTGAGGTTGGCATTGTTGTCTGGCATTGTCTGATATACAACAGTGCCAACCTCACAGGACTCAGTGAGGTGAAACTGAGGATTAGGAAGGTGTAAACTGGACAAGCGCATGGCAGAGTCAGAATCCAAACTCAAATTTATTTGGATCAAGAGTGATACACTATTATGCACTACTTCCTGTTACCTCCTATGTGGTGATAGGAATAACTTATAAGGATTTTTTTTTTTTTAGACAGGATCTTGCTCTGTCATTCAGGTTGAAGTGCAATGATGCAACCATAGCCCACTGCAGCCTCAAACTCCTGGGCTCAAGCAGTCATCCTACCTCGCCTCCCAAGTAACTGGGACTATAGGCATGCACCACCACACCCAGCTAATTTTTAATTTTTAGTAGAGACAAGGTCTCGCTGTGTTGCCCAGGCTGGTCTCAAATTCCTGAGCCCAAGTGATCCTCCCGCCTCTGCCTCCCAAGGTGCTGGGATTACAGGCGTGAGCCACCACCACACCCAGTCTACTTCTAAGGATTTAATGCCTTATGTTTTCTTCATTTATTTCTCATAGAACCATTCACTCTTAGCACTTTGACTTTGAAAATCAGGGACCAGGTTGAGCCAGACAAAATATTCACCTATAAGGAGAAGGAATGAAAAACCAGACATTTTTCTACTTGGCTATCAATCCCCAAGTTTGATTTGCTGAGAATTTTTTCCCCTCTAAAATAGAGTCTGATTTTCTTTCCCTTCAACCTTCATGTCACTGGAAAATTTTAAATTTAAATAGATCCTAAGGGGGTGGCTCAAGGCTCTCATTGAAGGTTTATTATCTGCTGGAAGGCTGTAATGTAATTGCAAGGTATCATTTAAAGAGCTGTCTGTCTGTGTGAACCACCTTGTTCTGAATACCTGTTCCTGCATAGAGCCAGAAGATGTACATTTATTTATCAGTGGTGGTTCATAGCTGCCTTAGATCAATCGTATTATTCTTCCTCCACGGCTCAAGCCCCAAAATAAATGGCTTGTGATGTACAGAGCGTTGAAATCATTTGTATATCATCAGTCATTTGTTTCTCTTCTGTCATTTGCATTTTGATGGACAGCCATATGTTTGGGGGATTTCATTTTTATTACAGCCTTTGGTCACATTGTCCATTTGTAATACCATCTTAGATATTAATTACCCCAATTAGAGAAGGCCCTTTCAAATATTACATCACCTCCAAGTCGCGCTATTCATACCATAAAGCTATAAATGCCAACTATTGTTTTATTCTTCCTTTTTGACACCTGCTTCTCTATGGAGAGGTATTCTTTCCCAGAGTTTGTCATCAGTGATAAGAGAAAATATCTTTGTGTAGAGGGGTAGGGAATTATTGTTTTTCCTCCATAAATACCTCATCAATTCAGTGGCATTGTGGAGTAGAACATCCATTAGTGACTTTTCTAGGTGTTGGTATGAGAACAAGTAGACAAGCTTTGGTTCCAGCCCTACCAGTAAATAAATAGCTTTGTGATCTTGAGCAAATTACATCACTTCTTTGTGCTTCAGTGTCTGCATCTACAAAGTATGGATGACTTCTAAGATCTTGTCAAGCTTTAAATCCTAGGACCCTATGATGACTTTCTTCACCTCTTCCCTAGAGTTTAAGAGTTATAAATTGATAACTTTTCAATGTCTTAATATCAGTTATATCTTTTTCTAAATCTTCTCCCTTACTGCAAACTCTTAGATGATGTTTACTTCTTGTCACCTCCAGTGTGTCTGTCCCTAGAAGGCTTGTACGCTTTCTAATTTGCCATTTCAATTCAGCTGGAATAAGAAACCCAGTTATTAGTTTTTCAAGTATTATCTAAAGTACGGGTTAAATAGATCCTAAGGGGGTGGCTCAAGGCTCTCACTTGAGGTTAGACTTTATGAGCCATGTTTAAGTGGCCACAGAGACAGCGAACCCTTTATTTATATTATTTTAAATAAAAATAATCAGGAAAGGCTTCCTAGATAGGTGTCATTGCCTAGTAAAGGAGGTTCCTTGGGCTAAGGGAACAGCATAAGCAAAAGCACTGAGGCAGGATGGTCTCTCAGCAGTCCTGAGCAGTGATTGTCAGGAGGCTGTACCTCCTGAGTTACTGTACCTCTGTCCTCCCTGCTGAGCCTGGAGATCATTTCCTGATCCCCAAGGAGACCCATAATCTGACAAAGATTCCAGGTAGAAAAAGTAGTCTGGGAGTTGTAATTTAAATTCTGAAATATCAGAATTTCCAGACATTTAAAAAATTTCTCCGGGCAAGGTGGTGTGTGCCTGTAGTCCTAGCTACTCCGGAGGCTGAGGCAGGAGAATAGCTTGAGCCCAGGAGTTTGGGGCTTTAGTGCACTATGCTGATCGGGTATCTGCACTAAGTTTGGCATCAATAAGGTGACCTCCTAGGAGCAGGGGACCACCAAGTTGCCTAAAGAGGAGGGAACCAGCCTGATTGGAAACAAAGCAGGTCAAAACTCCTGTGCTGATCAGTAGTGGGATTGTGCTTATGAATAGCCACTGCACTCCAGCCTAGGCAACATAGCAAGACCCCATCTCTGAAAAAAAAAAATTTTTTTTAGCTTTCAGTATGTTAGTGTTTATGAGTCAGTGGGAACAGACTATTTGAAATTAGAGCTGAGACCAGTAATGCAGGATGTCTGGTCACCGTGGTTATCAGTTATAGAAGAACCATAAGCCCTGGTCCCTCCTGAATTCCAGGAGCTGTGTTGTCTGTTACAGTAGCCACTAGCCACACATGGCTATTCACATTTAAATTAAAATTCAATAAAATTAAAACGTTAGTTCCTCAGTCACACAAGCCACATTTCACATGCTCAATAGCCGTATGTAACTGAGACAGCACAGATACAGATCATCACAGAAAATTCTGTCGGACAGCCCTACTCTAGAGACAAGTGTGGAACACATGACACAGCCGTGAACATTTAGTCCCTGGCTGCTCTGCCTATGCAGTAGCCATTTTTTTGTTTCTTTACTTCTCTAATAAAGTTGCTTTCCTTTAAAAAAAAAAAAATGTAGTCCCCATAGAACTGGAGACACTGAGAATGGGGTAGGGGCCAGTGGTTGTTCTATAATGTCAGGACTTGCTCTGTTCTTCAGCATGGCTGGGGCATGGTGCAGGATCCTGGGTCCGCAGTCCACAGCTCAAACATCCATTGCAACCAGTGCAGGAAAATAAACTCACTCCTACTCTGCTAGTGGGAGTATAAATTGACAGGCCAAATTGGCAGTTTGTATCAAAACACCTTAAATATGAGCATATCCTTTGATCTAGCAATTCCATCTCTAGAGATTTTTCTAAGGAGACAATCAAAGATAGTTAAATAGATGTATGTGCAGGGTTATTCACCATAATGCTGCTTATCATACAAAAACCAATGGAAGTAGCCAGTAGCATGCTGGTAAAAGTTAACAACAAGCTGGAGTAAAGGGGAGGAGCCCTGATTTGTTGCATTTGCTGATTTCTGTGGCGTAAAAACTCCCACCTTGGCTGATTTCAAGCTACCAATGGAACAGAGCTGGGAAGAGATGTTCACAGTTGCTTCTTGTGAGCCTGTGCAAGCTCGCTCCCGCACACCGCTAGCAAATAGTCTAAGTGTCTGAAAAAAGGAGACCAAGTAAGTAAATCGTGGTAGAAAATTCCATGAAGCCATTAAAAATATGCTGTAAGCCGGTGGTTCTTAAACTTGAGGGTACACCAGAATCACCAGGAGGGCTCGTTAAAACCTGGTTTGCTGGGTCCCCCCACTTGTAGTTTCTGATTCAGCAGGTCAAGTCTGGCTGAGAACTTGCATTTCTAACAAGTTCCCAGGAAATGCTGTGAGAACTACTGTTGTAGAAGAAACTTTGATGACATGATAATTACCAAAAATATCCCATTTTGTGAGTATGTATGTATGTATGAAAATAATAGCTACACTGATTGAATTTGTATAATGTGACAAGTGCTATGCCAATCAATTGATGTGCATTACCTTGTTTATTCCTCATTACTGTGAAGAAAATAATGTTATTGTTATCCCCATTTTGCATACAAAGAAACTGAGATTTAGAGAAGTGAGGAATCTTCTCCCACACATCTAGTGGGATGTGAGACAGGATTTGAACTTGGCAGCTGACCTGAGGGCCTGCCCTCAAACCACTCTAGTGTGCAGCCTTGTGTCCACTCATCTGGAGCTCACCTGGGGCTCACCTAAGGCAGTGCCACACTGAAACACAACCAAATACCCATGGTTATTTCTAGGTGATAGAATCACAGAAGATTTCTGTGTTTTACTGCTTGCTTTTATGTGTTTTCCAAATTTTCTACAATGCAATATTTTTATAATCAGAAAAAATATCCAACATAGTAAACATGATAAATTGGAAAGGCCATTGTGACTTTGGTTCACTGTGCACACACCTTGTTCCTGGCTCCTTTGGTTTGAGTGGCTTCCGCTCGTCTGTAACCCACAGTCCAGATTGACTTTGCTCAGCCACTAGCATCCGTTCACTTTAGACTTTATGAAGTTTTCACTTTGGGTACCTTACCTGATCCCCACAGCAATCCTATGGGTTTGGCCATCTGACTGCTTCCACTTTATAAATGAGGCAACTGAGACTTTAATAAAGGAAAATGACTTGCCTGAGGTTACACACCTAAGTAGAGTTATTTCCCTTCAGTTATGACTCATTTATTTTCTGGTTCCTGCTCCTAGTTCACAGTGTAATTCAATGGCTACCATTTATTGAACACTTACTGTGTGCCAGGTATTTTACTTACTGCATTTTAACTTTGCAACAACCCCAACAGGAAGACATTATCATCACCTTTTTAGAGGTGAAAATGAGAATCAGAAAGGCTGTGTGCCGTGTACAGGGATGCACAGCCAGTTGATGATTCCAAAGCCCATTGATTCACTTAGGGAATATTTATGAAATACCCACTCTGTATCTGTTTACCAGATACCTGAGTTTCTAGCATTGGCCATTCCTGGCCTGACTCTGCACCCAGCACCCTGACCTGGGCCTCAGGGACTGTTCCCAGGCAGGGCTCACAAGGGAAGGCTCCCTCAGCCACCCCCGGCTCCAGCTACTCTTCCACACCCCAAACTCAACACGGCCCACTGGTGGGAATAACTGAGTGCTGACAGCCCCTCTGCAAGTGGACATAAAGTTCACCTGTTTAATTTGGGTTTCCACCTGGGGATCCTGGCCCTAGATAAAGTGCTTACTATGTCCCAGGTGTAGTTCTAAGTGAGTTACCCTCACATCTCAGTAATTCTTCACAGCAGCCTTGTAAGGGAGGTATAATATTATCCCCATTTTGCCCATGAAAACCCTGCAGCTGGGAGAGGTTAAGTAATTGGCCCAAGATCGCACAGCTAGTAAACGGAAGCTGGGAGCTTCCCTGGGCTGGGTGGGCCCCAGGTACCTACCACTGCTTTCTACCATCTTGCCCCCAGAGGTCTTGCCTGTCATTCAGGAAGAGAGGAATTGGCCTTGGACCTGTCCCTGTCCTGTGCCATTTTTGAAAATTTTGTCAGCTGCATGTTTGTTCATGCAGAGGCCCATTTAGTAGTGTGTGATGCTACAGAGCCCTTTAAATTGTGTTAATTGAGCAAAGCCTTTTGGTTTAAGAAACCTTGACCACCCCGCGGTCTTGCATCGGGACATGGCTATGGCAGGGAAGAAATTTTCACAGGGCGCCCAACTCAGGTGGACAAAGATGCAAACTTTTTACATAGAATGCAATTTCCTTCTGTCTCAAGCTCTGTGTCATCCGAAGGTGAACTTGGATCCAGGAATCCTCACCAGCTCTGACCTCTTCTCCCCTCCTCTCTGATAACTGCCCACTCCCCAAGTCCAGAAGAGTTTGCAGTCCAGGGCACGGATGAGGCCTCGGAGGGCTGGTTACTTACTCAGCAGATGTTCCTCCACACGGATTGCTGTGTCAGGACCTTGGTTTTTGCTGAAAACTTTTGTTTGTTTTGTTTTCTGATGTTGATTATGGCTTTCATCTCTGAGGGCAGTGGAGTTCAAGGTGAATTCTGTTTATGTTTTGGGTTGTGGTGGAGCTAGTGAAGCCGCAATTATGAGCGAAAACAGATTGCAATGACACCACCCCCCGCAAAACGACCTTCTAAATATCATCCTACCATACTCAATTTAATCATTACCAACCCCTGGCTAAGCTTCTCACAGGGGAAACACTTTCCACGCCACCCAGAGGAGTGGAGCAAAGCTGCAAAAAGGACTTTCGTCCTCAGCACCCCACCTTCCAAGGGGAGCACAGCTCCTTGGAGTCACTGTGGCCAGTGGGAAGGAATGAGCAACGTCCCTCAGGCGCATTGGGTGGAAGGGAGGGCTAGACCACTGAGCTGGGCTGTCTGTGTCTTTCTCTGCCGAGCCCTTGCCACAAACCAGGCCTTGGGCTAGACTTTAGGGATACCCTGATGAACAAGAAGACATGGGCCCTGCCCTGAGGGCCTGAGATTCTATGGCAAAATGAAGTCTATGCTGTGAGAGAATAGGCAACAGGCAGTGGAAGTTCGGAGAAGAGTGATTCATTCCCTCTCACTTTTCCTCCTGGCAAATCCTGTTCATCCTTCTGGACCAAACTCAAGAGTCCCCTCCTCTGTGATGCCTTCCCCATCTCTTGTCCTCAGACAGCCTTACCTCCCTCTTCCCCCTTCCTGACTCCCAGCTCTTATGTGGCACCTGCCCTTGTACTTCCATGCTGACCCTCCCATAGACCATGTCTTAGTTACTTCTGTGTCCCAGTACTCGCCACAATGCCAGATGCATAGCGACATCATTAAGTGTTGAATTAATGAATAGGTATGAGAGCACCTTTGAGTACTTGAATCGCAACCCACCAGTACTCTGTATTCTAACCTACCATTCCCTAGCATTGTGAGATACTGTGGGCTGGGACGTGCTATAAGGGTGTCACAAGTAATTTTGTGACCGTTCCAAAAGCATCAGTGTTTGTGAATGACTTACTTTTATCTTACAAATTAGATCAAATGTATGGTTATTCTTTGTCATACTTAAGCCTGTGTCCTCTAGAAAACAGAGACTAAGGCAGGATTAAGTCACTGACAGTTTATTTGGGGAAGGGGAGTGTGAGCCTGAGACAGCGATGGTGAGGATAAAAGGGAAAGTGATTCAGGAAACTTCAAGGGGTGATGACTGCAGCTTTCTCTTCACAGTAGTGCCAACACCCAGCAGGTATGCTCTTGCAGCATGGGGGCACTGCTTCAGTAGCTCACCAGGGGGAACAGCATCTCAGAGGAGTCCGTAGACAGAGAGAAAAGGAAGTTTTTCTACCTGATTGTCTCTCATCTCCTGCTTCCCATTGGTCATAGTCCCAACTGACTTCCCAGTTGTGTCATCCAGTTCTGTGGTGGCTACTCAGAAAGCCCCATCCCATGCCCCAGTGTAGTGTGATGTTTCATCTGAGTCTCCCTGTGACCTGATTCAGGTGAGATGCTGGGGCATTCGGGTGGGGGGGTATCGTTGGGGAGAGGAGACAGTTAAGGACATTACAGAAGGCACACATCTTTGTGTCTAGTACGTCTTTATATCATGACACTCACACATCTGCTGTACCCTGTGCTTTACTGGGTGGGAGAAAAAGAGATGCCATTGTAGCTCTTATAGCCCCAGGCATGGAAACTGTACGTGACCCTGGGTATATCCGTGTGATCCTGTCACTCCGTGAACATCATCAGTCATATGTGTTTTCATCTCAGCTCCAAGTCCATGTGATAAATTGGATATTGCTTTTGCTTATCTAATTCTCATTGCCCCAGCCAGACTGTCAAGTCGTTGTGGTACTGTTTGTGCATCGTACTGAATTATGACATCCACATGATAGATGTAGAATGCCCCTTTGAAATGTATCGCACACACTCTGTCTGTCTTGCACGCTGTAGAGCTGGGGTGGGACAGATGAGGGGTGGATGCTGCTGCAGGACAGGGCTCAGTATCTGCCCTCCCAAGGTCAGGCCTGACATTGCTAGGAGACAGAGGCACGGGGCCCCACCTTCCTGTCCAACCTCCCTTCCTGCTCCTCCCCCCTCACCCTCTCTCATCATCACACATGCTTTCATGACCCAATGCATATCTGTTTATCTGCCTCCTGACAGTCCCACTAGTCCTAGAGGCCCAGGGCAATCAGGCCCTCTGCCTTCTGAGAAGGCTTCTCTGATACTCTGGCCCAGCCCTCTCTTCCCTGGAGGTCCTGGAGCTTGAATGGTTGGCCTCTCGTTATTTGCTCCCCCTCCCATTCCGGGCCTGGCCCTGCCTCTCAAGCTCAGGAGGGAGCCAAGGAAGGGCCAGGGCCAGGTCCAGCGGGAGTAGGCATGCCTTAGAGCTCACTGGTGATGTCAGCACTCGCCAAAAAATGACATGTTTGAGGCAGCAGCTGCCATTGCATGTCAAAGAAAGAAGTGATTTTTTTGGTATCCTATTTATGGAGAATCTCTGACACCAGTATTACTTCTCTCCCGATTAGTAAATTTGTTTGCTCCCATTTTGCAGTTGAGATATCTGACATGCTGGGGCTAAGTGACAAAACACATCAGCCTGCCTCCAGGCACCATCCATCATTTGCACTCTCACTACATCCAGTGAACACATTTTAGAGATGAGGACATTGACGCTCAGGAAGGATACATGAGTAGGCTAAGGTCACATGGCAAGTTTGAGGTAAGGCTCACCTTACCTGGAAGCTAGGTCTACACCAAGGCACCTACCTTCCACTCTGTACCTCCCAGCCCCTCCCTCTTCCAGGTCATAGACCGAGTACCTGGCTGCCACTGTCAGACATTTGGCTCCATGACAGAGAGAGCCTTCATTTCCTGAAAGCCTCTGTTTTGGTATTTAGAATGGGAATGAATTCTCAAATTGAATTCATTTCATCTTCAGTGGAATCAGAAAGGTGTCTCCAGCTAAAAAGATTATGTCTGCAATTACAGATCTGCCGACTGCATCAACTCCCTCTCCCTTTGTGTGCTAGAGACCCTTCAGCATACGCAGCTCTGGGATGATGCCAGGATTCCATTTGGAGACTTCTGCACCCGTTGCTTTTGTGTCTTCCCATCTGCATGTGAGAGGAAATACATAGGGAACTCTTAAAAGTTGATGCTTATTTTGGGGAAAGCAAGGAGACAGTGAAGCAGGGTACTGTGAGGGCTGGGGGTTGGGTATGAGAAAGGCTCTGGGAGAGGGATCTGAGGTGTGGCAGGGCTGGGGGAGGGAGCCTCAAGTCTCAGGCCTGTCTGCCACAAACTTGCTGGTGGCCCAGGAAGCCCTGCCCTCTCTGATTCATAATTTCACCATCTGTGATATGAAGAGAATGGCTTACATTTGTGCTTTTCAAGCTTTTTTCCTTTTTTCAATAGTAAAAACGTTTTTCAAAATAAATCTTACCCAGGAGCCTCATGTAGAAAAAATTGTAAAGGATGCCTACTCCCCCTGAAGGTGGGAGAAGGGAGACCCTGGGAGAACCTGGGCTGCACTCCAGGGCTCCAGGGTGTACAGGGTGCAAACCAGTGACCTGTGCACTTTCTAAGGTCCCTCATTAGGGAGGAAGGGCCAGCAGAGCTGGGCCCAGATAAAGAGGGCTACAGAGGCCAAACCAACAAGGACCTTGGGTTTTGAGGGACCCGTTATCATGCCTTAGACCAGTGCTTCTCAAATGAGGGTTCACTGCACCCAAGAGGTAGACAGGAATTTTACCTTTTTATTTTGATTTTTAGTGTCTTAAAAGATTCTTTTACCAACTATGATACTCCTCTTTGTAGTGAAAATTCACAATTAAAAGACAGAAACTTTGGTTTCTTTGATTAGTATTTCTTAGATACATTCCCGGGTATGTTTATAGAAGAGGCCACAGATTTTTTTTGCTTTTAAAGGGGACTGCTTATTACTTACATTTGGGAAACATTGGCTCAGCCCATCCCAGAAAAACTGCCAAGTGAGCAAATTTTGGTAGTAAGGAGGGTTTGGTGTAAGGGAACTACCGGGAAACAACAGCCTGCAAAGATGATTGCAAGGCAGGGGTTAAGTGCAGGAAAGCCAAGGCTACAGATGGGGATGTATATCTGGGCCCATTCCTATGAAATATGGAAACCAAGCAACACGTCTCTAACTATAGGTATGTATGTGGATTTTTTAATGCTTGGAAGTATATATATATCAAAATGTTAATAGTGGTCTGGGTGGTAGAATTACAGGTGGTTTTTATTGTCTTCTTTTTTCCAATCCATTAAATGCCTTTGGTCTTAGAGAACTCCATTTGGTGAATTACTCCTCCTTTGCTCTAGGTCATAAACTTCTGGCTTTGAAGAGTTTATGTTCCTTTCAAGGTGCTGGAAACAGCCCCATCAACCTCCTTATTTGGCCTTCAAAATAATTTTTTAAAATCTGATTGAATTGCCAATATTGAGAACTCCCATAAAAATCTGCTTCTCCAGTTCTCCTGATATCATCTCTGAGACCTCATTCCCACGAGGCCACAGGTGGGTTTGCAGGCTTCCCTATGGCCCATTTCCCACATATGCCTTAGCTGCCTGGCGCTGGAAGTGTGTGAGCCCCTCTTCTGCTCTCAGGACTCCCAACCCTCCAACCTGGGGGCCCGTTAAGCATCCCACAGGGGCCGCTCCCTGTGTGAGCTGAGATGGACATTTGACTTACCCAAGGCTCAGCGTGCTCCACAATTTCTTCATGGGAAGGGTTTAGGGATGACAACTGCGTGGAAGAGAGGGCTTTGCAGAGTACTTTACATAAAATGAATAGGGAAAGAAAACCCCAGAATGGTCAGGCAGGACCTCTTCTGACTACATCCTCATTAATTGCTGAATATTACACAAAAAACATCAGTGAGGTATTGGTACCTCTACCCGGCAGTTCACATTTCTGAAAAGGCCAAGTGGAAAACACTCTTTACCATTTTTCTCCCTAAATAAAGCCCATGGAACACTGGGAGGGAATTGTGTGTAGCACAATTGGAGGCCTCGTCTGATCTTGATAAGGGGAAGGAATGGGATTTGAAATGTTCTGCATGGGGGGACGTGTCTCTAGTAAATGCAAATTGGGAAAGTGGGGTCTCCTTGGGGGCTCCAAGGCTGGTGCCATTTCTCCTGGCTTAGAGTAACAACAACAATAATAACAATCACCACCAACAAGTGTAAATGTTGGTCTGTCTCAGTTACTGGGCCTGCTGAGCATTCTGTTATCACCTTATATCATCCTAACACCCAGTGAAAAACACTTCTATTATTATTCCCACTTTGCAGATAAGGAAACTGAAGCTTAGAGAAATTTAAGTAACTTAGCAGAGCTTGCTGGTCTGTTGGAAAAGTAGACATTCCACTTAAGTCTGGCTGCTCTTAGAGCCTCTCTCCCACACATAGAGCCTCTCTCCCACACACTGTGCTACCTCCCACTCCTCCTGTGTGCCCTCTTCCACTTTCACCACTGCCAGTAATGACGGTGCTCCCACTCTCTGCATCTTTAAGCCACCTTCAGTACAAACATCCTGCCTGGCAAGCAGGAGAGGGATTACTGCCCCATTCAACAGACACGACGCTGAGGGCCAGGGCAGGAAAGTGACCTTTGTGGGGTCGCATGGCTAGTCCTCATCCTAACTGCTCAGAGCATTCTCAGGACACTCTCCCCACTGATCATGGCCAGGGCTTCCCAAACAGTCACGGTCCTTCAGAACTTGTTTTCACAAACCCCTGCCTCATTGAATATGCCTTCGTCAGAGTGTTGTATTATTTTTTCCCCTGTTTTCTGCCTGTGTGTGTATGAGCCTTTGCCACAAGAGCCTTATTAATCATTCGGTGTTGAAGGTTACCAAGAAAAATATGCCAGAGTGTGACAGGCCATTAGTATTTGTGTTGTAAGGAAACCAGTAATCATCTTAATTGGTGCACATTTTGGAGCGGAGTGGGGCTTTCTCCTGAAGGGCTGTCTCCTCCTTCATGTACCATTAACGCCATGGTAAACGCACCCTCCTAACCACAGCCATCCGCAGAGGCAGCTTTTTGCTAGAGCCTCATTTTGCCCCTGAAATCTTGGGCTGTGTGAGTTAAACAAGCCCTCTCCACTCAGACCAGCTGGGCAGGAGTGTTTGACCCTAGAGAGATTTATGAGGTCGGTGGAGCAGTCCTGCCTCTGGCCCCAGGGAATTCATGCTCAGCCCGATTTTGATGGTGACCAGACGTGCCTCCTAAAACACAAGGTGGCCCTGGAGGCCTGGGGAGGAGAGTGCAGTCTACCCACTTGGCCCCTTCTTCCCGGCCCTGAGTCAGTGACCTTCACCTAAATCCTAAAAGGACTCTGTTTCTTTCTTTAAAAAAAAAAAAAAAAGAGAGAGAGAGAAAAGAAAAAACACTTCCTTTTTAAAAACTTGTAAATCCTATATCCTTTCCCCATCACCCTACCAGAGATTCTTGGGGGGCCAGGGTATGGCTTCCTCTTTGACAAGGGCCATCCTTTTGTGTGTCACCACAAGCCAAGATTTTGACCAGCTCTAAAAGTAGAGCTGGAGGCCTGTCTAGTTTGTGTTATGAAAACAGTAGTTATTTTTCTAAGTATTTTATTATATCAAGTATGCCATTTAAAATACAGCTTCACTTCTCACTCTACCCCATCTTCCCTCCCAAGATTCTTCTCACCATTCTAAATAGGAACTGCTTGGTGGTGGGACTAAAATTGGGAAAGCCACTTCAGAGGGCAATTTGGAAGTATCAAAAAAATTTTAATGTGCATATTCTATAATCCAGGAATCCTACTTCTCAGTGTCTATCCTGGAGAATTCTTCACTATTTACACCATGAGCATACGTAAAGATGCTCACTGCAGCACTGTTTGTAATAGTACCAAATTAGAAGAAACCTCAGTATTCATCAGTAGGCTAAGGGAAATAAGCAATGCCATATCTCTAATATGGAATATGATGAATCTATTAAAAACTATGCACTGGGCTGGGTGCGGTGGCTCACACCTGTAATCCCAGCACTTTGGGAGGCTGAGGCAGGCGGATCACTTGAGGTCAGGAGTTCGAAACCAGCCTGGCCAACATGGTGAAACCCTGTCTCTACTAAAAATACAAAAATTTAGCCGGGCATGGTGGCACATGCCTGTAATCCCAACTACTTGGGAGGCTGAGGCAGGAGAATCACTTGAATCCGGAAGGCGGAGGTTGCAGTGAGCCACGATTGCGCCACTGCATTCCAGCCTGGGTGACAAGAGCAAAACTCCATCTAAAAAAAAAAAAAAAACAAAACAAAACCGCACTGGATCCACATGACATAAGCAGAGCTCTAAGATGTATTATAAAGTGAAAAAAAAGCAAGTTGCACAACCACTTATATAATACAGCACAGAATACAACCAATACCATATCTTTTCAGTGTCAAGTATATGTGTGTAAACATATAGAAAAAGACACAGAAGGATATATTCCGAAGTCCCAACAGTGGTTACCTATGAGACAGGGGAGCCAAACCAGATTAAAGATCATGGTCAAAAGAAACTTCACCCTTTTTTGTATTTATAATGTTTTATTTCCTTTCACAAGGAGAATATGTTTATGTATTTCTCATTTAATTAAAAAACAATACTATCTTGGAGAAAAGAAAGTGGTTGATCCAAGAATTTATTTCCTGAAATGTTTTAGAGATTTAACATCTTCCCCTCCCAGCTGGAGATTTGTGTCTTAATCCTTTATAGGCTAAATTTTTGTTTCTCAGCAAAGCCTATATTTGATACTCACACATACTTAAGAAATGCACCCTTTTAATTGAAAGAAATTATAAATTGTTTATTAAAAAGATTTATCATTAGAGAGAATATATGGGACTCTTAATTCCCTGTGTACTCAGATGTTTTAAAACTCTGTATCTTTCCATGGGTTGTTTTTTCCTATCTAGAATGTCCACCCTGGTGAGCTTCACTGAAACTCTGCTTAGGAGACCTCCACTGCCCTTGGTCCCCCTCTCCAAAGTTAATCCTTTCCTAGAGAGCTGCTGCTGATCTTTGCATATGCTTCCACTATGAAAGGAAAGCACAGTAGTTAGGAGCACAGGCTCTGGAGTCAACCCGGCCTGGATTCAGTCCCTGCTCTGTCACTTACCAGCAATGATAAGATCCTCCAACTCTCCAAACCTCGATTTTCTCATTTCTAAAATGGGGATCACAGTCCCACCTTGTAAAATCATCAAGGGCATTAAGGGAGATAATACATGGAAGATGCTTAGCACATGCCTGGTGCAGAGTACACTCTTACTATGTGTCAGCTGTTCATGTTCTCATTGCAGAAATGTCTTCCTCGGACCCGAACTTGGTTACTTGGTTTCTGATCGGCTCATATCATCCCTGAAAAATACTGGAGGCTCAGTTAAATGTTATTTTGTACTGAACTGTGCAGTGAGGAATAAGGAAGGATGACCTTTTGGTCCATAAGGATTTTCTGCTAAAAGAACGTGAAAGCCTTAACAGACCATAGGTATTAAAAGAGGCCATCTAGACAGTGGGTTAATTGGTGGTGTTTAATTTATGTTTACATATCTGATTTTCAACAATTTCTAACATGAGCACCTATTAATATGACTTGTATAATTTCTTAATGCCCCCCAGAGGAGGACAGCGGTGACCCACAAGAATCGGGTAACCAGTGGTGGAAGGTCAGGCACTGTGACAGACTCAAATGGAATAGGTACTGAGGAGCCATGTGGCATTGCTGGCAAGACTCACATCACACCACCTGGCTTCTGGGTGATGTGGGTCATCTATGGCTCCACCCAGACAGCCATCTGGGTCCCTGAATGGGAACAAGATGCCTCTCCAGGGCTGAGAGTCTTTTGCCACAGCATGTCCAGGCCAGTGCTCCTTGTTTGCTTTTGAGCTTATGATACCCCAAATATAAGAAGCTCCTTCTGTTCAAACTGGGCACCCCAGCAGGAGGTGAAAAGTATCCCCCTCATTCCAACAATGGACACTGGGATGTGTGCATGTGTTTGTTCATGTTTGTGTTTGAGCCTGTGCTAACAAATCGAATACCTGGGCATCGAGCAGCTCATACATAACCAGAGGACCAAACAGTCTTTCTGTCCATCACTGGTCTGGGTTCAGAATGCATAGACCTCCCAGCCCACGTTGCCTCACATACACCACATTGTGGAGTTCTCTCGGAGGCAGCATTCAGTGTGCTTTCAGGCCTTTGACAAATTAAACATTCAAAAGTAAAAATTGCTCACTGCTAGGGTAGGGGGAAAATTACAGGGGTAGATAAAACAGGCTAGAGCTTATGAAAAGAAAACCACAGTCTCTCTACGCTAATTACTAATGCATCTCAGAAGGAGCTCAGAGGTTAAAGGACTAAGTCCTTAGCTGGATTTTCACCATTCTTAGAACCAATTGCAGAGAGGCATAGCATCTTGGAACTGTGAAATGATACAATTCCAATGCTGGAGGGGGGTCTTCGAGGCTACACAGTTCAACTATTTCTCCAATATTTGAGTCTTTTTTATGGTTAGCATAGTAAGTTTCACCTATGATTGAATTCTTCCGGTGATGGACAACTCACTGTCTTATGAGCTATCCCATTCTTTTGTGAGACAGCTCTTCTTATCAGAAGGCTTTTTCCTTACATGGAGCTGAACTCTAGCTCTCTGCAAAGTATATCTTCTGGTTCTAGTCTTGTCTTCTGGAGGCAGAGAGCATGGTGTCAGGGCGAGGGCATAAGCTGTTGAATCACAGAGCCCAGTGTTCTAACCTACCAACCGTCCACTTGGGCAGAAGAACTCTCTCCCAACCTCAGTCTTTGTATCAGTCAAAGTGGGGCTACCTCCCTGGCTTCAGTTAATTTGAAGATAAAGTGAGATAGTGAAAAGAAAAAGGACATGCTAGAGCTACATGTACTGTTATAGAAAGATGATTTTGGCATATTGTCAACTGGACAAAACAGGTTTCAGAAGAAATAAGCATAAGAAGATTGGGATATTGGGTGAGAAATAGAGCAAACTTAAGAGTGGCCATCTCTGGTGGGTGTGACTAGCACAGCTTGTCACTCAGATGTTACATTCTGCCATGATGGTTAAAACATTTTTTTTCAAAAATGCATCATATTTAGAATCACAAAAAAATAGTCAAGACTTTCCATTTTAGAAAGAAAAAGATGAAATATCCAGAATATTTTATGTCCAAAAATGGAGACCACCTGTATCAATTTTGGTGTGTCTTTCCCTGCAGGACGTCTGAATCTTCAAGGCATATCCTGAAAGGATTTTGTGCCAGCGTTTATCTGAAAAAAAAAAAAAAAAAAAAAAAAAAAAAGGCTCCAAACATCTAACAACAATGACAAAATCAGTGACTGCTTTAGGTCCTGCCCAGTCTGCCTCAGGGCCTTTGCATTTGCTGCATGTGTGATATTAACAGGGTGGGCACACCTGAAACACAACCATCCACAAACACACTTGCATGTGACGGGCAGAGATGTTAAGTGGGGAGAGAGGTTTGAGTGGGAACTTCATGAGTGGTCATTTTATTGATAAATATCCTGCCCAGATGATAGCATTTGCTTCCTGACGCTACCTCCTATGTTTGGAGACTCACAAGTGTACCTGAGTGACAAGGCCTCCCAAACATGCTTTATATCTTCCCCTGGGTGACATGTTGAGTCTTTGGAAGCACATTGGGTATATGGATTTTATAAAATAAAAGCAGCAAATGACAAGCAAAATATGTTAAGTTATGATCGAACATCTGTGTGCCCCTACAGTATGCCAGGTGCTGTGAGGAAAATCAATCACTCTGAGTCCTGCCCTCAAGAAGCTTGTGCCAAGCAGATCGACACAAGTCCCAAATCAGAACATGCAGATGATGCTTCAGGAGCACTTTGCGCTGAGCCTGGGGAGAAGAATAGAATAGGATTCCTGGAGACAGAGAAGCAGACAAGGATGCTCTGAGCTGACAGATTTGCAAGAGTAAAAGAGTGAAAGCAAGGAAATTAGTCGAGCAGTGTCTGCAGAGAATGCACCAGGGGCAGGGCTGAGATGAGAGATGGTTCTGGAAAGGTTGGTTCTGGCCATCCTGAGAAGCCTGAACTGTCACCATATGACATCAGTAGACCTGTGCTGTAGCACCGGTAGTGTGAATGAGATGAGAGGTGAGGGATTAGATACCAGAAGACCTGTGCATATCAGATTAGTCTCTGGTAGGGGACATTTCTGTAAGTGGCAGAAGATCCCAATGCAGAAGCAGAAGGAAGAGGCCCTGAATGGGAGGTTTCAAAATATTTGGTGTTGGATTGGGTTGGGGTGTTTTGCATGGGGAGGGGGCAGTGGTGGTTGAAGGAGGTCGTAAGGAAAGTTCCGACATATGTTCAGTTTTCTCTTCCTGTGCACTGAGCAGGAAAACTTCCCCCAGGAGAATACTTTTGCCCTTTAACAAATATGAAACTGACAGGCCAACACTGTTGCTGAAGTGGAAGGATTTTTTTTTCTTTTTTAATAACACCTTAAACGATAGTCATGGAAGCCGGCATCCTAAATGAAATACATGTTGCTCTCCGACACCTGACAACCTGACATAATTTAAGAGCAGCTACCAGAAGCCCACAACTGGAATTGCCCATGAATCTGCTCTCCTGTATAGGCTCCAACTGGGTGAAAAAGTGAAGTGGGCTGAGTCCAAAGGGCCTGGTCTTCTCTTCTTATTTGTAGCTGATTGGTGGGGAGTCACTTTCAGAAAACAGAGGAGGCTGTAATTAACTTGATAGGGGTGGTTTCTGGAGTGTTTTTATTCGTCGTCTGATTATTAAACAGATTTATGGCCCTGCCCACTGCTGAAAAGGGACCAAGGCATTTAGTTGAAATTAAAAGTGCAGACAGGGCTGCCTGTTTAGATAATAGCATCTCTTTTTTAATAGATTACTCATCTTCTGCAAAATAGGAGAGAGGAGTTAATTTGTGTGATGAAGTGCTTTCTATTTCTGGGAGCTGGCTGGTGGATGTGACTGCTTGAAGAAGGAGAATAATTCATTCTTAAAATCACCAAAGGCATGTTCAGGCCAAATACCTGCACCCGAGGAGTAGGTTAATTTGTAGCGTGATACCTAAGAACAGGGGGGCCTGTGGTTTCAAAGCAAATATTTGGGGAAGGTGTACAATCTTTCTTTAGGTTGCAAGTCATTCCAGCCACTCATTTTCAGAAAAAAGGCCAGAGAAATAAACTTAACATGTTAATCTAAGCAATCAGTCCAGGAGGCCTTGATTGTTAAGGGATGGTGAAAAGAGACTGACTTAGACTTGAATTCCAGAGAAGCCAACATGAGCTGTTTGATCTTGGGCAGTAATCTAGAGTCCCCTGAAAGAACCCACGTGCACCAAACCATCATCAAGGAAGACTTTAAACTTAACTGAGCACTTGATGGAAGAGGCAGAGTAGGGGTTTTACATCACATACTCTATAGCAGCCCACTCGCAATCTCTCTAGACATTCCTGCTCTCCAAAGTCCCCTAGGCCACACCGCTGGGGACTGTCTGCCCTCTCACCCTTCCTTCCACACCACACTCAGCCTTACTGGTTCCTCTCTCCTTTTTTCTAAATTTTCCCCCCAGAAATTTATTTTGTTAATGGAACATGTCCATTAGCATTCCACCCAAACTCCTCTTCACTTGTTGTCAGCTACCACCCAAAACCACCTAGAGGCAATACACTATTCTTTCCAAGCTGAACTCTAGTGAAAGGAATTGTCTCCATCTCTTTGCTGTCTCCTCCCATGCTTGCCACTGCACTGACTTGTCCAGGAAGGCATGTATATCAAGAGCAGATAGTACTCGTTTTGGTTGGAACTCCACCAGCAGTTGTTTGCTGTTTTAGACAATCATGTCATCAACAGCAGTGCTGCTTAGGGCACTTGAGTTGCCAGCCCTGTCTGTTAGGTAAAATAATATGCAGTCCAATATATGGCACTTACAAGTGTGAGCATTTGGCTTCTTCTCTGTCTTCTTGTAGTCAGCCTAAGCATTTATGTTGAAACACATATTATTTTATTATTTCTCCTTTACATCACAATTGGAACATTATTAGAATTTTTGGAAATGGGTGTTAGGCAGGTTATACTACATATTAATTTTATTTTAAGGTATTAAAGGGTGCCATATAAAACAGCTGTTTCATAAAGGGGCATTGAGTTGGAGAAGGTTGAAAACCCCTGAATTTTCCTTTAAACTGGAGCTACGAGGTAAAAATAAAAATTTTAAAAAAGAAAAAGAAAACCCCTGAATTAGAGGGTGAGTGAGTCAGCCGGATGTTGGAGCTATGTTGGTCTTTGACTAAGGGGGTTAGGTCCAATTCCCTCAGATCTGCTGTGTCCTTGATGTTTTCCAGCTGCTGAGACAATAGGCCCATAGATACCAAAAGCTCCAATACACACCTTTTCCTGGCAACTCTTATGGTGGTAGGAAAGACAACTAAAAAAGGCCCTCTGGAGTCTTTGGGAGAAGGAAATTGGCTATTTGGGAATAACCTCTTCCTCCACCTATTGGTACTTCAGAGATCTCAAGTCAACAGAAAATGATTCTGGTAATGATCTATTGAGGTAAGCAATGCAATGATAGTCCTGTGTATAAAACCCTGGGCACATTGTTGTCCATTCTCAGAAGGCTAGTAACAATAGCAATAGTAACCATGGTATGTCATGCAGAGTACTAGCCTTGGGTCAGGGGCCGTGGCAGAGGACCACCTGTCTCAGGATCAAGTGGGCCACCTTTTAACATTATAGGTTCCAGGCTGTGCCCTAGGCCAGGGTTTTTCAGATGGTAGGAGTAGACTCATTGGAAGGTCATAAAATCAGTTTACAGGGTCATCATGTCCAGGATTTTAACAAAAATAGAATACAAGAGGATAGAATAGAAAAAAATAAATGTATCCCAGTGAATCACACCTTGTATTTCAGTTATATGTGTGTGTATACTTTTGTATATATTTGTTTCAGGTCATGATGTAAAATGTATTTCTTTCTATGAGTCACAGTCAAAGGTTTGAAAGCCACTGTTCCCAGACATGTAGAATCAGAATCTGTGAGACTACCTCAGCATCTGTGTGGAAACCAGTTTCCCTGGGGGTTCTTGGGGCTGAGGTTTGAGAACCTTTGCTGTGAGCCCTATTGGGATATGTGTTCATTTGTCAGACCTTTTCTCACTTGAAGGTGAGAGGACGGAAACAGAGCAGCCAGGCTAGGTGGGGACCAGTGTGAATCTGAGGGCTGTGCTCAGAGACAGGAGGAGGGATGGGAGGGCACCCAAGCCAGCACCCACCCGCTCGCAGGTTTGCTGGGGTAGGGGGCAGAATAGTCTTGGATTCCTTAAAGAACTTCAGTTTTGGCCAGGCACAGTGGCTCACACCTGTAATCCCAGCACTTTGGGAGGCCGAGGTGGGCGGATCATGAGGTCGTGAGATCAAGACCATCCTGGCTAACATGTTGAAACCTCGTCTCTACTGAAAATACAAAAACAAAATTAGCTGGGAGTGGTGGCGGGCACCTGTAGTCCCCGCTACTCAGGAGGCTGAGGCAGGAGAATGGCATGAACCCAGGAGGCGGAGGTTGCAGTGAGCCGAGATCGCGCCCCTGCACTCCAGCCTGGGTGACAGAGCAAGACTCCGTCTCAAAAAAAAAAAAAAAGAGAGAGACTCAGTCTCAAAAAAAACAAAAAGAAGAACTTCATTTTTCTATTATTCTAGCAGGAAACATGGGATTCTGGTTTTGATCATTTAGAGTTCCTAATATGATCAAGATGGCCTAGGTTGATTTTTCTAAACTCACCTTCGGCATTATGTCACACCAGTGATCTGATCCTCAAACCTTTAGCATGCCTAGGAATCACAGGGAAGGCTTGTTAAAATCCGGCTCAGTGGGCCCCACCCATCTGCTTCAGTAGGTTTAAGGTGAGGCCTAAGAATGGACATTTCTACTAAATTCCCAAATAATGCTGATGCATCTGGTCTGGACTCACACTTTGAAAACCACTGTGTGAGATCACCAGAAAGGAATGTACCCAGCATAGATCCTGGCACAGCAGGAGCTCAGGAAATGCTTTCTTGATTAAACTGGACTGAATTCTCCTCAGCAGAGATGCTCTCGCTGAGGTTCAGTCGGCTCTCTGCTTTCAATGGTGCAAGAAATGGCTGGTTGATATTGAATTGTATGCTTTAAATGGGTGAATTGCATAATATGTGAATTATATCTCAGTAAAGCTGTTATCAAAAAGAAGAGGAGGAGGAAAGGAAGGGAAAAAAAAGAAATGGCCGGCTTTCCAAGCTGCTCATCAAAAGTGTCCATTATGCCTGAAATTGTCTTACAAGCGGACTCATGTCAAAGGAAAACAAAGGTCCTCTAGCTGAACTCTGAGCTTCCTTTCAGCTCTGCCACTCTCTAAAATTCCTCCTGGGGCTCTGAGCCAGAAAAAGTATGTCTTTCCTGAAGGGCTGATCTGTTTCCCTTTTCCAAACAGTAAATGATGCTTAAATGCCTGTGCATTTCACCTGCCAAAACCCGTCCTGATATAAACATAGCTTTCCTTCTCAACTTGTCTTTTTAATTTTCCTGCTGTTTATATTTACCTGTCTATAAGTTTTTCAAGCAAGGGAAAGCCTTAGACATCCTAGAGGACTAGGGTTGGAAACTGGTATTTGCCAGGCAGAATAGAGAGACTGAGGGCATTGAGAGGTGGTGTAGTTGCATGGTTAATAATAACAGCTTTGGAATCAGAAATACCTGCTATGATTCCTGGCTGTCACCTACCAGCTGTCTGAAAACAGATTCACACAAAACTTCTATGAGACTCATTTTCTCTTTGTCTAAGAAAGTTGTCACAAGAGAGTGGTCACTAAGAGAGTTGTCACAAGAATGAAATGAGGCCAGGTACAGTGGCTCATGCCTGTAATCCCAGCACTTTGGGAGGCCGAAGTGGGTGGATCACTTCAGATCAGAAGTTCGAGACCAGCCTGGCCGACGTGGCGAAACCCCATCTCTACAAAAAATACAAAAATTAGCCAGGCATGGTGATGCAGGTCTGTAATCCCAGCTACTCAGGAGGCTGAGGCAGGAGAATCACTTGAACCCAGGAAGCGGAGGCTGCAGTGAGCTGAGATGGCACCACTACACTCCAGCCTGGGTGACAAAGTGAGACCTCGTCTCAAAAACAAACAAAAAAAACCCCAAAAAGAATGAAATGAAGCAATGTGTATGATAGACAGCAACAGGGCCTAGGCACGTGGTAAGCACCTGACAAATCTTGACGATGATAAAGGTGAGGGCCCACCTCATCTTAACATTTCCTTTGGTTGGAAACACCGGAGTATCAAAACAGGATAAAAGATGATGCTGTTTACTAACGTGTACCCTCCTCTCTCTCCAAATGGATTGCCAGTACCTTGTGACACACCAAGATTTACAAGTGAATAAGTCTATCCCAGGAAACAGATGAACTATGGTGCTTTAAGAGCAGAAGCCAAGCAGAGCCAAGATTTGACAAGACCCGGGACACCTACAGGTCCCAGAGCCAGTCCAAGCCTCTGCAAGGTTAGCAGCACCCCAGCAGCCAGAGAACCAATGCTGGTGATGCTGCTGACTCATCTGGTTGGTGGCCCCCTCCCTGCTTCCCTTCTGCTGCTCCTCCTCTTCTTCCCTCTTGGGCTGCTCCATGGGGTGCTCTCCCAGATGCTCTGCGTCCTGCCAGAGCATGGGACAGTAGAGCTCTTCTACTTTTGGCGCTCCTCAGTGCTGTTTCTGCAAGGCTCAGTGGCATCAGAGATTGAAACTCTGAAATATTCCACTTGGGAATTGATCTGATTACACAGAGTAGTGAAGATTCCTGAACGAAGCAAACTATATCTGAGTCCTATCTTCAGCACATAACTTGTTAGCTGTGTAGCCTTGGACAAGAAATGTTTTCTGGACCTTGTCTTGAAGTGAAGGTGTTGAACTGGGACCTGCTTCCCTCACAGGGTTGTGAAAATCAGATGAGATGAAGGTTCGCAGACGCCTCTGGCTTGGGTGCTAGGCACGAGGACACCCTGGTGAGAGGAGCATTCACAGAACTTGCCCTCATAAGCTTAGGGTTGAGTGAAAGAGACAGTGAGGAATTCCATAAATATGCAGGGTAATCTGAGCTGAGTGCCTTGAAGGATGAGTTCCAGGCCTTTGCAAGGGGCTGACCTAGGAACCTGCTGTGGTTTGGGTACATCAGGAAAGGCTTTGTAAGGAGTTGAATTGGCACTGGGATCTGAAGGATGAGCAGGAGTTAACTGGGAGGAATTGTATGGAGGCTTTGGGATGTCAACCAATCCAGGTAGAAGGACGAGCACGGGCAGAGAACCTGAGGCTGAAGGAGACATCCTGGGGCCTTTGAACACCAGAAATAAGATAGTAAGGGAGGGAGCATCGTTGAGGGAGGGGGCAAGACGAGGCTGAAGAGGGAACAGAGACTGACTGTGCACACCTTGCCATATGACCTTTCTTCCAAGAGCCAGGGGAAGCCATTGAAGGGTTTAAATTTAAGCAGGAGAGTGGAAGAGTGACAAGATGCAATGTACTGCTGCTTTTAAAGACTGCTCGAACTGCTACAAACAGACTAGACTACAGAGGGGCGAGCCCTAGCCAGTGCAGTAGGCCGTGGAGTGCAGTGCTCCAGACCAGGCTCAGCAGAGGCTGCCAGCAGGCTGTATTCCTGCCATGTCACTGTCACAGTGCCAGTGTGTGAGAATCTTACTGCTCCTATCTTAGTTTCCTAGGGCTGCTGTAACAGAGAACCAAAAACTGGATGGCTTAAAACAGAAGTTCATTCTCTCACAGTTCTGGAGCCTCCAAGTCCAAAATCAGTGCCATGCTGTCTCTGAAGTCCTCGGGAGGATTCCATGCCTGTTCCCAGCTTCTGGTATTGCTGGCAAGCCTTGGCATTCCTTGGCTCATAGACTCACTACTCCAGTCTCTGCCTCCATCATCACACAGTATCCTCTCTGTGTGTCTGGGTCCAGATTTCTCTCTTCTTAAAAATATACCAGCCATTGGATGAGTGCCCACCCTAATCCAGTATGACCCCGTCTTAACATAACTACATCTGCAAAGACCCTGTTTCCAAATAAAGCCACATTCACAACAACCAGGGGTTAGGACTTCAATATGTCTTTTTGGGGGACATGATTCAAGCCACAACAACTCCTCCTTATGCCACAGTCCACCCGGTAGAACCATCATCAGAGTCCTAAGAACCCTTCAGACCAGACAGGAGGGAGAGGCTCCACTTTAAGACAGGAATCAAGAGAGCCAGAGGCCCCAGACACACCACAGTGTGTGTGTGTGTGTGTGTGTGTGTACACACACACACACACACACGTGTGCACACACTCAGGGCAGCATGTAGAGAGAGGACTGTGGGAAGCGTGGGCCCTGAGTTCTGGCCTCACTCAGACCTCACCAGCTGAGAGAGTTGGGGCAAGGCTTTCCCTAGGTCTCAGTTTTCTCTCCAGTAATATCAGAAGTGATGTTACCTGCCTGCCCCATTCTCCTTGCATTGGCTCTGAGGAGTCCTTGGGATAATCAAGTATTTCCTGAGAAGTTACTGCCTGCCCAACACTGAGATAACTTACTGGGAGTGTTCTTGGCAGAGGAACAAGAGTTACACAAGTTGAAGTTGTTACATCCTTCTCCGTTAATCCCCTGGGCTCTTCTCTTACAGCTTGGTGGTTACAAGTACAGACTCCATTCGCTTCCAAATCATCCCGTGGGCAGGGACAGAGATGAAACAAGAGACATAAAGCTAAAGGATGGGTCTATGGAAGGTTCATCATTCTATTCTACTTTTTAAATATATGTTTGCAGTGATTCTTAATGTTTAAAGTTTAACAAAGAAAACTACAGACTCTGGAGCCAGATTGCCTGGGTTTTAATCCAATACCTGCCACTTACTGTGTGGAGCTTGGAAAAGTTACTTAACCTCTCTGTGCCCTCAGTTTCCTCATCAGCAAAATGAGGGTACTAATTAGTGACTAGCATCATAGAGGTTTTGTGAATATTAAAGGATTAAACAGGTGTAAAGCTTCTGGGGCTGTGGTTCGAGTGAGTACTAAAAAACGTGTTAGCCATTGTTTGGAGAAAGTGGGCACCGAAGAACTACATGTTGCTGTGCTGAAGTAATCACTGTGAGCTTCATGGAATCATGCATTCAGCTTTGGAGATCTTCTAAGTCATGCCTGCTACTTGGAATCTGAGTTTGGGTTTTCTGAAGCAGATCCTGGGACAGTGCAAATAGTTTATTTGGGAGGAGATGCCAGGAAATATCAGCAAGAAAGTACATAAGTAAGAACAGAAAGAGGGGCCACCAGGAAGAGTGCCTGTGACAGGCAGCACTGCAGGACAGGCAGCACTGCGGGCGGCTATGCATGGTCCACTGAGAATTCTGGGAGCCAGCATGGAGCATGTGCTCAGTGTCATCCCACCTGAGGGGTGAGGGAGCTCCGGGGGTTGTTGGCCGAGGTCCGACACATGGACCTCGGCAGCCCCTGGGGCAGAATGGCAGATGCTGGCAGGTTGCAGGCAGGCAGGCATGAGACCAAATGCTGAGAGGGGGTATGGGTGGGGCACCAGATGTGTGTGCCACAGAATCCATCTGTCAGCTCTGATAAGTGCTCATCTAACACCTGTGTAATGCCTTACAATGATGGGCTTTCCCACCTTCAGAATCAGCCTCGGTGTCTATTGGATGGCTCTGAGTCATTATTAAATTAGGGGTAATAAGGATAAAAACAGTTCTGTGCTGTTTACAATCAGGGCAGCCCCTAGAATAGGGGTGATGAGTATGTGGCATTAGGGATGCTGTGTCAGACGCTGAGGCATCTCTTCTCAGTCCTGACACTTTCATACTGAGCCAGGATACAGCCTCAGAATCTTTCTTAACAGAGCTTTAGGTGTCCCTTCCAAACCCATCAGTGTAGGCACTTTGGTGAAGGCAGGTTGTCAGCCCTGCCTTAGGGCTTATGAAGCTGGCGTAAATCTGAGGCTGGAAAAAGCTCTGAGCTAGGTTATAATCATGCTGTGTCAAGGACCCACTGTTTGATTCTAGGTACATTTAACTTCTCTGGCTCTCCCTGCTCTTCTCTGGGTAGAATGAAGGGACTAACTAAAGCGAGGCAGACATGAAGTTTGGTGCAGTAGCAAGAGCCTGCTCTTTTACAATCAAGCAGGGTGAATCTTAGACCTTGGCATCATCATTTATAAACTATGTTCCTTGAGCAGCTCGTATCATCCACTCTGAGCCTCGGCATCTCCTTCTATAGTAGCCAGTTTGTGGTGGTGGTGTGGGTGTCAGAGATAATATAGATGAAATAGGGAGCTTCGCATGCAAGCAGGGGCTCTATAATTGTTCCCTATAATTGTCATCATAATCATCATCATCTTCATTTAAAGTCCCCCCCAGCTCTAAAACTCTATGCCTTTATGAAATGTCCTCATCTAGGAAGATGGTGTGGTAAAATAGGGCAACGGCCCGATTTTGTGTAAATGTGCTGTCTAATAAGGACAAGAGAAGCATAATTGCCCCTAAATAATTGCTCTGACTTTACCACAAGCTGTCAGAAGGCCTTAATTGGTCACTCTGTAATGACTGTGGCCATCTGCATTCGGGGTGATTTAGCGATGGGGCTTTGCCCAAGCAGGGGCCTCAATGATTAGAGCCGGCCAGGGTGATATTTATCCCTCTGATGGGAGTAGTGGTGTGTGGTACAGGAGATTATCTCATTCTCGTTGTAATGACCTATCAGTTGAACCCAGCCAAGAAGAAGCGGTGGTCACAAACAATGACTATGGATTTTTTTCTTTTTTCGAACATAGTGTTCCTGACCAAACAGCAGCATATTTGGAGTGTGATCATGCCTCTTGCTTTCTTGTCTTGTTGCCCAAGAAAGTCTCTTTTGGAAAGATTTAGTCCCTCAATTAGGGCAAATTGATTTCTGCTTTCTACAGAGTCACTGTACCAAAGAGAAGTGGGAAAGGGCGAGGGAAGCCATATTAATCTTTGTGCACAAGCAAGAAAAGACCTGGAGCATTTTTTAGCCTTCTAGCCTCTGGTTGTATGTATGTAGATCATCTTTTCTCTGTATTCTAATTTCTCCTGCCTACAAGATGCCAGACAACATAACACGAAACACACTTCATCTCAATGAAGTTCCTGGTGACAAAAATCAAAGTGATGGAAGCAGTGTTTCCCTAAGTGTACCAGCACAAAAGTCATTTTTTTCACTCATTCATTCATTCATTCATTGAGACAGGTTCTTGCTCTGTCATCCAGGCTGGAGTGCAGTGGCTCGATCATGGCTCACTGCAGCCTCAACCCGGTTCAAGCGATCCCCCCACCTCAGCCTCCTGAAGTGCTGGGATTATAGGCACAGTGCCTGGCCCAGAAGTGAGTTTAAGTCACACCTAAAATATTACAGGTGGTTCAGAGACTTTGCATTAAAAGTAACACTGGATAACGTGGAGGGAAAGCCTTCTCTTTTCAATTCTTTTTCATTCTTCTGATCACCTCAAATGAGGAGCCTTGGTTGGTTTTCCACAGCTCCCTCCTTGATGAAGAGAGGGCAGACTTTAAGCTCATAGTTGTGGAGAGGCAGGAGTATCTGGTAGAAATCTAAAATCTTACAACAAATTCTTATTTGTTGGAGATTTTTAATTATTAGCTCTTTATTAGAAATGATACCAATTTTTCATCTATGGTGTTTAAAGTTTCCTTTTAAAATAAAGTTAATAAAAAGTTTACCTTGTAAAATTTAGTTGACTTTTAAAACAACTAAGTAAATTGTAGTAAAGTAGATGAATGTGGCAAAAATCTAGATGGTAGTATATGATTGTCAGAAACTGGGGAAACACAGCTAGAAGAAGGAAACCATCATGTTTCCACAGCAAACCCAGGAATTTACTGGCCGTATGTCTAATCCTTATGCCTTTTCTTTTTCTTACCAGTTACACTGGCTAGGAATTCTAGTACAATATTGAATAGATGTTGTGAAAGCATACAGCTTTTCTCCTGATCAGAGGAGGAAAGCATTCCACATTTCGTCATTAAATATGATGTATGCTGTAGGTTTCTTTTGCAGCCATCCTAGAGTCTTCATAAAGGACCCCAAGCCTGATTAAAATCAAGAGACACCAACATTGAGGCTGAGACTTTTAGGAGAAAGAGACTGTCTTTGATATTTATTCAAAACAATTTATCCAGACTTGGGGCAGAAATCCAGCCCACATTAGGATAAGCAAGGAGAGGAATTTGCTGTCTTGTGTAATAAGAGCATCTAGGAGTCTGTCTGCTTCAGGCACGTGAGTCTAGGGAACTGAAATGTCATCAGGACAATGTTTCTCTCTCTATCCATGTCTTGACTCGTATTTTTACAGGTTGGCTTCAGTCTCAGCATATTCACCTACCACCTCTCATCACCTCATTTCACCAAAGATGTCACGAGTGGCTCCAAACTTAGGGCCAACCAGCTAGCAAAAGGAAAGGGCCTCATTTTTCAATAATGCTGCAGAATATTCTCAGGACCCATTATTTGAGCCAAATAAGGTCACATGACCATCCCTGAAACAATCACTGTGGCCAAGGGAATGGAATGCCCTGACTGGTCAGGCCTATACTACATGTTGGACCCAGGGAATGGGGTCAGCCCCACCAAAGTCTGATGGACTGAGAAGGGAAGGGGCAGTGTCCCAGATAAAAATAAAAATATTGTTACCAGAAGATGAGGGAATGGTTCCCAGTCAGGCATAAACCACAAATGTTCACACCCTTGGACAGAAGATCTCTCTCTGTTCCAGGTCGTGGCACCTTCACTGGACCTCTTTAAGCCTTAATTTCTCCATCTGTAGTACACAGGTGATGAGAACACTGCCCTTCTTCTCCCTGTCTGAAAGGTCTAGTGAGGCAGTGTACAGGAAAGCTGTGTCTAGACTGTGAAGTGCAGTTCACATGTAAGGGAGGAGTCATAAGGATGACTACTAAGCAACTGTTCTCACTCTTCTGTCCTCTTCTGTCTCATAGAGCACCTGAAGAAGCCTCTTGAAGACTACATGGCCCTTTTCCCCAGTGTGAGGATTCTTCGAACCAAGAAACGGGAAGGGCTGATAAGGACCCGAATGCTGGGGGCCTCAGTGGCAACTGGGGATGTCATCACATTCTTGGATTCACACTGTGAAGCCAATGTCAACTGGCTTCCCCCCTTGCTTGGTAAGGGAGCCCCTCCCACTTGGAGGGAGGCAAACTGCAATGAGCCAGTGCCAGTGGCCCCCTCCTGCTGCAGGGAGCCATCCATAAGCCTTCCCTTGCCTGTTCGAGATGCCCCCAGCACAATGCCAGGTGCCATGAGGGATTCAGAAGTTCAGGAGTGCTCAAAATTAAAATCCAGCCAGTCCTGTCCCTTCATTTCACAGAGAAGTTAAGACTCAGAGAGGCGAAGTGACTTACCCAAAGTCACACAGCACATGAGCATCTAGTGACATGACGGCTTTCCTCAGATGACTTCATTTTATTGCAAAGCAAGCCCGTGCTGTTTGCTGTTAATAGCCAAACTGTGGGGGACATCATCATATCAACTTAGAAGAGTTACCATAGACTGTGCTGCCACTGTGAGCCAGGCAGTTATAAGCATTATCTAATTCTCACAAAACCATGCAGGTCAAAAGTATACCCCTTATGTAGTAAAACAAACTAAGATTCTGAGATACTGAAGACTCACTTGTCCCCTTGAGCCATAAGTGTCAAAGTCACCATCTGTCGGGCTCCAAAGTCTATTCTCCTTCGCAGTTCTACATTGCCTCCCTGTATTCACTTCCTTTTAAATAAGAGTTCCTGGCAGATATCAGGGAAGGGCTGTAGAGAGGGCAGCGTGATCCACTAGCCCTCCACCACAGCCTACAGAGAGGAGGGAGATGGGAAGACTGGAGGCTGGGTGAAACATGCCTGAATCAGGCCTGAATCTTGAGGAGTTCGGTTTTGATGAGGGCAGTGTGCTGGTGCTGAGAGGCAGACATGGAAGAGGAACTGTCCTGTTGAGACTGGGAGTCAGGTGAGGGACACAGCCAGGGCTGGAGGCAGACTGGGGAAGAGTCATCATTCTGGAGAGAAAAATGAACTTAAGAAAGGATGGGTAAGCTCTGCACTACAGAATGCTTAGGGAGCAAAGAGAACTGAAGTTTAGGGCAAACTTGAGCGTGCATCAGAATCACCTGAAAGACTGTGAAAACACAGATGCTGGCCCCTATCCACAATTTCTGATCCAGGAGGCCCGGGGTGGAGCCTCACAAGTTGCATGTCTACCCAGCTTCCAGTGATGCCAGTGTTGCTGGTCCAGGGACCACACTTTGAGAAGCACTGGTTAGGGAATGCCACCATTCAGGGGAGAGGACAGAAAGCAGAACCCACACAAACACACAGAAAGATAATCCCGCAAATCTGTAACACAGATCAGCAAGGAACTTTCTTATTAGATTCTGTGCTTCTGACCCCAAGGGTCTACGATCTCACTGGGCTGGAGAAAGGATATAACCCAGAATTTCTGGTAAACTGTTTATTTAATTAAACCAAGAGATATTCTGCATTTACCTCTCATTACTGAAAGAAAAAAAAAAAGAAAAAAGCCTCACCATAAATTGCCTAATTTATAGTCCTGAAGGAACAACCCATTTGTAGGGTCATTCAGTGACTCATAAAGAGAATGAAGTGGTGGGGCTCGAAGCTGAGCTTGTAGTCTAAATAGCCCTTAACTCTGTTTCTATGGAAATATATGAGGGCAGTTTTCATAATCTGCAGACATACATGGAAGAAACATCCCCTTGTTGGTTTTTGTTGTTGTTGTTTTGTTTTTTGCTTCTTCCAATAGAAATGTGAACCAGTGATGTAGATTTAAAAGTCTGTCCCTGCTAATGTCAGCAGCTGACAGAGCGCATCATGGCTTTTGTCTGTGAAACCATTAACACCTCCATGCATAGCTCACTCTGCCTCCTTTGGAGAACACACATTTCTGAGACTGAGAAGGATTCATCCTCCCTATGGGAAGCCACTGTTGATCATCATTTCCTTTTTTATCATCATCATCATCATCATCATCATTATCACGGCTCTCATAACCCCTTCACTTTCTCAGCCACATTAACATTTGAATTTGACCATTGCCTGGTAAGGCAGGCAGACCAGGCATCATTATCCACTTTTTGCAAACGAGAAAACTGAGAGGCACAGAGTGAGGGAGATGCTCAGCCTTCCACTCCCACTTCTGAGCTGCCCTCAGTAATCCTGGTCATGGAGAGTGTCGCTGAGTGCTGACTATGTGCCAGAGGCTGCACTGAGTGCCGTGGCTCCATCATCCCACTTGGACCTCACAGAGGCCCCATGAGATAGGTGCTGTCTTCCTCCCCTTTGTCAGCAAGGAAACAGAGGCTCAGAGACATCAGATAGTCTTATCGAAGATTATACTGCTAAGAGGTGAAAAAACCAACCAGGATTTGAACCTGGGCATTCTGTCCCCAGGTGGGCACAGTGCCTTAGAACACTGCCTTCCGAAGCTACCTTGACCTCATGCCTCCCACAATCAGCCAGCAGCCAGCAGGGCACTGTGTCCTCAGCCCCAGCCCTCCTTGGACATGAAGTCCGCTGAACGGCCATGAACAATTAAATGGGAGGCCCTACTCTAAATCTTTCTCTAGAGGAGATTCTTAAGCTTCATTAAGAATCCCCAGGGAATCTGTCCACAAGGCAAATCCAAGTCAACCTCCAGAGATTCTGATTCAATGGGCCTGGGTCGGGGGCGGGCACGTGAGTTTTTTAAACACACCCCCAGGTGCATCTGGCACTGATGGCCCCTGATCCACATGTGGGGGTATACTGCCAAAAACAGTATTTCTCAAACTCTTTAAACCATGTGCCCCAGTAAGAACTACCTTGGGCATCTCAATCCAGTACACAGATGAACACACTCATGCAGTATGACTGAAACATGTTCCTGAAAGAGTATCACCTGTCACAGTATCCCTTATCACCTGAAATGCAGCCTGATATTTAGTATTGTTTTTTGGTTCATTACAAATGCACTTACAATCAATTTCATGACCCCACCTATGGACCGTGCCTTGCAGTTTAGGAAAAAGCAAAAATGCTGTTTTCTTTCCTGGAAGAAAAATGTGCTATCACTTGATGAAGGAAGCTTGGGCCCCAGGCAGCTGCTGGCTGCCCTGGCCCTACCAGGCTCCCATTTCTGAGCCTCGAATTTGACTTCTGGCCCAAAGCAACCAGGCATTGAGCACAGCCCACTTGTCTCCCACAGCAGATTGTCTGACCCAGTAGCTCACTGTTACCCCCCAGCTGTGGTCAGGGCTTCTTGGCACAAAGAAGAAGGGCAGAGCAAACCAAAGCTGGAATTGTGTTGGTAGGTTGGACAGACTCGATTTTCTAGAATCAGCTTCTCCCAGGCCTAAAAGGGACCATAAGCCATCTAAGTCAAGACCCCCCATTTGCCTTTGGAATCACCCAGCCTATGGCATCCCTGCAGGGTGTTGGTCCACCAGGCTCTGCTTACATACCTCCAGTCTTGAGGAACTCAAACTTCCTGGGGCAGTTCATTCCCCCATCCATAGTTCCGATGATTGAAAGAGTTGAGCTGAATTCTTGCAAGGAGGGCCGTTTGCTCACTGATTACAGCCTAGGGTGCCAGTGAGCTGTTAGGGGCACATAGTCTGCTATGAAGGAAAGTGCTGGGGTGCCTACTGCTTTGGGCCGTAAATCAAGCTCAGGACTTGGAATGAGGAGCCTCGCAGGACTAGAGCAGGGGCCTTCCCAGAAGGAAATCAATCTTTTTCCATAGTGGTACTGATCATTATGCTAATAATAAGGCACGTATGCTAAGCATTTTCAAACATACTGTGTTCAGTCCTCATAACCTATGAGGCAGAGCCTCTTCTTAACCCATTGCATAGAGGAGAACACTGGGGTTTGGAGATATTATTTGTGCAGCTGCCTCAGGGCCCCATGGAGAGTAAAAGGACTGAGATGAGAGCCTCGGTCCCTCTTGCTTAAAGCTTGCAGTCTCCCTTCCCCTCCATGGATTGTCAAACTGAGGGTTCAGAGATGTTAAAAATACAAGTAAGCTGCAGAACAGGATGGTGCACTTAGCTGCTTCCCCATCCTGCTTCATCTGATAGGCATCTCTTGGCTTCTTCAGACCGCATTGCTCGGAACCGCAAGACCATTGTGTGCCCGATGATTGATGTAATTGACCATGACGACTTTCGGTACGAGACACAGGCAGGGGATGCCATGCGGGGAGCCTTTGACTGGGAGATGTACTACAAGCGGATCCCGATCCCTCCAGAACTGCAGAAAGCTGACCCCAGCGACCCATTTGAGTAAGTATGAACAACCCTGGCTGGTCCCAGTGGCTACCCAGTGACCACTCCCAACACGCACACAACTCAGGATCGCCATCTCCCTTAAAAGCCCAATGCAGAGGGTCCAGCTTCCCAGCCCCACTTAGTACCAAGTGTCAGATATCCCCAGCCAGTAGCACCATCCCTCCCAGCTTGTAACAACCTCAGCTCATGGCCCACCAGGCTGGTCTCCACCTTGCCCACTTCTGCACAGTTTGCCAGGATTGTCAGCAGGGGTGAGTGGGTCTCTCATGCTCTCTTCCTCAAGCCTGCCATGCAATTATAACCATCATCGTCACCAAGTGCCCAGCCCAGTACTAAGCACATTACCCTCTGATCCAATTTAACCCCCTACAACTATATATGGTAAAAATTATTATCCATGTTTTCCAAATGGGGACACCAATGCTCCAAGAGGCTAAGTAATTTGCCCAGGTTACTAGGTACAAATGCAGGTCTGTCTGTCTGCCTCTGGAGCCAATTTTCCCATCGTACTGCTATACCCACTTGGAAGTGTAAGGAAAATAGCAGTTTGTCCCACAGCAGAAGTTTGCAGGCTAGGGGAGGGTGATGGGCTGGACTCACAGCATCCTAGAATGTGAAGGCTGGAAGGAACCTACCAGTGAAGAACTCAGCCCCTTGCAGATGAGGGACTAAGGCTCCAGAAGGAGGAGCTCTGTGAGTGGCTAAGACAGAAATAGAGCCCAGCCCCTCTCTGGTGCTCCAAGCTCTGGAAGGGGCTTCTCCCCAACAGTAGGCTCACTGTCCCTGCAGCTGTCCTGTGAGCTGTTCCAGTTCTCCTGCGACACGTGTGGAAAAGATCTCTGGATACAAAGCCGAAGCCCAAGCTCTCCCGCTGTATTAGTTTCCTATAGCTGCTGTGATAAATTACTATAAACTTAGAAGGTTAAAACAACACAAATTTATGCTTAAAACTCTGGAGGTCAGAAGCCTGAAATGAGTCTTACTGGGCTAAAATCATAGTGTCGGCAGGGCTGCATTCCCTCTGGATGCCTTGGGAAGAATCCATTTCCCTACCTTTCCTGGCTTCTAGAGGATGCTTACATTCCTTGGCTCATGGCCCCTGCCTCCAACTTTAAAGCCAGAAGGATAGAATCTTCAGATCTCTGTTTCCTTCTCCTTGCTTTCCTTCATACCTCTGCTTCCTTCATCACATCTCCTTCTGACTCTGACTTTCCTGCCTCCTTCTTTCACTTATAAGCCCTGTGATTACATTAATGATATGTGATTCCATCAGGCTCGCCAAGATAACCTCCCCACCACAAGATCCTTAACCTTAATCACATCTGCGAAGTCTCTTTTGCCACATAAGGTAACATATTCACAGGTTCCGGAGATTCAGACACTGCCATAACTGGGGAGTCGTACCTCTCACCACAGTTTGGCCTTCAGTGAACCACATTTCTCTATGCCTTACTCTCCCCATCTGAGAAGCAGGACTGTTGGAAGCTCAGCCATCTTCATGGGCATGGTGCATACCCAGGGCTCCTGAGAGGAACCCCTAACACTATGAGCCCCAGGGCAGGCTCAGAGGTAGAAAGAGTTGGGTTCTTTGAGGAAATGAAAGGTGGCCAGGACAATGGACCAGCCTGAGCCAAGAGTGGAGAGCAAGAATGGATTCCATGTCTCCAGCAGCAGGTCAAACATTTGTGGTCTTCTCTTGGCCTCTTGAACACAGTTGATCACTACTATTAGATCCCTTCCTGGTCCAAAGATATGATTTAGCCATGATCACATTATGCAGTCTGCCCCACCTTCTGTGTACCTCAGAATCAATCCTCAGTTGACCTAAATCCTTGTAGAATAATACCAACACCAGGAGTAACTAACATTTGGCCTGTGTTGGCAAAGCAATTTCTACTGACCATTATTGTGCATGATCCTTATAATAATGTAGGATCCTCAGGTCTAGGTAGAATTACCCTCATTTGACTGATGGAGGCCTTGAGGTTCAGAGAGGAAACAAGACTTGTCCTAGTTGACATGACTGCAGAAGCTGAGGTTAGAATAGGCTGCTCCAGAAAATGGAATTTTCAGGGTAACCAAGGGGGTAATTAGAACCTCCTTTATTGTTTGAACCTTTGCAATGAGCAGACTCATTGAAAGGTACTTAAGGACAGGTCTTGGCCCATCGTTATCCTCATTGCACAGTAAGGAAAGGCTAAGACCAGGTCATACAGCTGGCTAGTAGCAAAGGCCCAGCTAGTGTCTTCTGGGGCTTCAGTCTCCTCATCTGGATATTGAAGTGATTGGCCTCACCAGAGAGCACTGGCTCTTGACCCTAGCCACACATTGACATCACCTGGGGAGCTTGTAAAAACACAAAGGCTTCCCTCAAGAGCAGTTACACTGGAGTCTGGGGGTGGGATGCAGGTATCATCATTTTTTAAAGCTCCCAGGTGATGCTTATGTGTGGCCATGGTTGGCAGTCACTGGTGTAGATGCTTTCTGAAGGGCCCTCCATCCTCTCCCATGATTCCTTCCAGAAGTCTCTCTTCTGCTTTTTACTTGGACAGAACCCTAGGAAGTGGCCACTAGAGAAATTCTGGTCATTTTCTGTACAGCTTCCCACCTTCCCACTTGATGGTAGAGTGCCCAGCAAGTGGGCAATCTACAGGCACAGCATGGTGCAAGGATGTTTAAAAGACATGGTTTCAGTGGCAGACCCCACTTTCAGTAATAGCTTATCCACTCACTATGAGCAGATTATTTAACATTTCTGATTTTCAAATATCTCCGTCTGTAAAGGAGACTAATATTAGAGCTTTGTGAGAGCTGGAGATGGTGTCAGTAAAGTAAGTAGCACACACTGGACACTCAGAATTGTTACTAGTATTGCCAAACACAGCAGAAACCAGAACAGGCTGGGCAGAGAGGCCTCTCTCTGGAGGCAAAGCCTCGAGCATCCCAAATGCCTTAGAGCTGATATCCTGCCTATTCCATGCAGCCCCTCAGCCCCGGCCCCTGCTTTGACCGAGGCTGATTTTCATGTGCAAAGCCTTGAGTTCAGTCTCCCATGAAGCACCAAGTCAGAAACACTGTCAGCCTTTCCAAGCGGTAGATTTGTGGCTCCAGCCAAAAAAAACCAGGACCCCCTCAATCTCCAGAAGACAAAGGGGAGCCAATACTAATAACACCTTATTTTCTTATAGTACTGGGTACTTTTAGAAATATTCTAGCTGTATTAATCCATTCTCACACTGCTATAAAGAACTGCCTGAGACTGGGTAATTTATAAAGAAAAGAAGTTCAACTGACTCACAGTTCCACATGGCTGGGGAGGCCTCAAGAAACTTACAGTCATGGCAGAGGGGGAAGCAAACACATCCTTCTTCACAAGGCGGCAGGAGAGAGAAGTGCTGAGCAAAGAGGAAAAAGCCCCTTATAAAACCATCAGATCTCATGAGAACTCACTCACTATCATGAGAACAGCAGCATGGGGGTAACTGCCCCCATGATTCCATTACCTCCCACCAGGTCTCTCCTATGACACCTGGGGATTACGGTAACTACAGTTCAAGATAAGATTTGGGTGGGGACGTAGCCAACCGTATCACTAGCAACGTGGGATAGGAAGTATAGCTATCACTCCATTGTTTAGATGGGGAATAGGGCTCAAAGAGGTTAAATCAGCACTGTCCAATATAATACAAGCTGCATATGTGATATTATTTTCTAAGGTAAAGAGAAACAGGTAAAATTCATCTTAATAATGTATCTTATTTAAACCAGTATACCTCAAATATTATCGTTTTAACATGTAACCAACACTTTAAAATTATTAATGAGTTCTTTCATACTCTTTTCATCCTAAGTCTTGGAAATCTGGTGTGTATCTCACACTCACAGCACATGTCAGTTCATACCAGTCACATTTTAAGTGCAGAGTCATCACCTGTGGCCAGTGGCTTCCTTCCTGGGTAGCACAGGGTTAATGGTTAAACGCTGCATCTCAGGTCACACAGCAGGTTAAGGAAAGCAGAAATGAGAGTGAGGGTTCCGAATTTCTCACGCCCTGTTCTTTGCATGCATCACCTGCTTCTCGAGTGTTCCTGCCTGCCTGGAGGCAGTATATTGTGGTGGCGAGGGGTGTGAACTGTGGCTTAGATTAGAGATTCACATCCCAGCAGTGCTGCTTTTTAGCCATGGGGCCTTGAGCAAGTTCCCTGTCTGCACTCCAGTTTTACATGTGTAAAATGGTGATGATAATGAGGCCTGCCACATGAGGTCGAGGTGAAGAGTAAATTCATTTTATTAATAAATTAGCTCCGTACAGCACCCGGCATATTCAAGCCCTCAGTAAATATTCAGGGGCTCCCCTTTTAAAGGAGTCCTGCCTGTGCTGTAAAGGCTCATCTGCTACTGGAAGGAGGAGCTGCTTGGGCAGCTTTTGGGTTGACTAAGAGCTTATTCGATCAGCCTACTTCCCATGAGCTTGCACTTCCAGGGACCAGGAGGGGGAATGGAGGTTGCTGCTGGAATGTTTGGATTTGAGGGTTTGGAGTTTTCCAGTGCATCCAGACAAGGATGCAGCCACTCTGATAGCTTTTCACACAGCAAACGCTGGTTGGCCCCTACCAGGTGCCAGTCTTGTGCGAGATACCCTGGGGGACGCTGACAGTCAGCAGCATGACGTTTCCTCACTTAGCACGGTGCCAGGCGGACTTCCTGTTCCCGTGGGTACTGCATGATTTGTCGTCTCTGTGTCCTTGCTGACGTTTTATCCTCCCCTCAGTGCCTTTCCCTCTCCCAAATTTCCTCTTGTCCAAACCCACTTAAATGCCACCTCCCCTGAGCCTCATTCCTTGACCCTTGCCCCAGCCATCCTCCTTACCCCAAAAGCTGGAAACAGACACACTCCTTTCAGATTCCTGTAATGCTGTCTCTACCTCCCGGAGTCCCTTATGCACCCTCTGTCTTGAGGGGGCTGCCCCACTACACCAACATCTCCTGAAGGACTCTCATTGACCTCGAGATTCTTCCAGCACCTCCCTCACAACTGGCATGGGATGAACAAACTCATTAGAGAATGAATGAATGGAGTTAATCTTATCTCCCAGTTTAACTGAAAAGACAGAGACAGTGGCTTCTTCTGTAAACACCACAGCAGAACAAACGTCCATGCTGGCCTACTGAGTAATAGTTGTCAAAGGAGCATGTTCAAAAACACAGAGCCCTAGGCTGCCTCCCGCAAGGATTGTTTCAGCAGGTCTGAGGTGGGGCCCAGCGAGCTGTATATTTTTTCATCTCTCTAAGAGATTCTACAACACAGACAGGCTTGGAGAGACCCCCAACTTGGACCATTTAACTAGTGAGAGGACTAACATGTACATATTTATGATGCAGCTACAGGGCCCATGTGGACAAAGTACTGTGATTTCATTTCACAAGTACTCTTAGGTGTTAATTGTGTAAAGGAACTTCGGGTCCCATTTGGTTAAAATGTAGCTCTTATGAAAGGAAGTTGTAGGAAAGAAAGGGGGATGCCTGGAAGGGCCTTGGATTCCCTGGAAGACACTTGGACTGTGTTCAGGGAGCAGCATGGAACACCGCCGCTGGGGGAATGGCATTATCGGGCCACATGAGAGCATGTGGCCAGGACATCTGCACCTTCACACCATGTTCTTCTTCTCTGACAGGTCTCCCGTGATGGCCGGTGGACTGTTCGCCGTGGATCGGAAGTGGTTCTGGGAACTCGGCGGGTATGACCCAGGCTTGGAGATCTGGGGAGGGGAGCAGTATGAAATCTCCTTCAAGGTGAGCCAGCTCTCCAGACGCCCCGTTCTTGGCACAGCCTCCTGAGTGCCTGTCCCAGTAGGTGTCTCAGCTTCTGCCTGAGCTTGGAAAGACTGGAGGCCTCAGGGTTCTGTAGCCCTTCTGCCCATCAGGTGAAGAAGACAGGGGCTCATGGGCCACTCTTTGTTGTGGGGTGGGGGGGTGTGGGAGGGAAGGGGAGTACTCTCCAGCTGCCAAAGGCTGGTCCTCACCACAGCTCTGACTGGCATTTGCCTTGTGTCTTCTTAAGATGTTGGAATAAGGTCTTGCTTCTACTCAGATGGCAGGTCTGAGATTGAGATGTCCAGCAAATAAGCAGTGGGCCAGAGAAGCTAGGAAGGCCAAACAGGATACGTAGGCCTAGAGGAGTCCTCTCAGTCACCCCAAGTTTTCCCTTTGTACCTGTTGCTCTAGGAGTTTGACAAAGACCAGTGAGCATAAGCTCCAGTTGTAAAGTTACAAAGGCCTGGATTCAGATCCCAGCTCCATCATCAGGAGCTATCTGACTTTGGGCAAGTTAGATCACCCCCCCGAGCTTTCTTTCCTCATCTGAAATAAGGGAATAATAATACTACCTAGCTTACAGAGCTATCGTGAAGATTAAATGAGATCATGTCTAGAAAGTGCTTAGCATACAACCTGGGAACATGACCAGCAATTAATAATTGGTAGAAATTGTTAAAGTTTCGGTGAGTAAATATTTACTGTAACCTACTTGACCAGCCTATGGACTCTGGAAGCTTTCTGACAGTAGTGGTAAAGGAGTTACTAGTTAACTAATAACTAATTAAGCACCCAAACTTCCAAGGCTACATTCTCCACTTTATTTGTGGGAGTCTGTCTTGTTCTCAAGTGAAAGCTTGGACCTTCTGAGGGGAGGGTTAGCTTGTCCCATGCCCTTGTGGCCTGTCAGAGTCAGCTTCTAACAGCTTAGACCCCTGGCTAAGGCATATCCCCAGCCCACAAGGGACAGATAGCACCATTACTGATCTGACCCCTGTGAACACACAACTCTGATGCCCCCTCATCGGGCCTCAACTTTCAGTGCAAAGGACCATTGTCAGGCACAGTGAATTAAGGCTTTGGTATTGGTGCCAGAGTGCCACGATCAGATCCTAGCTCTGCCGTGTCCTGCCAGCTGTGTGATCTTGGGCAAGGAATCCTCACCTCACTGAGCCTTGGTTTCTACTTCCATAAAGTGGGTTTAATGAAACGTTAATCCTCACAGAGTTGTTGAGAGGATTAAGTGAGACCATGCTTATTAGGTGCTTCTTAATAAATTATCCTAAAGATTATTATCAATACATTAATATTATTATCTGCAACAGTGGTTGAGTAGTTCAGAACTGGAGAACATAAATTCTTGATTAGCCCAAAAAAAAAAAAAACCTACAATTCTTTTGATGTTATTTAGGTTTGAAAAGCAGTTTATATCCTTTTTTTTTCTTTTCTTTTCTTTTGTTTTTTTTTTTTTGAGATGGAGTTTCACTCTGCTGCCCAGGCTGGAGTGCAGTAGTGCGATCTTGGCTCACTGCAGCCTCCACCTCCTGGGTTCAAGTGATTCTCCTGCCTCAGCCTCCTGAGTAGCTGGGACTACAGGCGCCCACCACCACGCCCAGCTAATGTAGAGATAGGGTTTCGACATGTTGACCAGGCTGGTCTTGACCCCCTGACCTCAGGTGATCCACCCACCTCGGCCTTTCAAAGTGCTGGGATTACAGGTGTGAGCCACTGTGCCTGGCCAGTTTATATCTATTTTAACCACCAGAGTTCTGAAGTTGTCTCCCATAAGGAGACCAGCCCCCTAAATAAAATTAATATTCACATAAGGGTAATGTTCAAAATATGTAACAACTGTGATAACACAAGCACATCCAGTCAGAACAGATACCAGCTATAAACAATGGTGCATCCACTCCAGCGTGTAACAAGTGAAGTTCGGTCCTGATCATAGCTAACAGGACAGTGTGCCAAGCCCTTCATACATGCTGACTTGTTTAATCCTCACAACAACCTTAGGAGAGTTGTATCATTATTATACCCGTTTCACCAGGAAGGCAAGCAAAGCTCAGACCAAGGCCTCGCACAGCCGGAAGAAGCAGAACTGGGGCCCAAACGCAGGTCTGCTTGACTCCAAAGCCCACGCTCTGACCTGCTATTTTTGTTGTTGTTTAAATCATACCCAGACTGTTCTGAAAACCTGCCATGTTTTATGGACCTCTGCCTCACCCTTTCTGGGATTTTTTTTTTTTTTTTGCCTCTTCTGGTATTATTCCTAGTTTACTTGGATATTCTGCAATTTCTTAGTTAATGGAATTAATAACAATCTAAGTCGGAAGTGGCAAATAGGGCCAGGAATGGTGGCCGAGATGGGAGGATCTCTTGAGCCTAGGAGTTTGAGACCAGCCTGGACAACACAACACGACCCCATCTCATTAAAAAAAAAAAAAAAAAGAAGGAAAGAAAGAGAGAGAGAGAAGGAGTGGGGAGGGAGAGAGGGAGGGGGAAAGGGAGAGAGAGAGACAGAGAGAGAGACACAGCAAATAGGTTTCTACTCCCTGCCAGGCCAACTCTGATCCATTGGTAGGGGCTGCCCCAGGTGGGTGTTGATATGCATTCTGAGGCTGCTTCCAAGCTTATCAGCAAAGAGTAGTCAGTGGGGGAGGGATCTTTTTGTGTTTCACTCACCGCCATATCCCAAGTACCTAAAGCCTGGTCCAACACAGAAAAGACACTATGAGACCAATTTTTATGAGTCATAATTTTTATTATTGTATTAAATCTTTTCTAAAATTATATTTATATAAATATCTTATAAATATTCTAAAAATATGTAAAATGTATAAAAGTCTAGTAGTTCTGATATAACACTGTCAGCCATAATTCTGGTTATCATGTTAAAATACTACATATAATAAAATAACTAAATTCAAGACCAGCCTGGCCAACATTGTGAAACCCCATCTTTACTAAAAATACAAAAATTAGCCAGGCGTGGTGGTACATGCCTGTAATTCCAGCTACTCAGGAGGTGGAGACAGGAGAATTGCTTGAAGCTGGGAGGCAGAGGTTGCAGTGAGCCGAGATCGTGCCACTGCACTCTAATCTGGGCGACAAAGCGAGACTCCATGTCAAAAAAAAAAAAAAATCAAAAACCTTTATCAAATTTTAACTGGGATTATTCTATTTTTCTCACTTATTTAGAATTATTATTCTAAATTCTTCTATAAAGGCATTTACAATAAATTCTAGTCCAACATTGCTTTTCATAAAAAAGACTCCAATAAATATAAGTATAAAAAATAATACAATTAAAAGTATACAAATATATATTCCAATTTTATTAAATATCATATTTTTTCCAGTCTACAACAGACTTTATTACTATGAAGTCTGTATTACTGTATAGAATCTATAATATCCTCATAATAATCCTATTAAAATATTGTATTAAATACAAAAAAAAGACACCATCAAAAACCCCCTGCATCCTACTAATGAGAACTAAACTCAGTCCAAAACATATTTTCCAAGAAAAGGCTAAAAAACACACTAGGTCTGATACAACTACAACTAAAAATTACCAACCTTCCTAAACAAGAGCCCTTCTAACTACAGATGGCAATCAACATTAATTCTTACCAACACAACCAAACAATTTATGACCAAAAACTTCGTGAAACAAAGTGGCAAATGTAAGAGGCCGTGTTTGCCCATTTCCCTTTGCTGGGAGAATTTCACAAAGCCCCTGACTCCGGGACACTGTGCAGCTCTCTGGAAAAATGTTTTAAAGGCAAAACAGGATAGAACGCATGGCCCCCCATGTCTCTCGCCTGAGTCACTAATTCCATCAAAGATAAATGACCCTAGTCCTCGCCTTTCTCTACTCATAAAATAACACCCGACAAGAATAGTGACTATGTTTCTGTAATCTATAACCAGATGTACTCTAACACCCAAACCTTGATGTAATTTTTCACATACTAAATCTTCACCACCTATGTATAAACTAAAATACTACGTTGGAGGAGTCTGAGAGAACCTTTCTAAAAGCCTCCTCCCAGGCTACAGGCCTTGGTCTATAATCCTCAAGAAGACTTCTAAATAAAACTAACTTTAATTCTTTAAAAGCTTCGTTTTTTTTCTTTAGTTGACAGCAGTTAACAAATATTGGCTGAATACTCCAAGTAAGTGTGTCCCTGGCCAGAATCAGCCTCCAAGCTCCTAACTGGCTCCTTGCTCTAGAAGACCCTCTTCAGAACCCCCACCATGGAGAACAGTGAATGGAGAAAGATTTGCACAAAGGAATTTCTAAACCAGCCCAAAATGATTTCATTCTATGTGTTTCAAAGACCCATCTACTGATGCTCATCAGGCAATTATGGCAGAACAAATGGCATTTTTCTCCACAGTTATTTACAATAGACTTGGTAATGAAGCCATATTGGAAGTATCTCATCCGGGAGGGGGAAGGAGGCTGGCTTACATTTCCATTTGATCCAATTATGTCCGTCACTCTCCAGAGGAAATGAGACAGTGTAATGAGGAGGCTCCTGAGGTCCGGAAGGGAGACTTTTCTCCCTGGGCTTTCTCTCTCCTGGCTTGGAAAAGGAGAGTTTCTGGAGCCAGCAACAGCCCATCTGCCAGTGCACTGTCTCCCAGGACCCTGTGGAAAGACTGCCTGCAGGGCTGAGGGGAACAGGTGAGCCCATTCATCCCTGGCAGCGCCCTGCTGGAATGCAGGTGTTCTCTTTCAGCCAGAGCTGGCATTTACGAAGGACCGAATTCCCTCTGATTCATCTCTGCTAAGATCCCTTTTCTTGGTGACAGAGAGAAGCCTGGTCTGAAAGGCATGAGTGTATTTTCAGAAATTAAGATCAATCAACACGTACCTTCAGGGCTGAGGGCTGATTCCAGACCGGATTCTCTATCCTGATGAGAAAATCCCCAAAAAGTGTCCCAACAGCTCTGAAATTTCTAGAAAAGTCATTGACTTTCCCTTTCCCTCCCTCCTTCTCTGTCTGTCTCTCTCAGCAGAGCAAAGTTCTCACGTGGAAGTCAGAATCTTCCTAGTTCTAGTGGTTGGACAAGTCTTTAACTCCATAGCCTAGCTCCAGCTAGGTTCATGAGCTGGCCCTACTGCTCTCTCCTTTCCCCTTTTCCTCTTATCCCATTGCATTAGTCTGGATTCTTGCTTACAGATAACCAAAACCTTAGTCAATCTGATTTAAGCAAAAACCAGAATTGATAGGCTCACATAACTGAAATTCCAGGGTAGACCCTAAGGCCGGGCTGGATGCAGGGACTCAGTCATCTCACTCGGGCTAGGTCTCTCTCAATGCCTAGTCCCTATTTCATCTGAGTTGGCTTCCCTCTCAGGTGGGCTTTTTCTCATGGAGATCCTCAGCAGCCCATGGAAGGAGAGTGTTTTTCCCATCATCTTGTACAAGTCCCCAGGTTGAGTCTCATTGGCCTGCTGGCCCCATGCCCATCCCTGAACAATACTGCAATTGGTCACCTGCAGTCACATGCCCTGTGACTGCAGGAAGGTGGGGATGGGCTAGTTACCCAAAGGAAAGTCCAGGTGCTGTGCCCAGAAGGGAGAATGGATGTGGGGCAGAGCAAACCGTAGATGTCTACCTTACCCAGCCAGACAAGACTGCATGTAAGAACCAGGCTTACGGGCCAGCCCCTCTCTGCAGGCCCACACTGTACACTCCTGAAATGCCATTCCTTAGTCTGGCCAACCCTCATTCACCCTTCCAATCTCAGCTTATATAGATGGCTCCCCATGCTGCCTAGGAACTACCCCACATTGCACTCCCATCTCTGCATGCTCCCTGGAGGCAGGGAGGAGGTTTTGTCCACCTCTATATCCCCAGTCTCTGGCCCACATCAGTGTTTTCAGTAAGTGTTAGTGTGTTAGTGGCATCACTTCCAACTGATATACCTCCTTGGTACTACCCTTCCCAGACTTAGGAGGCCATCTTTGGACAATGGTGTATGGTGGGAAAGTGCTCAGCAAGGAGGCTCTCCTTCCATCCTAGGACCCTGGGCCAGTTGTTTCACCTCTGGTCCTCATACCCCAGACTGTGCTGATACGGTTTTCCTTCCTACCCCACAAGATAGGATCAAATGAGATGCTGTGTGGACAGCCCTCTGACATACACAGATATGAGGGGTTGTTTGGATTAGGGGGGGAGGCAGCAGGATGAGCAGAAAGGAAACTGCACAGTGTCCCCAGGAGGCCATGGTTAGGATATCTCCAACTATGAGATACGGGAGACAGAAAGTATCCAACCAGGACAATGTGACCAAACTAAAGTGAGAAAAATGTAGGCTTTGGGGCAGTGTAAGTGGGTATATCTTCTGTGAATAGCAATTTGGCAAAATCCATTACATTTCAGAGCAAGCACATTCTTTGACCTGAAATTCCATGCCCAGGAGTTTATATAAGAGAGACAGTGATGAGCAAAGATTTATTTGCTGAAGTGTTACTTACCATAGCAGAAGATTGAAAATGACCCAAATGCACGTCCTTTGGGGATAAATAAGTTAGAGCATATCTAAACAAGAAAATATTACGTAAAATAAATTGGAGGTCTCCACAAAAAAAAAAAAAAAAAAAAACCCATTTTTTTTCAGACAGGATCTCACACCGTTGCCCAGGCTGGAGGGCAGTGACGTGATCAGAGCTCACTGCAGCTTCAACACCCCAGGGCTCGAGCAGTTGTCCCACTTCAGCCTCCCAAATAGCTGGGACTACAGGTCTACACCACCACTCCCGGCTAATTTTTTAATATTTTGTAATGACAGGGTCTCCATATGTTGCCCAGGCTGGTCTCAAACTCCTGGCCTCAAGCAGTCTTCCTGCCTCGGGCTCCCAACATGCTGGCATTACAGGTATGAGCCACCGCGCCCAGCCCATCTCACTTCTGAAAATGACTCAGTGCCATGAACCCTTCATCCCTAGTGGCCTTTGGGGGTGGGAGGTCTTCAAAGTACAGCCGTCTCTTTCTACCTAATGTGTGTCTGCAACATCGAACTTGTTCATCATAAGTACGTATTACTTCTGTAACCAGGAAAAGTTACAAGAAGAAGGGGCCAGGCACAGTGGCTCATGCCCGTAATTCTCACATTTTGGGAGGTCGAGGCAGGAGTATTGCTTGAGCCCAAAAGTTCAAGACCAGCTTTGGGCAACACAGTGAGACCTCATCTCTAAAAAAAAGTTCTTTTAATTAGCTGGGCATGGTGGTGTGCTGCGTGCCTGTAGTCCCAGCTACTTGGAAGGCTAAGGTAGGAGGAGGATTCCTTTAGCCTGGAGGTCAAGGCTGCAATAAGCCATGTTCATGACACTGCACTCCAGCCTGGGTGATAGAGTGAGAACTTGTCTCAAAGGAAAGAAAAAAAAAATAAGAAAATGTTGGGTTCTCAGCACTTCCAGCCCACCCCCATCCATATACATTCCAGCACATTGTTGGGGCCATTTGCAAGCTCTGAGATGAGATTCTGCACAAGTCAGCAGTGCAGAGACTCCCAGGGAAGGCCTGAGGCCGCCAAGAGCAACTCTGCAGGGTCTGCTCCAAGAGGCAGAGGTGGGCCCCACCGTCCTTGGCAAAATGGAGATTGGTCTGAGGGTTCCATGAGGCAGGCTTGCAGGAGCAAGGGAGTGATAGAAAGCCATGTGAGGGGACGAGAGGGAGGACACCCTCCCCTGCAGAAGTCAGGAAGGTCTTTGAGCTTGTTCTGAGAGGAAAACCCATTCTCTGGGTAGAGGAATGAAGACTCAGAGGAGACTGGGGTTCGCTTTGTGTGATACTGATATGGTTACTGAAAGGCTAGCCCAGTCCCAGGCTACGTGAACAGACTTAAAAAAAAAAAAAAAAAAACTCTGATTTTTTTTTTCCCATAAAACTCAGTGTTATCAAGAAGACTAAGTGAAACAGGACGTGTGAAAAGAAGGCAGGACACACCCAGAAGCTGAGCAAGGGTGATATTGCAACCTGGCCCAGAGCGGTTAGGTGACTGGGCAGGGTCCCTCCACCGGAAGGTGGCAGTGCCAAGGCTAAATCCCAGATGCCCTGGCTCCAAGCCCAGTGCTCATCTCATTCCGCCTGGTGGTAGGAGTAGAGAAAAGGTGTATCCAGTCTAAAGAGAGGCCCGTGTTCCAGGAAGGGCCCAGAGGTCAGGACCAGCCCTGAGAGGGGTTAAGTTGCCACACAGGAGGGAGAAATGATTGCCAAAGGCCAGCCCAAGCACCAGAAGGATATCCAGGGCCACCATCAGGCAACTATATGGCAATACATTTCCCCATCCTTTTCCCTGCCCCTACCAGCACCCTCTGCCTCGGACAGCTGCAGCATGGCTGCCAGGAACCTGGTCCTCATTTCTTCCTTTCCCTGTGTTATCCAAGGATGATGGAAATATGCTCTGATACATGCAGCATTTTCGTCCTGGGGCCACATATGCCCAGCCTTTGCAAGAGCCGTCTGCTAGAAACAGGGAAGGCATTCTGCTCATGACTCTCGGCAAGTCATTTGAAATTCCATGAGTGTCCCTGCCTGTGGAGCCTGCTTCTCCCACCACTCCTCCAAGGAGACGGCTCAAAGGCCCGAGGGTCGCCTGTGTGTATGTTACTCCCTAACCAGCACACACCTACCTCATGGTGCCTTGGCTCTTTCATCCCTAAAAGTGGTAATAAAATAACTTCTTCAAAAGTTTGTTGTAAGAACTAAATGGGATGATATGTATATTTGGCCTAGAGCTAACCAAAGAGGAGGCACTCAATAAGTGGCAGCTGTTCTGATCATAACCCTCAGGTAAGGAGGCAGAACAGCACAGTATTACACAGATGGGCTTCAGCATCAAACTGCCTGGGTTCTAGTGCAAATTCAATGAGCTAGCTGCTGTGTGACTTTGGGAAAGTGACTTAACCTCTCCTCTTTATATTATTTAGGGGATGGAATAATCTTTACTTCATAGTGCAGTCGTGAGCATGATATGAGCCAAAATATATTAAAAGCTTAGCTCAGTGCCTGGAACATAATAAATGTTCGCTAAATGATAGCTGTTAATGTCAGCATGGTTGTGGTTATTGTGATCGGGCTGTGGTTGCAGGAAGACAAGAGTGGAAAGAGGCTGGCAAGACAGGTCAAAAGGCCTTGGCTCTAGGCCCTGTTCTGGAACAAACTCTCTGTGAGATCTTGGACTCATCTGCCCTTTCTCCTGAACTTTTATTTCGCCATCTACAGAGGGGCACCAATCATCCCAAATTCACAGGGCTGTTAGGAAATATAGTGTGAACTGGCAGGCACAGTCACCTGAGACGCTGTCACCATTCCAGTACGCGGTGGCTCCCAAGGTGTGAACCCTGGACGAGCAGCATTAGCATCACCGGGGAACTTATTAGAAATGCAAATTACCAGGCTCCACCCCAGGCTGCTGAGTCAGAGGCTGCCGTGGAGCCCAGCCAGCTGTGTTTCAACATGCCCTGCAGGTGCTTCCGATGAGGCCCAAGGTTGAAAATCGCAGCTGTAATGAATAGGTGGGAGGTTGTGCAGAGAGGATGCTCAGGCGTGGGTGTGGAAGGACAGAGTAAATGGGCAGGTTGGTTGGCAGGTTGGCCAACAAGTTCCAATACCTTCACCCGGCTTTCAAGGCTCTGTATCTTTGGTCCACCCTTGGCAGTTCGTTTCTGTTCCATTTTTTCCAGCATGGTTTTTAGAACAAACCTGACCAATGACCAGATCATGTATGAATGAATGAATGAATGAATGAATGAATTAGGTAATTAATGTTTGTTTGGGGTTTCAACAGTCACAGAAAGAAAAATTCACAAGCCCCCAGGGCAGAAAAGTGAATGCATTGCGGCCAGTTGTCAGCAGCATCCACATAGGGAGTCCAGCGGGTATGGAGAGGGTAGGAGGTGATAGGTGGGAGCAGGTGGCAGAGGGCCTGATTGCAAGCCAAGGGTGACCCCTTTGTTCTGCAGACAATACAAGTGCTGTTAGGGATCTTTGAGGAAGACCATGATAGGGTGGGTCCAGACCTTAGGAAAACACAGTCTCTGTGGAACTCTCAGATCTGCCTAGTTCTGACCCAACCCCAGGTTCCATTTTGGGTTCTGCCATTTATGCACTGGGCAACCCTGGGGAAAGTGTTAATTAAACCTCGGTTTCCTCATGTGTAAAGGGTGTGATCATGCCTCCCTCGCTGGGTTGCTGTGAGATTGCTGTATTTCCAAATCTGAGTCAAAACCTAATGTAAAGTAACCATCTCGCCCTTGTTGGGGAAGTAACTAACTATAAACACTTAAGGATATTGTTGAGATAGTCCTATGTTTAATTTATTAATTTAGATGCACATATGCTTAAAACTGTATCATATAAAAATACTAGGCTGGGCGCGGTGGCTCACACCTGTAATTCCAGCATTTGGGGAGGCCAAGGAGGGTGGATCACTAGAGGTCAGGAGTTCGAGACCAGCCTGACCAACATGGGGAAAACCTGTCTCTACTAAAAATACAAAAATCAGCTGGGCATGGTGGTGGGCACCTGTAATCCCAGCTACTCGGGAGGCTGAGGCAGGAGAATCACTTGAACCTGGGAGCCGGAGGTTGCAGTGAACCGAGATTGTGCCATTGTACTCCATCCTGGGCAACAGAGCAAGACTCCGTCTCAAAAAAAAAAAAAATACAGCTTAAATTTAGAAGTAAATTTAAAACTAAAGTTGTTCTTTTCTACTTTTTTTTTTTTTTTTACCAGCTGCATCCAGTAAACATCCAAAACCAGCATGACTGAGGTTGTCCTTTCATGGTGGTGATACTTCTTGAAACAATATCTTGTTGAAAACAAACTAATACATTCAAAATAATATGAGTTTCTTTTCAGCCGGGAATTGTGTAGCATTCATGCAACGCCCTCCACCAGTAGCGATGGGCCACGTGCCCACAGGACACCATATGGATAGCTCACGGTGTCCTCTGAGCTTCTACATTACCTCATTTTAGCCTCACCACAACCCTAAGGAGGTAGGCACAGTAATTTTTCCCATTTTGCAGAGGAGGAAACTGAGGCTTTCAGACTTATAAAACTTGCTTAACAGCCTGTGTGGGACCTCAATTCTAATTCCAGAACCAAGCTCCTAACTGCTACCCTATGTGCCTCCTAAGCACACAGTGAATGCTGAATGATTGGTGGCAATTATTAGTATAGTCTTTCCCCCAAATGCAACTGATTAGGGTTTGAACTTCATAGGGGTCCTCAGCTGAGATGCCAACGGCAAAAGCCGTGGCCAGCTGCCAGTCTTTTCCTTATCTCTGGGCAGGTCGGGTGCCGTGCCATTCCTGGCTAGCTTCCAGGCAGCCATTTCCTCAACAGAGAGAAGCTCTGCCCCAGCCCCTGCCCTCTCGGGTTCCCCTCCATGGACAATCCCTTCCACTGCGCCCTTCTTTCTGGGTCCCATTGTGTTTTCCCAATGCACATCACCACTCGTTTCTTTCCCCCTCAGTTTAGGAGATAAGAGCGGGTAATTGTCTTTTATAGGCACTGTAATGAAGCCTGTCATCACACAAAAGAAGTTTGCTAATAAAATAAATCAAAGCAGCAATGAAAATGAATGGGGAACAGGCTTTCACAATTAGATTTGTACTTGTCTAGAGGCATGGTGCTTCTATGAGAAGACTGCCACAGGGGCAGTGAAAGGGTCCTGGAAACAAGCTAGCAGGATATGTTTGGGAACTCCTGTGCTGGGAACTCCTGCGGTGGAGCAGCAAGGGACCCAGAGCAGACAGCTGCATCCCCCTACAGGGGTGGGAGTTGAAGGGACAGGGCAGGGAGAAAGCTGACAGCAACACAAGGAGAGGAACTGCAAAATGTCATCTCAGTGGCCTGTATTTGTCTGCATCTCGAACAAGATGGGTTCCTGGTCAAAGATGATCCAGCTGCTGCCATCCCTGGAGCTCCCCTTCTCTTTGTCCCCAGCTGGACTCTGCTCCTGCCTCTTGGGTGAGAGGACAGTGCTCTTGGGTGGCCAGGCCCCAAATGGTATACAGGGACCCTGCCCCACCCCACCTGCCCCAACAGAGTATGTCTGGGCTGGGGATGGAGATAGCAGGAAGTAGTGGGGGACAAAGGACCTTTTAGGAGCCAGGTGGAAGAGCAGCCCTTCTACAGCCCCTGAACTAATCAAGACATGAAGCCCAATCCCCACAACCACATGGAGCAGTTCCAACTGAAAAGAGCACTTTTGCACAGAATCTGGGTTGCAGATGTCCCCATTCCTGCCCCCTGTTCCACAAATGAGAGAATATGGTAGCGAGATTCATAATAATATCATTCTCTTGGTCACTTGCAGGTTTTGCCACCAAGTTAGTTAAGAAAAAATACTTCCTCTCTTTGCACTTCAGTCTCTCCATTTGGGAAATCAGGCCATAGGGTGAAAAAACTTGATGTTGTTTGGCAGAGGGCAGGCGCTCTGTAATTTCAGGGTGGTGGTGTTTCTCGTCCTTCTGCAAGTAGAAATGACTAACATTCATCTGGTTCTCTAAGAGCCAGGTACCAAGCTAAGAGCTTTTCACACACTGTCTTGTGCCATCTCAACAGCCATCATCATCCCCACATCACAGTTGAGGAGAGTGAGGCTCCCAGGTTCAATGACCTGCAGGAGGTCACATAGCAGGCATTGGTGGTATGAGGACTGGTATGAGGGGAGTCAGGCTGCAGTGTCTGCAGTGTCTGTCTGGGTCTTGGATGGTCACTACCTCTGCTGTGAAGAAAGGGAGGAGCCTAAAGATACAAAGGACAAGTGACCTGGGCCATGAGCAGAACCACAGGGCCTGGGATCTGTGGCCAGCACCACCCCCCTAGCCCGTCCTTGGAAGGAGAGTCCCCTCCTGTCTTGGGATCCTGTCTCTCCGTGGCAGAGTTGAGAGCTGTTTGTCACAAGAGGGAGGTGAGCAAGCCAGGAGCATGACGGCGATGCTCTCTCTGGCCTCCTACATCTGTTCCACTTCACCCCAGACAAACCCAGCCAGGATCCAGCCCGAAAGAGATGGCAATGGTGCCTTCTGCCCGAGAAACAAGGAAACCTCGGGCTCCCTGCTCATGGCTTATATTGTTGCTAGGATTACTGGAAGCAAAAAAGACAGTTCATCCCTGGAGCCAGTGACTGAAGAATGGATGACAAAATGAGGTCATCTTTCTCTCTAGTCAAGTCCCTATGCTCAAGACTTTGAATCAGTCTTGATTCACCTCCTCTTTCATGACCGAGTGCCTCTTACGGGCAGAGCACTGTGCTAGGCACTGGGGGTCCAATGGCAAATACAACAGATGAGACTCCTGCCAACACTGGCCCTGAGTCTGGCAGGGCACAGAGGGGTTGGTAAGGACTCTTAATGTTAAAAGTGACAGAAAGGCTGGGTGCAATGGCTCATGCCTGTATTCCTAGCACTTTGGGAGGTCAAGGTGGGAGGACTGCTTGAGCCCAGGAGTTCAAGACCAGTGTGGGCAACACAGGGAGACCCCCATGTCTACAAAAAAAAATAGCCAGGTATGGTGGCACACACCTGTGGCCCCAGCTACTTGGGAGGCTGAGGCAGGAGGGTCACTTAAGCCCATGAGGTCAAGGCTTCAGTAAGCAGTGATTGTGATACTGTTCTCTAGCCTGTGTGACAGAGGGAGACCCTGTCTCGAAAAGAAATAAATATAAAAGTGACAAAATCATCTTAAACTAGCCGTAGCCGAGAAAAGCCATGGCGGGGGCGGGGGTGAGGGGCTGTCTTCAACAGGCCTGCTTCCAGGTGCTCAAACAGGTGTCTCTTTCCCTCTCTTGGGACTGCCCTGCTGGGTGCTCGCTGCATTCACGGACAGGCCCTCCCTTACTGTGTGGTGCAGAGGTGATCACTGGCAGCTGCAGTGTGTTGTCCACTTTGTTCTTCCCCCCAGAGAAAGTGTGTGGCCATCACATCAAGCACCAGCATGTGTGGCGACCATTAAATATATACCCCATTACCCTGCCCTACACCAGCTCCAGAGCCCAGGAGGTTGGGTGCTCCAGCTGGCCATCCTGGGTCACAGGCCCCAGGTGGAGCAGTTGGAAGGACAGTCCCCAATAGGGAGAAGGTGCACTGGACAGGCAAAAACAACAGATGCCCATTGCAGGGAGATTAGACCAGGGACATAATCCTGTGAATAATTAATATTTCACTTCTGGTAAAAGGCAATGAAGCAAGATGCTGTGTGTAGGTATAAAAGGGTGAGAAGCCCCTGAGGAGGTGGCTCTTAAGGGGACCTGAAGGATGAGTATGAGGTAGCCAGGCAGAGGGAGGAGTCTATGAGGGGAGTCAATGGGTGTGGTGAGCAAGAAGTGAGTGGAATGAGGTGAGGGTGGAGGGCTGCACGGGGCTCTTGGTCAGGCCAGAGGACATTCTGAAGTGATGGGCGTGGCCTGCACTGGGATGCTCTCAAAGGACCCAGGAGTGAAGCAGCTTCATCTGAGCAGATGTCTGTCTTCCTGAGGGTAGTTCACATTCAGAGTCGGCCACCAGGGCATCCTGTGCTGGGCAGGGAAGCCATGGAGTAAACCCACTGACCAAACCCTCCAGACATCCCAGGAATCTGAGGGCATCCTGGATGCCTCAAGCCTCCCGACATATCAGGGTCACCCTGGTCCCTCAGGAACCTTCAGGCTGATGGCCAGCATGATTGGGGCCAAAGAAACCAGAGGTCACAGCAAAGAGAAGGATTTGGAAATTTATCATCCACCTGCATAAAGTTAGGTGCCTCTGCCAAGCAGAGCTGGACACAGAGCCTCATTAGCTAATGCAAGTTTAATATGAAGACAAGGAAGCTGGATGCCGACCTGATCAACTGCCCGGGAGACGTTCAGAAATAGAGCAGGGTAAGGTGTCCCACCTGCTCAGGGCCACTGCACCACCTGAAAGGCAGAGGGCAGCCCAGCAGCGACCTGGGCAATACCCGCCAGGCAAAAGCATCACTTCCACATCAATCACTTTGTATAAAGGAAGAGTTATTGTTATGGGATGCTGGCGCCTGATCAATATCTCCTGCTTTGAAAATAAACTTCTTGGTTTGGCCTTGACATTAATCTACCATCAGGAGCCCATTATCTCGAGACCAATGTTCTGTTCTATTGACTGGCTGGATTTTTTTTTCTCCCCCAAGATCAGAATATAATTGCATTTCTCCAGGCAGCACTTCCAATAATTGCAGCCCTGTGCACATCCCCTCTCGGGAGGGCCAGAGTACATCAGGGCTGGGGATGGAGACAGCAGGAAGTAGTGGGGGACAAAGGACCTTTTAGGAGCCAGGTGGAAGAGCAAGCCCTTCTAGAGCCCCTGAATTAATCAAGATGTGAAGCCCAATCCCCACGACCTCATCGAGCAGTTCCAACTGAAAAGAGCACTTTTGCACAGAATCTGGTTTGCAGATGTCCCCATTCCTGCCCCCCATTCCACAAATGAGAGACTATGGTAGCGAGATTCATAATAATGTCCTGAATCCAGCTGTGTCCCCCCATCGCCTCAGCACCCCTCACCCAGGGTCAGGACGGTCTCATATCAGGACGACTGCAAGAGCCTCCCGGGCCTACTCTCCCTGAGGCCTGCCCCATCAGGCTGTTCTCCACCCCACTGGCAGAGTCATCTTTGTAAGATGTAAGTGGATTGTGTGTCTCCCTCACTGAAGACCTTCTGTGAAGACTCCTTGTTCTGCCCCGTGAGGGCCCTGCGGGAGCCCTGCCCGCGTCTCTGGCCTCCCCTCCCATCCCTCTTCCCCTTTCTCCCTCTGCTCCTGCCCTGGCTTTCTTTTTGATTATGCCAAGCTTGGCCCTGCCCTGGTGCCTTTGCACTTGCTCTTCTCCCACCCGTTCCCTTGCCTTTACTTTCACCTTCTTGGTTCCACCTCAAACATCCCTTCCGAAGTGAGGCTTTCCCTGACTGGGGAGCATAAAGTAGCATCTCTCACATCCCATACACCCCTACAACGAATCTATGCAATGGCCCTGCTCTGCCATCGCCACCTGAAACCATCTCCCATGTTAGTTACCTATGCCAGGAAAAATTACCCCCAGAATCCATCTTAACACAATACACAGTTATGATGGCAGCGCTTCCCTAGGCCAGGGATTTGGGAGTGGCTTGGTTTGATAGCTCCACCTTGGGTCTCGCATAGGAGAATAGTCAGGCCATGAGCCAGGGCCGCAGTCATCTGCAGGCTTGACTGTGACCACGACCTCTGCTTCTTGGTGGCTCACTGACCTGGCTGGCAAATTAGTGCTGTGGGCAGGAGGCCTCAGCTCTCACCGCATGGACCTCTCCACAGCATGGCTGGGGTGTCCTCAAACATGGCAGCTGGCTCCTCCAAAGCCAGCGGTCCCACAGAGAAAGGTGGAAGCCACGGCATCTTTATGACCGTCATTTCTGCAGTATCCTGTGGGTTACACAGGTCAGTCCTCATGTGACTCACTGGGAGGCATCTACACAGGGGCACAAATACGAGGAGGCAGGGATTGTGAGGCCACTTCGGAGGCTGGGGCCTCGGCTGACTGATTCACTGCTGTGTCCTGAGTATGCACCAGATCTTGTGCTAAACCCTTTTACACACAATATCTCATCTTCCAGTCCTGCCTCCTCTATTTCTTTACAGGAAACTGAGTCTCAGAGAAGTTAAGTACCTTAATCAAAGTCATAAAGTGGGTAAGTGGCTGAGCCAGGATTCAAACCCAGGCCTGCCAAGGAGGGTCTGTGTAGGCCAAAGTCATCAAGTGGGTAAGTGGCTGAGCCAGGATTCAAACCCAGGCCTCCCAAGGAGGGTCTATGTAGGCTGGGCCCCTCAGTGGGTATGAGTCAGTATTGGCTGTACATGTTCACATTCCCAAGTTGCTATCAGACCAGTGGGCAAACTCAGGAGCTCTCTGTGATGTCAAATACTCCTCCCTGGGAGAGGGAGGCAAAGAGAACCATCAGATCCCACACTGCGGCAAGACCCAGCTGCACAGCCTAGCAAGCCAGACTCAGAGAAGGCAGGGCAGGGAGGCTGACGGAACTGCTCAGGGAGACCCAGCGAGAGGCTCATAGATCCAGGAGGAAAATAAATATGTGACAGTAAATCTACGGAACCTGTGTGCCACCTTGACTACTTATGCTGTGGCTGATGTCACTTTGTGATCACCATGGTCTTTCCCACTGATCCCCCGATGCCACCCTAGAATTCTCAACACAGCACTCCATAGTGGATTAGAGCTCAGATTCTGAAGTCAGCTAAAACAGGGTTTAAATTTTGGCTCCACCACTTACTCTGTGACCTGAGTCACATTTCTTAGCTTCTCTGAGCCTCCATTTCAGCATCTGTAAAATGTTACTACCTACTTTATAGGTTTTCTGATGAGGCTTAAGTGTGGTTGTGCATGTGACCATCTTAGCATAGTGTGTGGCAATGGTAAGCACTCAGTGCTGTCAGCTGTTTTTACCGCTGTTATTATATTACTGTGTTTTCCCATGTCATTAGGTCTGTGATCCAGGCTTCAGCAGACAATCCAGGCTGATGCTTTTGCTGAGTGCACTAAGGGATGCTGGCCTGGCGGGATGGTGAACTGGAAGCAGAAACGTCATCCTCTCTCTTCCTTCTTGCCATGCAGGTGTGGATGTGTGGGGGCCGCATGGAGGACATCCCCTGCTCCAGGGTGGGCCATATCTACAGGAAGTATGTGCCCTACAAGGTCCCGGCCGGAGTCAGCCTGGCCCGGGTAAGGTGGTGGCTTTCCTTGGCGGGTAGAAGGGGTTGGCCTAGGACCATCAGCTGCACTGAGGCACCCTGGGGCCCTAGACTGTGTTATGTGATCTCTGGGTTTGAGGATGTGCCTCCCATTCTCCAGGTGAAATCTGATTTAAAAGAACTCCCTTAAATCCCTACTTAACCATTCATTGCTATGTGACCTGGGGAGGGTTGCTTAAGTCCTCTGAACCTGTGTTTCCTCCTTTGTTTAAAGAGAGCTAATTCTTTCCAACTCCCAGCATTGCCAGGAGAATTAAGGAGGTGATACTGTTTCCCAGAGTGTGACAGAGGAGACGATCTTAGGCAGCAAACACAGGAATGTTTTCTTGTTCATGTGTTTAAGTTAATGTGGATTCTAAATTAATGTGTATTCGTGTAGCTAACCTGTAATTTCACAGATATTATTACTTAGCATACAGCTAAAGTAGGTGCAAAGTTAGACCAGAGGTGATGTAAAAAAACATGTTAGATAAATATTAATACAGGTGGTGTGGTGTGGTGTGTTTGGGAAAGCTTGCGTACTAAATTTCTGGAGGGGAAGTGGGCTTCATAAATGTCAGTGTCTTTCTCTTCTCCTCACCCCCTGTCTACTCTTACTGCCAAAACCTCTGCATGTCAAACTGTTTCATTGCCTTAAAATGGTTTCTATCAATCATTGCTTCAATTAAATTGGCCACTGGCTGCAAATGGAAATCTGTCAGCCAGAGTTTGTTTTTGGTTTGGATATTAAATGTATTCGGAAAAAAATAAATAAATCCAGGTGACCACAAAAGAAAAATGAAGAGGAGGGAGGGTCCCCAGAGGATAGAAAGAGCCTTGCGGGGAAGCTGGAAAGGACCCCCGCACAGCTTTCCCTCCGGGGAGCCTGTGAGCCCCGCCCCGGCCAGGAGACCCCGGTGCTGGCCGGGTTGGCATTAGACCGCACTGCCTCCTGTCCAGGGCGCTGCCTCCTCCTCCACTTGACAACCTTGACGTGTAGAATTGCAGCCCCCGGGACCTAGAAGAGCGTTGTCCTGTGACTTACAAGGAAAGCCGAGAGGCTCAAAGAGGCCGCGCGTCTCCCTGAGAGCCATCAGTGGGTGGGAGCTGAGCTCCGGGAAGTGTCAGGGGCCGCGTGGAGGGAAAGGAGAGCCGGCAGTGCCCTCCAGTGGTAGCAGAGCCTAACGACGCCCTCACCAGCCATCCGCGCTGCCCACAGCCCCATCCGACACGGGCGGGGGGTAGGTTCTAGGTTCAGTCCCTTGAAGCAGGAATCGCGTTCTTCTGAAAGGCCATTTGGCGATCCCTGAGGAGGGAGCCAGGCAGGAAAAGCGCACGCTCTCTCGGTACGCCCAAGACTGAGACTCTTCCGGCTACAAGGGACCATGGGGACACTCCAACTCCAGACCAGGAGCAACCCTAAAGCATTCTTTTCCTCTGCAGAGCTGTTGTTGATAAGGCTCACCTAAAAATAAAAATAGCCGGGCGCAGTGGTGTGTGCCTGTAGTCCCAACTACTCAGGAAGCTGAGGTGGGAAGATCACTTGGGCCAGGGAGGTCGAGGCTGCAGTGAGCTGTGTGTGCCACTGCACTCCAGCCTGGGTGACAAAACGAGACCATGTCTCAAAGAAAGTTTGTTGTTGTTGTTGTTGCTGTTGTTTTTTTTTTTAAAAGGCCCACCTGATAAAGAGACATTACCGCCTCCTGCTTGTTATAGAACCATTATTATAGATTAATTCAGTGGATAAGAGCTAACTGTAGTAATACTTATAAAAATTCCCTTCGAGCCAGGCATGCAAAGCATTTTACTTATCTCACTTAATTCTCACTTGTTTTTAACCCCATTTTAGGGATGGGGAACATGAAACGTGATGTTGGCGATGGAAACATTAAGTAACTAGTGCCAGAATTCAAACCTGTGTAGGTCTGACAGGTACCTGGCACATAGCAATTGTTCCTTAAACAGTGACTGCTGTTATTAGTGTTAGCATCAATATTAACAATAAAGACTGGAACATGTATTTAAAAGTCTTATCTAAATTCTGTGTTTAGGCATTTTAACGTATTTCTCTTTTACCTATCTGTACTGAAGCATCGTCCTGTGTTTGGCTTTAAGCCACTTAACAATCTGAGTGGTGCCTCATGGCTTCTTCCCCAGGGACTCTGTGATCCATCAGGTCTGATTATGTGTGGGTTCGCAGAACCACAGAGATGCCTGAATCAGGTGCGGCCTTTTATTATGGTGACTAACAACCCTCAATTACTTGCAGACCACATTTAAAATATTTGTTCAGTGGGCCGGGCGTGGTGGCTCATGCCTGTAATCCCAGCAGTTTGGGAGGCCAAGGCGGGCGGATCACCTGAGGTCAGGAGTTCAAGACCAGCCTGGTCAACATGGCAAAACCCCATCTCTACTAAAAATACAAAAATTAGCCAGGCGTGGTGGTGTGCGCCTGTAATACCAGCTACTAGGGAGGCTGAGGCAGGAGAATGGCTTGAACCCGGGAGGCGGAAGTTGCAGTGAGCCGAGACTGAGCCACTGTACTCCAGCCTGAGCGACAGAGCAAGACTCCATCTTGGGGGGAAAAAAAGTGCTCAATGTTTTAATAACCACATCCTAAGCCTTCTAGAGCATTGTCCCCTAGATGATCATTTTGATAGATTTGAGAGTTGTCCTAATAGCTCCGAGAGAGCCAGATAGAGAGAGAAACTGAGATTGTACGGACTCCGGAAGGACAAACAGCCAGACAGCCTTGAGGTAGAAGCAGTTCAGGAAGGATGAGCTGTCCACCAGCTTGCCTGCCTCAGGAACAAGTAGCCAGTCTTACATTGTTTACTAAACTTGCTGAAATCTTTCTTATCTTTGCCTCTGGAAAAAGGATCTTAGGGAAGGCAATAACAGAAACTACTCAAACTTGGTGAAACAAAAATGGAGACTTACTCCAAGGATCCAGGCAAATCTCTGTAATCCAAGCACAAGAAGTACAGTTGGGCCTCAGACGGGACTGGGACTCGGAAGTAGGAAGGTGTTGAGAGTAGAGGTATGAGGAGCCCGAAGCCCACTGAAATCCCAAGGTCCTTTTTATGTCTCTAACAAGGGGAGATGTGAGAGAAATAAGTGTAAAGTCATTTCCTTTGGTGCAAACAGTGAACTGTAGCAAAAAAGTTCAAAATCTGGGAGAAAGAGCTTTTCAAGCTGTGTCTGGAAGATACAATTATGCAATATTAATTAAAATGGTAATTATAATTAGAATTAAAATATGATGTTATTCAATCCTTTAAGAATGACACTGGTAAATTTCAGTATCATTCTTAACCAGTCTGGCCATGGTCAGAGTGTCCAGACTTGTTTTCAGTTGGAGTGAAACTACCCTCATTACCTCTGTGACTCGAGCAGGTTAGACAGTGAGCCAAAAGAGCCTGGTGGACATACTGGAAAAAGCAGAGGAAATATTGTGTTTCAGAGTGTTCATGTAGACAGTCTCTGTTAGGCCTTCAACTTCCTCTAGCACAGTTTTAAATTAAACACAGCCTTTTCTGTGCAGGGGCCTGGTGGGGATAAACACTGTTCCTGAGCTGTTTTCTAACCCACTGTGGACTCTTCAGCACTCAGGAAGAACTAGGTAGCAACAAGGAAATTCAGCTGTTTCCTGGTCCCCAACTCAGAGCCAGCAAAATGGGGGAACTGGTGAATTTTGTCTTCAGTGCGGGGGCCTCCCTCATGTTGGCTTCCTTCTCCATTACTCCAGAGTCAGCAGCCTGTTTTTGTATGGCCTGTGACCTAAGAATGGTTTTTACATTTTTAAATCATTAGAGGGAATGGGAATCAAAAGAAGAATATTTTGTGATACATGAAAATCAAATTTCAGTATCCATAAGTTTTACTGGAACCCAGCCACACCATTTATATGGTGTCTATGGCTGCTTTATAGCTACATCAGAGGTGAGACCATATGGTCTGCAAAGCCTAAGTATTTACTATCCGGCTCTTTATAGAAGACATTTAAACATTTGGGACCCCTGCCTGACCTTCTGCTCCTAGAGCAATCCTTCACACTGAGGTGCAAATGACTGATAACAGCTTAAACTGCTAACTCCCCTTTAACCTTTCAGAGGAAATTTTAGATTGCAATAGGGAAAAAACTTACGAAGGAGGTAAAACCGAAGAGTTAAAATTGGGGTGGGGGGACAACAGCCAGGGGTTGAAGAAAGATGTTTTGGAGCGGAGAATTTCCCCTGAACCCTGAAGTTTTGCTCTCAGATATATCACATATCAGAAGTTCTCACTGGGTGGGGTCTACACTGCAGATGGAATCAGGAATTTTCATCACATACATAAGAATTCCCTCTTCCTCTGTCCCCAAGTCTACTCACAAACACTTTCCTCACCTGCTGCCTCTGCTTGCCAATCATGTGGCTGTCATTTTTTAAAACTGATTATCTTTGTGCTTCATGATGAAAGTAGCAGCAACCTTTGCACCTCAAAGGATTATTAGAAATTCCAGCTGCTGATGGAATTACACCTTTTGGTTTCAAATTATAATTTGCCTTTATCACATAGCTTGGTCAAAACTCTCAGTTGAAAATGACAAAAAGCCAAATCAAATTGGCTTAGCGAAGAAAGAATATACAGGCTTCTGTAACTGGAAAGTCCAAGGTAGCTCTAGCTTCAGACATGGCTGGATTCTGGTGTTAAAAGGCGGAATGCATTCCTGGATCCAGCCCTCCGCTCTGCTTCATTCTGGGTTGATTTCATCCTTGGACAGGCTCTCCTTGTCTCTCCTTGGAGGCCATATGGCCCAGCAGCTCTGGCTGGCATCCTGTCTTACCCAGCAATCCAAGCAGAAACAGAACGATTCTTCCAATAGTTCCTGCAAAAATCCCAAGGCTGATGCCTGTTGGTTGTGATTGGTGGGGCTTAGGGAATGGGTCTGCTGTTTGACCAGCCCCTGCACCGGGGGCGCCTGTATTCACATTAGCTAGGCTGGGTCCATGCCTTTCCTCCTGCCACATGAGCTGACAGGGAGACAGGGTGGCTCCCCAGAGGAAAATCAGTGGGGGCTATCGCTAGAAGAAGATGGGATGGAAGATGGGCAGGCAAAACAACAGCAGCCTATGGGCCAACTATAAGCTGTGAAGCCCTTAAAACATGCATAATGATAAATAGAAACACAGAAGGCCTAAACTCACGGTGGGGCTGGGATTTTTGATGGAACATAAAATAAGAAGGGTTGACCTCGACCTGCCAGGACCCTTTTCACCCCACTGCCTGGCTTTGGCTTCTTGGAAAGACTGACCCCTCCATTGCTTCTTGCCCCATAGAACCTTAAGCGGGTGGCCGAAGTGTGGATGGATGAGTACGCAGAGTACATTTACCAGCGCCGGCCTGAATACCGCCACCTCTCCGCTGGGGATGTCGCAGTCCAGAAAAAGCTCCGCAGCTCCCTTAACTGCAAGAGTTTCAAGTGGTTTATGACGAAGATAGCCTGGGACCTGCCCAAATTCTACCCACCCGTGGAGCCCCCGGCTGCAGCTTGGGGGGAGGTGAGTCTGGAGGGCAGGGCTGGCTCCATAATTTAATGGGTGTGCAAAATGCAAATGCAGATCCCATGTTCAAAAGGTAGAAAGTCAGTGCAGGGAGGAAAGGCGTGAATATAAAATCGTTTCCTTTCTTTCCTGGTCTCTCTCTAGCCTTGTCATGGTGTATTTTTACTTGTTAGTTAGTGTTCTCAGTGTAGAAAAATTAAAACTTTAAGTTATTAGCATGAATTTTACCTTTCATCTTTATATTATGCAGTGACAATTTAAAATTCAGATTAACAGCATGTAACTCATGTTCAGAATGGGTGAAATGACATGATCTGTATTTCCCACCTGCTGCATGCATAAGTATTTCTCACCAGAACAATCTAAACATGGCACACAACAAACTCAGCTTTTTACTTCACTTCTTGATAATGTGCATATTCTTCCAACACTCTCCACCTTCCATTTACTGATGAGTAAGAAAGGGCTGGAAGGCAAAGGAACTAAGGAGCCAGGCACAGTGGCTCAGGCCTGTAATCCTAGCACTTTGGGAGGCCAAAGCAGGAGGATGACTTGAGCTCAGGAGTTTGACAACATTTTCCTATGGGAAACATAGGAAGACCCTGTCTCTACAAAAAAAAAAAAAAAAAAGAAAAAATTAGCCAGGCGTAATGGTATGTGCCTGTAGTTGCAGCAACTTGGGAGGCTGAGGCAGGAGAACTGCTTGAGCCCAGGAGGTCGAGGTTCCAGTGAGCTGTGCTCGTGCCACTGCACTCCAGCCTGGTGACAGAGCAAGACCCTGCCTCGAAAAAGAAAAGGAACTAAGGGTTGCCCTATCTTTCCCTTTCCTTCATAAGTTCTTGGCTAACACGGGGCAGTAACGCAAGTAAGAAAGAACATGACAGGACTTGTTGGTCGTTCCTGCTTCTTAGGATGCTGTTGCCCTTCTTAGCACACCCAGAGCGAGTTCCGGTTTGAAGGGAAAGCAGGGCCTCTGGGACCCCCAGCGCCCCTATTTATTCAGTGTCTTCGCACATGCTGCATGCAGACAGGGCAGAGAGGAACAGCGTGCTTCTCTGCTCATGCACACGCTCCAGTGTCCCATCAGATTTCACTTACAAAACAGTTCAAAGATAAAATTATTCAGAATTTCAAGACAGTGGCAGCAGAGCTTTAAATCAAGCCAGGCCCTCCTGAGCATGGGGACCTGTGAACTGCGCATGGTGTGGCCCGTGAGGCCCATGCTGGCCGAGGCAGACCAGTCTTTGCAAGCAGACGAGCATGCCACCATGGGATCCTGGGTCTCTGAGCTGAGAGGACCTACCCATTCATTGATGGATAGGTTGGAGCTTGGAAAAGGGGAGCATAAGAGTTGGGGCTCTTTCAGAAGACCAATTTAAAGTAAAAAAAAATGGGGGGAATATATTGTGTTTGACTCACATATGAGCCTGGGGTAGCTATGGCTTAAGACAACCTGGATCCAGGGCTTCAAATGATGTCAGTCTCTTCTTCTCCTGCTGAACTCATGTTCCTTTTGTGTTGGCCTCATGCTGAAGGTATCAAAATGGCTTCCAGAAGCTTCAGGCTGACCAACCCCTACTGCTTGGCCAACCCAGCAGAAAGTATATGCCTCTTTCCCAGTATACCAGTAAAGGTGCAGGAATCAAGTCTTATTCTTGGATCCTGCACCCATCACTGGGGCCATCGGGGAAGACGAAAAGCAAGGGTAGGATGGACACTACGGCTGGCCACAGGGCGCGTGAGGAGCAGTAGCCCCATGGAAAGTCAGGGTGGTGTTACCAGAGGAAGGGGAGAGGCATGGTGGGCTGGCAGGAACACCAGCTGTGATTTGCTCAAATTCACACAGCAGTCACAGAGCCCTTGCCTGGCTCAGCTGCCTGGCTAGCCTACCCCAACATCACCTCCAGTTTGCAGGAGCACTGCTGTGTGGACTTCCCTCATGAGGCTCTTTGGCTCTTTACTAGTTTGTTGGCTTCCTCACTTGTGTTAGTTCAAGTCCTCCAAGAAGCAGATGCCACAGTGGGATTAGACACGCAAGAGATTTATGGTTAAAACACTTGAGAGGAAAAATGAAGACACCTGGGGAGACTAGGAGAGCCATGAGACCACAACAGTGGTCTTACATCTGTGAAGGGGTGAGGGAAGGAAGGAGAGCCGGGATAGGAAGAGTCCAGACTGCAGTAAAGCTGTAAGGAAGCTTTGGCCAGGTTGATGAAGAGTCCCCAAGCCAAATCACCAGCCAGAGGAGTTCAACATCTCGCAAGAGTGGGTCTGCCTCACCCATTGGCTGGGATCCATCCATGGGTGGACACAGTGGTGGATTCAGAATACAGGATCTGGGTGCAATGAGACTCTCTGCAACAGGAAATTGGGTGGTGCATTTTCATAGCCACCACAGCCCCCTATCCCTCAGATAAAGTAGGATTGATATCTGTAAGGTTGGAACTACATGATGTGACGCTATGCACCTAGCACAATGGCCTGCCCACAGTAAGTGCCCAATCGGTATTTGTTGGCTAAGCAAGTGAGCAGCCTAGGGCTTCAGACTCCTAGCCCAGTGCTCTTCCCACCACACCCGTCTTCATGGTTGAAGGGGAAGAGGCAACTATTGTTCTTTGGATCTCAGCAGGGGGTGAGGGGGCCTCCTGCCACCTCTTGCCATTCACCTGTCCTAAGGGACAGAGACAGTCCATGACATACAGCAAAGGTTTCATGTCCTTTTCTAGGCGCTTTCAAGGTATGGTCCCTGGACCACCTGCACCTGAGTCACCTGGAATGGGGGTAAAATCTGGTTCCTGGACCTGTCGGTTCAATTTCTCCAGGAGTAGGGCCAGGGAGTCCTTTACCAACTCCTCACCTCCACTCCCCCACCACCAACCCAGGACTCTGCATACTCTACAATACTACTTACAGCAGTGCTTTAAGGATTACATTCTGTGGACTGAGTCTTCCTTCATTGAGAGGCTCAAGGTACTTCCAACAGCCCAGGGCAAGCTTTATCAAGACGATTTGAAGGTTAATCCAGCTAATGTCTCCCACTTGGTTTCCCCTTTCACCTGGCAGGGACCCGGTGGGCACCTTAAGGCACCTCAGTGGTCCACTTCTTCCCTCTTTCCCTTTCAGATCCGAAATGTGGGCACAGGGCTGTGTGCAGACACAAAGCACGGGGCCTTGGGCTCCCCACTAAGGCTAGAGGGCTGCGTCCGAGGCCGTGGGGAGGCTGCCTGGAACAACATGCAGGTAAGGGCCGCCCCTCAGGGACTGGCAGCCAGGTTCTCTGAAACATCTGCAGCCTGGGGTGCTGACACGGCCAGCTGGGAGGGAGAGGCATGGGTCAGTGATAAATGACAAGAGTCAGCCCCGGGGATGAGTTTTAAGATCTTCCTGAACACCGTGGAAAGGGGATTCCTTCACATTGCAATAAAACCATCAGTCTGGACCATTTTGGTTACAAATGATGGACACTCAGCCCAAATGGCCTTCAACAAAAAGTGCGTTATTGTCTCATGTCCCTGAAAAGCCTTGATGATGTTGCTGGATCTCTCAAGAGAGTGCTTCCCTCTCTGCGGGCCTCATTCTCAACCTGGCCCTTCCTATATAGTAGCAGATGTGGCCATCAGCAGCCCCATGGATAGGCATGCCACTTCCAAGAGTTCTGGAAAAGCCCTGGGGCTCCCATGAATTGTGTCCCTGAGCTGATTATGCAGGAAGTGAGGAAGTCCTCATATTGATGAGGACAGAGCCGTCACTTTTGAGAGGTGATGGGTGTGTTCATTACCTTGACTCTTGGAGCCTAGGGGCATGGTCAGCCTCACCTGCAGGATGGGTGGGATGCAGAGGGTAAGCCAGCCTGCAGGAAGAGCCACTGCTCAGACAATAGTGGGCTCATGCCTGCAATCCCAACAGTGTGGGAAGCTTAGGGGAGGCTTGCTTGAAGCCAGGTGTTCGAGGTTACAGTGATTGTGCCATGCACTGCAGCCTGGGTGGAGTGACATTGGGATAAACAATTATATTTTAGATACAACAACAAAAACACAATCCATAAAAGAAAAAATTGAAAAACTGGACTAATTCAAAATGAATAAAAAGCAATCCACAGATGGGAAGAAAATGTTTGTAAAGCATATATCTGATAAAGGACTTGTATCTAGAATATATAAATGAAAGGACTTGTATCCTCTCAAACTCTCAAAAGTCAATAATTTTTTTAATTTTAAAGCGGGCAGATACTTTACCAAAAAAAATATATGAATGGCAAATAAACATATTTAAAATGCTGAATTTCATTAGTTAATAGAGAAATAGAACTTGCAATTACAAGGAAATTCCAGCACACACCTATTAAAAAGACTGACCACACTGAAGATTGGCAAAGATGTGGATGAACTGGACCTGTATGCTGCTGGTGGGAGTGTAAATGGCAGAGCCACTTTGGGAAACTGTGGCAGTTTCTTAGAAAGTTGACCATTGAACCAGTCATCCCACTCCTAGGTATTTATCCAAGAGAAAGAAAACATGTGTCCATACAAAGACTTGTACACTAATGTTCATAGCAGGTTTATTTGTAATAGCCAAAAACTGGAAACCACCAAGATGTCCTGTAACAAGGAACTGGAGTGCAAATTCAGCAATAACAAGCGATGAATTATTGATAAATGCTGTTAGGACATAGATGATTCTCAACAAAATTATGTTGAGTGAAAGAATGACACAAAAGAGAATACATACTGTATGATTCCTTTATAGAAAATTCTAGAAATTGCAAACTAATCTCTAGAAACAGAAAGCAGATCAGTGGCTGACCTAAGGACATGGGGGTTGGTGGGGACAGGAGGAGGAGATTACAGAGGAGCATGAGGACACTTTTGCGGGGTAATGGTATGTTCATTACCTTGATTATGATGATGGTTTCTCGGTGTAAACATATGTCAAGATGTATCAAATTGTACACTTTAAATGTGTGCAGTTTATTGTATGCCAGTTATTATTCAGTAAAGCTACTGAAAAGTAACAAAGGTTATCAACCAAATGGATCTTGACTCAGACTAACTGTGAAAAGAAATTGATAAGAATCCTGAGCAGGCACGGTGGCTCACGCCTGTAATCCCAGCAGTTTGGGAGGCCAAGGTTGGCAGATCACCTGAGGTTAGGAGTCCAAGACCAGCCTGACCAACGTGGTGAAACCCCTTCTCTACTAAAACTACAAAATTAGCCAGGCGTGGTGGCACACACCTGTAATCCCAGCTACTTGGGAAGCTGAGGCAGGAGAATTGGTTGAACCCAGGAGGTGGAGGTTGCAGTGAGCCAAGATTGCACCATTGCACTCCAGCATGGACAACAAGAGTGAAGCTCCGTCTCAAAAAACAAACAAAAAAAAGAATCCCAAGAACACTTGAACTGTGGATATTTGATGACATTTTGGACCTTGTAGTAACTACTTTTAGATGTTATAATGGCACTTACTGAAGTGTTTATACCTGACATGATATGATAGCTGAGATTTGCTTCAAAATACTGTGAGGGTAAGGATAGGGGTGGAAGTAGAGCTGCAACAACGTTGGCCTTGAGTTGGTAACTTATTTTTTTTTTTGAGACAGAGTCTCACTCTGTCCCCCATGCTGGAGGGCAGTGGTGCAGTCTCGGCTCACTGCAACGTCTGCCTCCTGGGCTCAAGTGATTCTCATTGCCTCAGCCTCCCGAGTAGGTGGAATTACAGGCATACGCCACCACACCCAGCTAATCTTTGTATTTTTAGTAGAGACGGGGTTTCACCACGTTAGCCAGCCTGTTCTCAAGCTCCTGGCCTCAAAGTGATCCACCCACCTTGGCCTCCCAAACTGCTGGGTGAGCCACCGCACCTGGCCAAGTTAGTAACTTTTAAAGCTAGGTGGTTAGAACAGGTTAATATATTATTATTTGGACCTCTGAGTTTAAATTTTTCCATAATTTAAAAAAAATGGAGAAAAAAAGAAAGTCCTTGGCTTTGCTATCCCTATTTATGATGCCCCTGTGCACAGGTATTCACCTTCACCTGGAGAGAGGACATCCGGCCTGGAGACCCCCAGCACACCAAGAAGTTCTGCTTTGATGCCATTTCCCACACCAGCCCTGTCACGCTGTACGACTGCCACAGCATGAAGGGCAACCAGCTGTGGAAATACCGCAAAGTAAGATGGGATGCGGGGGGAGCAGGGCACCTGCTTAATTTTTTTTTAAGGCAATACAGTGCTTCACCCCTTCTTTCAACAGAGCCCATCCACTTATTCATTTGTGCCACAAACCTACCATGCCGGATTTTGTAGTCATTCAAGAGTAGTCAGAAATCTAGACTTCACTGTGAAATCCTCAAGTCTTAAATGTTGGCAACTGATTCCATTTAAAAAGAAAAGTGCAGCCGGGCACAGTGGCTCATGCCTGTAATCCCAGCACTTTGGGAGGCTGAGGTGGGTGGATCACCTGAGGTCAGGAGTTCGAGACTAGCCTGGCCAACATGGTGAAACCCCGTCTCTATACAAAAATCAGCCAGACATGGTGGCTCATGCCTGTACTCCCAGCTACTCGGGAGGCCGAGGCAGGAGAAGCACTTGAACCTGAGAGGCAGAGGTTGCAGTGAGCCAAGATTGTGCCACTACACTCCAGCCTGGGTGACAGAGTGAGAACCTGTCTCAAAAAAATTAAAAAAATTAAAAAAATAAAAGATAAAAGGAAAGCACATACACACACACACACACACACACACACACACACACACACGATAAGGACCAGTGAGGTCTGACAGGAGGTGGGCAGTGTCTAGGTCCCAGGCCTGGAAGCTGCGTGCATCACTTCTGGCCACATCCCAGCGGGCAGAACCCAGTCCCACGGCAATACCAGCTGCAAGGGAGGCTGGGCAGCATCCGGCTTGTGAGCTCAGGAGGAAAACCAACAGGTGTATGAACAGCTAGTCAGTCAGTCACTTCCTCACTTTCTCATTGCTGGTATTGTTGCTGTGGTTTGACTGGCCACATGTCTCCAGTGCTGTCTGGCTTATTACCTCCATGTTTTGTAGGACAAGACCCTGTACCACCCTGTCAGTGGCAGCTGCATGGACTGCAGTGAAAGTGACCATAGGATCTTCATGAACACCTGCAACCCATCCTCTCTCACCCAGCAGTGGCTGTTTGAACACACCAACTCAACAGTCTTGGAAAAATTCAATAGGAACTGAGCCCTCATGTCCCCTTGGCAGGCCCCCCAGGGTCTGGCACTCACTGCAGACTTCCTCTTTCAAGGGAGGCAGGGCCCCTGTGGGCACTAGGTGTAAAAGGTGCTGGCCAAATGGTTCAGGGTGAAGAGGGCTCTTGATTCAGGGGCTGGGGTCTGCCTGGTCCTTGAGCCCCTGAGTTGTGGGGGTAGGGTGAAGAGCATATCCCACAAGAGGCCCCACAGGGAGCAGAGACTGCTTTAATCCCTGCTGACATCACGGAAAAGCAACAGAGCCTTTTCAACTTTGTCACTATGTCCCCTTGAACATTATGTGGGAGAACACCAAGGTAGCCTAGGCCACCCAAAAGTGAGTCCTGCGAGGTTGCCCAGCCCTCAGATGGCTCTCCTACATGATGGTGCTTTAGAAACAAAGGTAAAATTTGCCTGTTTGGGGCAGCTTTTAGTATCGATGCCACTCATCTGCAGCAGAAGAGAAAGAAGTCCTCTTGGGGCTTTTTAGTTTCTGCCGTCCTGGGGGGAACATTGCAGTTACTGCACAGCTTCTGTTCTCTGTCACAACCCCAGGTGATTTGGTCCGGTCAAAGGCCATACTTGGGGCCCTAAGAGTGTTCAGTATTGAATGCTGATCAGCTGCCAGGTGAGGAGTCAGAAGAGGGAGCCCCCCTAGACATTTCTTTGCAGCTATGGACATGCGGGATATCTCCCCCTGCTCTCTGGGTATTTGAAATGTCAATTTTAGCACTCTCCAGGCACAAGGACAGCCCAGCACCAGCTTTACAGGGCAGTGTTTCAGATGGCCCTGAGCCCACGGAAAAGGCCAGGTAGACCTCCAAACTAGAAATGCTGGCTGATTTGCCCTGATCCATGCTTCCATTTCCCTGTCTCTCTTCCCCAGGCAATTACTGGCCTCAAAAGAGGAACAGAGGTGCTGCGAGGTGCTCACCTCACAGAGTCTGGAGGCCTCCAGGATCAACTGTGGGCAAAGTGCCTGCCTCTGACCTCATCATGGTTCTAGTTCTCATACAGAACTCCAGAATTTTTAAAGAACTCTATAATTGGATTGCAAACTAGGATGCTACATAGGATTCTGGTATTCCACATCCAATATGGATTTCTAGAATGCTGTGATTAAAGGAGCCAGCCAGGTGTAATACAGTCAAGGCAGCCCCCAGCCTAGAGACAATCTGTGAAATCCAAAGTTGGTGGTGTTGGGAAAGCAGGGGGACATGTGTCCCTCAGCTCAGCAGAGGCTGTGGTACAACATGGTCCTTGGTGAAGACCTGCACCCCTGGAACCTCCCACCATCATCACAACTGTAGTCTCATTTGCAGTGGAGAAAAGAACCCGACGTCCCACAGCCAGATATACACCCAGCTCCATGCCAGCCCTTCATGTTTACCTTTTGCTTTGTTAATTACATGTCAGACTCCTAGAGGGCCTCCAGACTAATAGGAAGCATTTCTGTAACCAACCTGCCACCCACTGATTCAGAAATGGAAATCACATTCCACAATCTATGGCTTCCACCAGCTAGCCCAGGAAATACTTGAAATCAGCATTCCAATTAGTGTTGAGTCTCTTGATTGTGTCATTTACCAATTAAATAACTGAGACCTAAGTCTGGGAACAGAGCCACGAATCTGCCTTTGAGATGCTGGCAGATCTCAAGGCCATCAATTATTGGGGGAGGGAGGGACAAACACTCCCAATCATCCACCAGTCAGACTGAATGTGTAGCTGGCGAGGAATTACTTCCACTTCTGGCCCAGCACAAGCCCTGCTTTGGCCACCTGTCTGCAAGAGAGGCGGCCCCTGTGCTTGCAACGCTTACGTGTTGATCCCAGTGTCCTTTTCCAAATGAGTGCTGTAGCTTTAGAAGTGGCCCTCTATAGAAAGAAGTCAAAAGATGAGGCCCCTTCTAGAATCTAGGATAACAAGAGTGTTGACAGTTTGAGGAGTCGAATTGAGATTCATCATCAAAGAGCAATGCAGCGTCGTTAAAATAAAAACTGTGCCTTTTAAAAAGAAAAATGCAAATATAGAGCAAATCCCTAAACTTGAACCATTTCCTAGTGCCTTGCTAGACAAACATAAAGGGGCAGGGTTGTGGGGAGGGGAACGTTTTTGGTGGTGTGTGCAGTTCCTACTGGATGAGTGTGTGTTTCTTAATGTCTCATTTCAAGCAGGAGATGTTGGGTCTGGAGCAAGATCTGAGACTGAGATGTCCCCCAAGGGTGACAGGTCAGATTTATTTCAGTCAGTGCAAGTCACACTCCAAACTAAAGGCTGGGCAGTGCGTTTAGTCTGTGGCCTAGAAGACCTCATCAGCCCCCGAGAGGAGGCCTTGCATTACCTCACTGGGACCTGTTTGGGGGCCATCCCTGCGGTCCACCCTCTGAACCCCCAGCATGTTTGTCCTGTTTCTCACCATTGGGTTAAGGGGTGCCGAGCACTAGCTAGACTTCCACATAGTCCCACCCCAAGTGGGCGGCAGTGTTCCTGGCATGACCAGGATTCCTGTGAAAGCAGGAGCAGCAGCAAGCCGTCCCGGGCCTGCCTTTCCCATCCTTTGGTTCTCCTTTCCAGTCTGGGTTCACACCCTGAAAAGGGATGGGTGTGTCCTCTGAGCACTCTGGCATTTGTCATTGCTGAGCCCATATCAGTAGGTCCTGGGACTTGACAAAGTATGTGGGAGGGGAAGGAAGGACAGAACTTGACTGGCTCCATTTCATGGACCAACTGATCAATTGCCAGTACTAAGCCACTCATTGTTATGGCTTCCTTTTTGAAAACCACCTGTCTCAAGGATTCAGGTTTCTGCTCACATCCCCAGCTGATGCTCAATAAAACTCAGCCAGGAGCATATGGAGATGCTGACAGCCAGGTAATGGGTGAGACTGTGGGGTCCCTTTTCCTCTAAAGCCTTTACTCTGAGGATAAGGTCACAAAGTAGGGTGTGACTTGAAAGTATCGTGACCATGTGGCCCACCAGCAGCCTTTCCAAAGGGGAACTCCAGAGACATTTCATAATGCAAACAGCACTGTTGCTTTAAGAACAAGGCCTTTGGAGGTGGCTAAACTTGCACGCACGTGTGTGAAAAGCCATCCCATCTTCTGCCTCCAGTTGGAGCTTTCAGCTGTTAAAACAGTCAGAAACTATTGATTCTTCCCTTTAGGAAAAAATGCTCAGGCAGAACGGGGTACATCCACAGGAGGAATCGGACGAGAGGATGTGACATTCGGTCCAGGAGAGAAAGAGCAGTTTCTGTTAAAGATGTAACAAATGGATTTCCAAAGTCTACATGACATTCACTTTTCAAACTTCCCACCAGTTGAATTTCTTTTTTTCCTTAAGAAACAGGTGATGTCTTGGAAAACAGCTCCTTATGTCTCTCTGTGCATCTCCATTTTCCTAGTCTCTGGAGTCTCAAAAAGAGTGGCAAAGCACTTTACAGTAGTAACTGAGGAATCAGAGTCTCTGCTTCAGCGATATCTAGTTTGTACAGTTGGGTGATCTTTTGTAATTCCTAGGAGGTAATGCATTTTTAATGTTTTCTGAAGCTTTGTAAGTGTGAGAGAGGGACAAGAAGTGCAGTTCTGTTCTGGAATTCCTTATTGCTTTCAACGGACACTCTTTGTGAAAAATCCAAGTAATATTTTAGTTCAAACTTGATCTTGAGCCAAGGCCCACTGCCACCTCTGGGATGGGAGTCGGACCTACATACCAAGTGACAAGTTCACCTTAACATCTGCTTCCAGAATGGCTTTGATTCAGCCGTGCCAGGCAACAGAACAGGGTCAGACTCCTGCTCTGTTATTGGCTTGAAGACTAGGATCCCAAAGGGGTTGGAGGCAGGGAATATTTGAAAATTCAGACTGGAATTCCAGGCCAAAAGCTCAAGACCACCAGCCTCTCCTCCTGCCTGGAAAAATAAGCCTTTGTGAAAGACTGATTTACCATGTACAATTGTGATTGTGAACGTTGTTGAGTAAACCTCCAGACTTTCTCTAAAGTGGTCTCTGCCTTCTTCCTTCTCATGTGTCATTCTTCTTTTCATCATTCTTCACGTAGACCACCTACTTCGGACTCAGGCATTCTGCTGGGTACTAAAAACTCCCAACAGCCATCATTCTAGAGTGAAAGGCAGACCTAAAACAACTAAGATGATTTCAGATGCAAATAGGGCTATGAAGGGTATAAAGCAATGATATATTAGAGACTGGAGTGGGGGTCAACGTTAGCTAGAATGGTGAGAGCTGAAAGACATGAAGGAGGGTGAACCAAGATGATTTCCCGGAACAGAGTTCCAGGCAGAGGGAACAGCTAGTGCAAAGGCCCTGAGGTAAGTAGAAGTTTCTGTGTTGGAGGAGCAGAAGGAGGTTAGCTTGAAGAGTTACGTGGGGCAGCCCACAAAGGGTCACACCCAGGAGCGGAGGATCTCAGGAGGGCAGTGACAATATGAAATAAGCATAACTTTTTTTTTTGATGGGGTCTCCCTCTGTCACCCAGGCTGGAGTGCAGTGGCACTCATAGTTTACTGCAGCCTTCAACTTGTGGGCTCAAGTGATCCTCCCACTTCAGCCTCCCTAGTAGCTGGTACCACAGACACACACCACCATGCCCATCTAATTTTTTTTATTTTTTGTAGAGATGGAGTCTTGCTATGTTACCCAGATTGTTCTTGACCTCCTGGCCTCAAACAGTCCTCCTGCCTCAGCCTCCCAAAGTGCTGAAATTACAGGCATGAGCCACCACACCCAGCTGTAACTCATTTCTGATGCTTACCCAACAGGCATGAGTACTTGCTTACCAAAACATTTTCATGCTATCAGGTATTAGATATGGTAGGAAGAGCACTGTCTGGCCCAGCTCTACAAAAAAACTCAGTGAGATCTTGTGCAAATGCTGCTTCCAACTAGGCCTGTTTTCCACAGTAAAATGACAAGTTTTTGGATGATGCTTCCAGCTCCACCTGTGGTCCTATGATTGAGTCTTGGTTGGGGGCTACGGGTGACAATGAACAGAAGCTGGAAGCTGCCCCCTCATGCTGTCACTCAGGGACCACCAGAGGGTGCTATGGACCATGGCTTGACAAAGGCTGAATAACACAAAGGGGAAATTCTGACCCAAGATGACATGGTGGTGACTGACACAGTCCATCCAGGTTTTCAGTATGCCCATGCTCATGTTATCCTCACACAATAACACCTTACAGCTTTGTAGACATGGGGAGAGATTCAATTTTTAAAGCCTTTTATACCTGTTGTACCCCCCAGACTCTCAGAAGAATTCCATGAAACAGATAAGAGAAAAATATTAGCTATCATTCAGTAAAAATGCATCAAATGCCTACTATATACCAGGCACTGTGCTAGAAATTAAAAGACTGTGCAAGGCACTTATGATCTAGTTAGAAAAATAGACATTAAACAAATGATCATTAAAATAAATGTATAGTTAGGGACTGTGGTAAGCTCTGCAAAGGAGAAGTACACGTGAGAGTATAAGAACTTGACCTTAGCAAGAAGGTCATGGAGCATGCTGAGTCGGCTAAGATCTTGTCATGATATAGCCCACTCCTGGAGTAACAGAAGAGAATTTAATGAAGGAACTATTGCAGAAGTATGGGTGGGATTAAGGAAACAACAAAGGATGGTGAAGCACCTAAGGACTAGCAGAAATGGGAAGCTGTTACTACTTGTAAGCCTGAAAAGGCAAGAAGCAGTAGTGTTACTATAATGCAGAGAAGGCTGTAGCCAGGAACAGGGGCTTCCCAATGGGATCTGCAGCTGCAGGTAGTAAATTGCAGCTACTGCCAAAACAAGAGGAGATGGGAGGAATACATATCCTGTCCTTCCTCCTTTTCTACCTTCCAGTCATCTGCCACTCACTGCCTCCCATTGGGTAAACCCAGTAATTCAAATTCACATAAAGAAATAAAAAGCACTGGTCAAAATAACTATATAGGTAAATATAGAAGACAGTATAGATAGGGTTTTTTTTAAAACTTATTTTTTCTCCTAGCTGATTTAAAAGCAAACTGCATAATTAAATAATCATAAATCTATTGATGGGCACACAATGTGTAAGGATGTAATTTATATGTCAATAACTAACGAGAAAGGGGAGGAAGAAAGGGACAGAGCTATATAAGAGCAAAGTTGCCATATACTATAACCTGAATCAGAATTTTTTAATTAAGATGTTAATTTTAACCCCCAAGGCAACAACTAAGAAAATAACTCAAAAATACATAGTTTTTAAAAAGAGAAGGGAATCAAAATGGTACACTAGAAAATAACACAAAAGAAAGTAGTAATGGAGGAATTGAACAAAAAAGATATAAGACATAAAAAACAAATAGCAAAATGGCAGAAGTTAAGTCGTTCCTTATTGGTAATTACATTAAATGTAAATAGATTCAACTCTCCTTATAAAAAGGCATAGATTGACAGAATGCATTCAAACATGGCCCAACTATAAGCTGTCTACAAGAGACACACTTTAGATACAAAGACACAAATAAATTGAAAATGTAAAAGATTTAAAAGATCGTGTGGAAAAAGATATTCCACACAAACAGTAACCAACAAAGAGCTGCAGTGGTTATAATGGCAGGCAGAACAGACTTTAAGACAAAAATTTTTGCTAGAGGTAAAGAAGGACATTTTATAATGATAAAAGGTCAAGAAGAAGATAGAAGATGTAACAACTAAAAATATATGTGCACCTAATAACAGAGCCCCAAAACACATGAAGCAAAAACTGACAGAATTGAAAGAAGAAATAATTCTTTGACAAGAATAGCTGCAGACTACAGTACCCCACTTTTAATAATGAATGGAACAAGTAGACATGAGATCAATAAGGAAATATAAAACTTAAACAATACTGTAAACCAACTAGAACTAACATCTATAGAACACTCCACCCATCAACAGCACAATACCATAACAACAAAAAAAGGAGGAAAGGAACAGAGCAACAACAGAGTTCAAGTGCACATCAAACATTCTCCAGAATAGATTATATGTCAGGTAAGAAAACAAGACTCAATAAATTGTAAAAGACTGAAATAACATAAAATAGGTTCTTCAGCTACAACAGAATATAATTAGAAATCAGTAATGGAAAATTTAGGGAAATTCAAAATATATGGAAATTAAACAAACACTCTTAATGACCAATGGGTCAAAAAAGAATTTCCAGGAAAATTAGAAAATTATTTGAGACAAACGAAAATAAAAACATGACATATCAAAATTTATGGGATGTAGAAAAATCAGTGCTCAGAGGGAAATTTATGGCTATAAATGCCTACACTTAAAAAGAAGAAAAACTTAAGTTAATAATCCAATCTTCCACCTTAAGAAACTAGAAAAAGAAGAGCAAATGAAACCCAAAGCAAACAGAAGGCAATGATAAAGATTAGAGCAGAAATCAATTAAAGAGATTAGACAAATAGAAAAAAAATCAATGAAACCGAGAGTTGGTTCCTTGAAAAGGGTTGTCTACAAAAATGAGCAAACTTTCAGCTAGACTGACCAAGAAAAAGCAAGTTGTATTTCTACACACTGACAATAAACAAAAATTAAATTAAGAAAATCCATTTATGACTGGGCACGGTGGCTCACGCCTGTAATCCCAGCACATTAGGAGGCTAAGGCAGGTAGATCACTTGAGCCCAGTTCAAAACGAGCATGGACAACATCGTGAGACCCTGTCTCTACAAAAAAAAATTAAAACTTAGCCAGGTATGATGGTGCACATCTGTAGTCTCAGCTACTAGGGAGGATGAAGTGGGAGGATACCTTGAGCCCAGGAGTTTGAGGCTGCAGTGTGTCAAGATCACACCACTGCACTCCAGCCTGGGTGACAAAGTGAAACCCTGTCTCAAAAAAAAACAAAACAAAAAGGAAAATTCATTTATAACAGCAATAGGGGAGAATAAAATACTTAGAAATAAATTTAGCCAAATAAGTGCAAGACTGACGACTACAAAACATTGTTGAAGGATATTAAAGAAGACCTAAGAAAGTGACATTCCCTGCTCATGAATCAGAAAACAATATTAAGATCACAGTACTTGCCAAGCTGATCTACAGATTCAATGCAGTCTTCATCAAAATTTTCAGTGGTAGCTGGGCGCAGGGGCTCACGCCTGTAATTCCAACACTTTGGGAGCCCAAGACGGGTGGCTCACCTGAGGTCAGGAGTTCAAGACCAGCCTGGGCAACATGGTGAAACCCCACCTCTACTAAAAATACAAAAATCAGCTGGGCGCGGCAGCGCATGCCTGTAATCCCAGCTACTGGGGAGGCTGAGGCAGGAGAATCACTTGAACCCAGGAGGCAGAGGTTGCAGTGAGCTGAGATCGTACCACTGCACTCCATCCTGGGAACCAGAACAAAACTCCATCTCAAAAAAAAAAAAACCACTTCAATGCCTTTTTTGTAGAAATGGACAAGTTAATCCTAGAATTTATATGGAAATGTAAATGATCCAGAACAGTCACAAAAATCTTCAAAAAGAATAACAAAGCTGGAGGACTTACACGTTTCAATTCCTAAATTTTCTACAAAGATACAGTAATGCAGACACACATAAGGATAGACATATAGATCAATGGAACAGAACTGAGAGTCCAGAACTCATACATTTACAGTCTATTGCTTTTTGACAACGGAATCAAAATCATCCAACGGAGAGAGAACAGTCTTTTCGAAAAATGGCACTAGGGAAGACCAGGTGCTGTGGCTCACACCTGTAAGTAATCCAGCACTTTGGGAGGCCGAGGCAGGCAGCTCACCTGAGGTCAGGAGTTGGAGACCAGTCTGGCTAACATGGTGAAACCCCATCTCTACTAAAAATACAAAAATTAGCCAGGCATGGTGGCGGGCACCTGTACTCCCAGCTACTTGGGATGCTGAGGCAGGAGAATCACTTGGACCTGGGAGGTGGAGGTTGCGGTGAGCCAAGATCATGCCACTGCACTCCAGTCTGGGCAACAGAGTGAGACTCCATCTCAAAAAAAAAAAAAATGGCACTAGGACAATTGTATATCCACATACAAAAGAATGGATTTGTACCTTTACCTCACACTACATACAAAAATTACCTTAAAATGGATAAAAGACTTAAATGTAAGAGTGAAAACTAAAAAATTTATAGAATAAAGAATAAATGTTAATCTTTGTGACCTTAAATTGGACAATCGTTTCCTAAAATATATTAAAAACACAATCAACTAAAGAATAAATAAATTGGACTTCATTGATTTAAAATTAAATTTTAAAATTACTTATTAAATTTTAAATTAAGTTGGGTTTTTTTGTTTTGTTTTGTTTTGTTTTGTTTTGTTTTGTTTTTTTGAGACGGAGTCTCGCTCTGTCGCCCAGGCTGGAGTGCAGTGGCATGGTCTCAGCTCACTGCAGCCTCCACCTCCCGGGTTCAAGCAATTCCCCTGCCTCAGCCTCCCGAGTAGCTGGGACTACAGGTGTGTGCCACAACACCCGGTTAGTTTTTGTGTTTTTAGTAGAGATGGGGCTTCACCATGTTAGCCAGGATGGTCTTGATCCCCTGACCTCATGATCTGCCCACCTCAGCCTCCCAAAGTGCTGGGATTACAGCCATGAGCCACTGCACCTAGCCTTAAAATTAATTAGTAAATTTTAAATTAAGTTTTAAAATTAATTATTAAATTTCAAATTAAATTTTAAAATTAAATTAAAATCAAATTAAAAACTATTGTGCCTCAATGTACACTATTAAGAAAGTGAAAAGAGGCCAGGTGCGGTGGCTCCCACCTATAATCCCAGCACTTTGGGAGTCTGAGGTGGGCAGATCACTTCAAGTCAGGAGTTCAAGAACATCCTGACCAACATGGTGAAACCCCGTCTCTACTAAAAATACAAAAATTAGTCAGGAGTGGTGGTGCACACCTGTAATCCCAGCTACTTGGGAGGCTGAGGCAGGAGCATCACTTGAACCCAAGAGGCGGAGGTTGCCGTGAGCCAAGATCATGCCATCTCACTCCAGCCTGGGTGACAGAGCGAGGCTCTGCCTTGAAAAAAAAAAAGAAAAAAGAAGGAAAAGAAAAGAAATAAAAAGAAAACAGAAAAAAACTCACAGAATGAGAAAATATTTTCAGATTATATTTGACAAGCGTCTGGTATCCAAAATATATAAAGGGATCTCTGGCAATACAACAATCAAAAGATGAATAAGCCAAGCAAAGATTTGAACACACATATCTACAGCCAACTGATCTTTGACAAAGTCAACAAAAATATACACTGCAGAACGGACACCCTTTTCAACAAATGGTGCTGAGAAAATTGGATTGCCATATGCGGAAGAATGAAACTGGACCCTTATCTCTCACCATGTAAAAATCAATTCAAAATAGATTAAAGACTTGAATGTAGTACATGAAACTATAAAAATACTACAAGAAAAACTAGGGGAAACTCTTCTAGACATTGATCTAGGCAAAGAATTCATGACTAAGACCTCAAAAGCACAGGCAACAAAAACAAAAATAGACAAATGGGACTTTTAAAAGTTCTGCATAGCAGGCCAGGCGCAGTGGCTCATGCCTGTAATCTCAGCACTTTGGGAGGCCAAGGCGGGTGGATCACGAGGTCAGGAGTTCAAGACCAGCCTGGCCAAGATGGTGAAACCCCATCTCTACTAAAAATACAAAAATTAGCCGGGTGTGGTGGCAGGCGCATGTAATCCCAGCTACTCGGGAGGCTGAGGAAGGAGAATCGCTTGAACCCGAGGGGCAGAGGTTGCAGTGAGCCAAAATCACGCCACTACACTCCAGGCTGGACAACAGAGCGAGACTCCATCTCAAAAAAAAAAAAAAAAAAAACAGAAAAAAACCTCTGCATAGCAAAAGAGTGAACAGACAACCTGCAGAATGGGAGAAAATATTTGCAAACTATACACCCAACAGGGGACTAATATCCAGAATTTTCAAGGAACTCAAACTACTCAACAACCAAACAGACAATCTCATCAAAAAGTGGGCTAAGGATATGAATAGTCATTTTTCAAAAAAAGAAAAGCAAATGGCCAACAAGAATATGAAGAAAGTTCAACATCACCAATCATCACAGAAATGCAAATTAAAACCACAGTGAAATATCATCTTACACCAATCGGAATGGCTGTTACTGAAAAGACAAAAAAATAACAGATGTTGGCTAGGATATGGAGAAAAGGAAATTCTTATACACTGTTGGTGGGAATGTTAATTAGCATAACCTTTATGTAAAACAGTATCTACCCTGTGTGTGTTTGTATATACATATATATATACATGTATGTGCGTATACATGTGTGTGTATATATACACACACACATATACTAGTATTCCATTGTGTGTGTATATGTGTATATATATACATGCACACATGCACCCACACACACAATGGAATACTATTCAGCCATGAAAAGGAATGAAATAATGTATTTTGCAACAACATGGATGGAGCTAGAGGCCATTAACTCAAAATAAACGAATCAGACAGAGAAAGACAAATGTTGCATGTTCTCACTTATAAGTGGGAGCTAAATAATATGTACATTATTACACATTAATATGTGTGAAGTAATAGTCGATGAAAACTCAGAAGGTCTCCATTGGGTGGGAGTTGGGAGGGGGTGAAGGATGAGAAATTACCTAATGGGCAAAATGTATATTACTCCAGTGATGGATACACTAAAAGACCTGACTTTACCACTATGTAATCTATCTATGTTTGTAACAAAATGACACTTGCACTCCATAAATTTAGACAAATAAATTAATTAAAAAAGAAGTGGTGATGGTTGCACAACTTTGTAAATATACTAAAAACCACTGAATTGTACGCTTTAAAATGGTGAACTTTATGGTATGTGAATTTTATTTTTGTGGGGGTGGAGACAGAGTCTCGCTCTGTCACCCAGGCTGGAGTGCAGTGACACAATCTTGGCTCACTGCAACCTCCGCCTCCTGGGTTCAAGCGATTCTCGTGCCTCAGCCTCCTGAGTAGCTGGGATTATAGGCATGTGCCACCACACCTGGCTAATTTTTGTATTTTTAGTAGAGACAAGGTTCCACCATTTTGGCCAGGCTGGTCTGACCTCAAGTGATCTGCCCAACTCAGCCTCCCAAAGTGCTGGGATTACAGGCGTGGGTCTGGCCTATATCTTTTAATATATATTTTTAAAAGTTTTAGTTCCTTTATGGTCAATACACAAGAATGTTTTATTATATGTCGATGTTAAAGCTCTGTCCTATATTTGCATTTTTTAAGTTTATTTGGACAAATTTTATGTGGCCAAATGTATTGATATTTTCTTTTGTAACTTTGTTTTGTTTAAAAAATATTTTTCCACCAATGAATAAGATAGACTTTCACCTATATTTACTTCCAAAATGCTTAATCATTTCCTGAAAAAGATTAAATTCTTTTATTAGAAAAAAAGAAAAAAAGAAACAAAAGGGGGAGAGTATTCCAGGTGCAGGGGCCAACATGTGCAAAGACCCCATGGAGGGAGTATGGCGGGCATGAAAGGCAGGCAGGCTGGAGCAGAGAACAGGAAGGAAAGAGGAGAACAGGGAGAGGGTAGGCAAAAGCCAGCACCATAGGCCCTTGTGGGGCACATTAAGGAGACTCTGATCTTTATTTTAAGAGTAATAGAAACCATTAAAGGGTTTAAAACTGGGCACAGTGAGATTATCAGATATGCCCTTGACTGATGTCTGGAGCCAGGAAGTGACTTACTCCACTGCTTAGCACATAATGGGCACCCAGGGCAAACACAGTGAGAAACAAGCCAGGGCAAGTGGACCTCTGGTGCCTCCTCAAAGACACTGACCACTTAGGGGCAAGATCCTTTCCTTGAGCTGGTGGAAGAATGGGAGTAGGTATTACATTTCTCACCCATTTTAGCTCCTTCTCCTTCCAAGCCTGCAAGCGAGAGTAGAATCCAATGTATCTAAGATGCTGAGCTAGACACAGAGTGTGAGCTTTGTTGTTGTTGTTGTGGTGGTGGTGGTGGTGGTGGTGGTTGGCAGTGGCACACTTATTGGGAAACAGTCAGAGAAGCCAGCAATTTGCTCAAAGTTTTGGGCTCTACTTTTCTCTGTTTGGTTGGAACTGGGGCTTAGGGGATCCTGGAACTTAGTAGAAGCTCAATAAGTACTTGATGAGTGGACAAATGGATGAGTACTATATTTTCAGGTACACACCAGGCCTTTTTTCCCTCCACTCACAGCCCACAGCCCTTCTGATAGGCCGGGTTCCTGCACTTGATATATGCTACATCCCATTAAGAGAGTTCCTTCCCCTCCCTAGGCTTTGGATTCTCCACATGAGAATAAGGAGAAGGAGGCAAGTTAGATAATGGTCAGCCTGGACTCTTAGAGTTCTATAAATCTTGCATCTTGTATTTTGCAATGACCTGGTTTTGTTAAGAATTTACTTTCCAAGCTCAGCTGGGAGGTAGGGGTGGGACTCCCTCCCAGTTCTGTTATTGGTATCTCCCAACCCAGGGCTTCTTGGTTTTTGCTGTAAGTGGGTCCAACACTCAACATCCAAGGCTTCCCTGCTGCAGCTGCACACAGCTCTGCCAACCTCTGGCCTCGGGCAGCTGGTTCCACTTTTGTTATCCTCAAAGCCTGGTCTGCCCAGCTTAGGGACACCTGGGGTCCATGGTGGTGCTGCACCTGCACGGCAGCCTGCAGTTCTTCCCTTCGAGTGTGACTTCACTCAGGCCTGGCAGAGTGACAGCCCTGGGTGTGCTCACACTCACACTCACTCACACACAACACCACGGGAACAAAAAAAAAAAATGGTGAACCCCCAGAAAGGCAGTTTCTTAGCAACTTTACAGCCTTTGTTCATGAACTCCTTGGAATCCAAGTATCGTCTGATCTCCTGCCAGCTTCCGCCTGAGGGTAGGAGGAAGAGGATGGCAGGTCTGCCTTTATGAGAGCCCAGAGCTAAGCCCCCACACCACACCACTGGCCTGTCAGTCAGCCTGGGAAGCAGAGGCCTGAATTCTGCGTTTCTCTGGGATCTGGGGAAAAAATCTCTGCTATGATTTCTTCACAGCTGCAGCCACAGAATCCCAGGGCTTGGTCATTTAATCAACAAACACGGATTGAAATAGGTACCCTGGGCTCATGGTGTTTCGCATTTTGTACCCACAGTGATTGGTCCCAGCTCTGTCCTAGGCCCTGCAAATACCAGGTGCATAAGGGATGATCTGCAACTTCTATGGCCTAGTGATGAGAACAGATTTGAGTTCCCACACAAATTAAAAGAGAATAACTTGATTACCACTGCCTACAGGTAACTTTACTCCAGGCCTTTACAATAAACCCAAACTCCCTAGCCTGGCCCAAAAGGCCTGTTGGGACTGATCCCTGCCTACTTTTCCATCACCTCCTGGCAGGACCCCAGTTCCCCACAGAGTCCAAAGCTCTCTCACCTTCGGACCCTGTTCCCTCAGCTTGGAATACTCTTCCCCCCTGCTCTGCAGCTTCATCCTTTAGGTTTCAGCTTTACTGTCACCTCCCCCAAGAGGCTTCCTTGACCACCCTATTAAGAATAGACATCCCCCCATCATCATTCTTAATCATTCCAGCACCTCTGTAGCTCCTCGCATGGCATGTATCCTGACTTACAGTCGATTGTCATGGTTCATGGTAGTTATGTTCTGTAAGTCACCATGAACACAGTTAGTGAATACTGAACTATTGTCCCTAGGGGAAGTACAGGGGTACGTTCCTGCAAGCCTCTGATCACAACATTTTAATCAAGTGATCAATACATAATCTTGTTTTATATGCATTTATGTTTAGAGAGACCTTAGTTAATATTTATCATTGATTCATTAAATTGAACTCACAGCCAATAGCACTATGACTCATGCCTCAAGCAAAGGTTCTCCAATACATATATTTTCCCTGTAAGGCACATCACAGTCTTCTTGTGCTCAGGAACACTAGACAGCACTTCAGCCCTATGCTTGGGCACCATGTAAACCAAAATCACCAACAAAAAGCTTAAAAATATGAAAAATGTGGCACTCAATAAACCACCAAAGGACACTTGTTTACAGTATGAGAGCTGAAACAAGAAGGCAGATGTCCTCTGGTTCGACCTTAGCTGTGAACGTGTGTGTCTACAGGCTGGTATAACAAAATAACTTAACCTGGTTGACAACAGAAATTTATTTCTCACAGTCCTGGAAGCTGGGAAGTCCAAGATCAAGGTGCCAGCAGAGTCAGTATCTAGTAAGAGCCCACTTCCTGGTTCATAGACTACCATGTTTTCACTATGTCCTCATACAGTGGAAAAGAAGAGGGAGCTCTGCAGTGTCTTTTTATAAGGGCACTAATCCCATTCATTAGGGCTCCATCCTCATGAATTAATCACGTACCAAAGGCCCTATCTCCCATTTGGGGGTTTGGATGTCAACAAATGAATTCAGGAAGGGACACAGACATTCAGTCTGTGACAGCGCCTGCTGGACAACTCGAATTTTCTTCACCACTCTGTGCATATGCACATTCTCAAGTAATCTCAAAAGTGCCATATAGCAGGGTGCGGCGGCTAATGCCTGTAATCCCAGTGTTTTGGGAGGCTGAAGTAGGAGGATCATTTAAGTCCAGGAGTTTAAGACCAGTATTAGCAACATAGCAAGACCCCATCTCTACAAAAAACAAAAAAAAGGCAGATATGGTGGAACATGCCTGTAGTCCCAGCTACTAGGAAGGCTGAGGCAAGAGGATTGCCTGAGCCCAGGAGGTCAAGACTGCAGTGAGCTATGATTGTGCCATTGCACACTAGCCTGGGTGACAGAGTAAGACCAGTCTCAAAACATACGAATTTTTTTTAAGTGCAATGAGCATTGATTTTTTTTTTTTTTTGAGACAGGATCTTGCTCTGTCACCCTGGCTGGAGTGCAGTGGTGCGATCTCGGCTCACTGCAGCCTCCACCTCCCGGGTTCAAGTGATTCTCCTGCCTCAGCCTCCCGAGTAGCTGGGATTACAGTTGCCCGCCACCATGCCCAGCTAATTTTTGTACTTTTAGTAGAGAGTGGGTTTCACCATGTTGGTTAGGCTGGTCTTGAACTCCTGACTTCAGGTGATCCACCCACCTCGGCCTCCCAAAGTGCTGGGATTACAGGCGTGAGCCACTGCACCCGGCCAAGAGCATTGATTTTTGAGATTACAAATACATTTTAGAGAGTAGGTAAATTGTAAATCTGGAATCTGTGAATGAGTATAATAATGGAATCTATGAATAATGCATAATTATGTTATTCACTCTTATGTTATGTTACTTTTCCACTTGACTTTGGGCAAGCAAGGCTGTGTCTATATCATCCACCATTTTATCCCCAGCTCTTACCAGAACAGATTTGGACCTCCAAAATTGTTGAGCTGTTGATGAACCAACCAAACTAAAGCTAAACCTTAGAATTACAGTTTTGTGAGATTTATTAATAATCTCATTATTTATCCTACTATTTTTTGCATATTTAGTTATGGTCAAAATAAAACCACTTTCCAGGGCTGACTTTTCCTGCCCAAATTCACAAAAGACTGATCTATAAACCAAAAGCTATTTTTTCATGGGCATTAGAATTTTCCAGTGGCCCAAATAATTATGTGCAGTCTCCTGGTACCAGCTGAATTATTCCCTAGAGGAAGTTTGCTTGATGGTTCAGCATTAAACAAATGGGAAGTGAAGAGGGCTGAGAGATCATTTGCCTTCCCCATGACACAGTAAACACAGTCCCCTGCTTCCATACACAATTTATTTCAGAAAATATTACTAATGTCAAAAGTACAAAAGTCAAACAACAAATTTATGTTGGGAATAAAAAGTGGTACAGCATGTCCAATTACACCTGCATTTTTAGACACAATCGCTGATCATATGTTTGCTGTCCTTCCTAATGTACCTTCAATTTGATTATTTTCCTTCACAAATCAAAAAACAGCAATAGGCTTAAGAACATCCCATGGAGGCTAAAGATTCATCCCTTTCGATAAGTCTAATGATTTCTATGTTTATATCGAAAGAGTCAATGATACACATACTTCTTTTTAAACTCCTTTTTGTTGAGATATAAATCACGTATACTACATAATTCACCCATTGAAAATGTACAATTTCATATATTTTAGTATATTTACTAGGTTGTGCAACCATCACTACTAATTCCAAAATATCTTTGTCCCCCTAAAAGAAACCCTGTACCCATAAGTCACTCCCCATCCCAATCCTCCCTACTCTCTTTAGCCTCTGACAACGACTAATCTATTTTCTATAGTGTATCTATGGATTTGCCCTTTCTGGACATTTACATAAATCAAATCATGCATTATGTGGTCTTTTGTAACTGCTTTCATTTAGCATATTTTCAAAGTTCATCTATGTTGCAGCATGTGTCAGCACTTCCTTTGTATCATTAATATTTCATTGTGTGAATATACCACATTTTGTTTATCCTTTCATCAGTTGATGGATATTTGAGCTGTTTCCACCTTTTGGCTATTGTGAATAATGCTGCTGTTAACATTCATGTAAAAGTGTTTGTGTGGATGAATTGTTTCATTTCTCTTGGGCAGATACCTAAGAGTGAAATTGCTGATTAATAAAGTAACTCTATTTTAAAATTTTGAGGAATTGGGCTGGGTGAGGTGGCTCATGCCTGTAATCCCAACACTTTAGGAGGCCGAGGTGGGTGGATCACCTGAGGTCAGGATCAAGATCAGCCTGGCCAACATGGTGAAACCCCGTCTGTACTAAAAATACAAAAATTAGCCGGGCATGATGGCAGGTGCCTGTAATCCCAGCTACTTGGGAGGCTGAGGCAGGAGAATCACTTGAACCCACGAGGTGGATGTTGCAGTGAGCTGATATCATGCCACTGCATTCCAGCCTCAGTGACAAGAGACTCCGTCTCAAAAAAAAAAAAATTTTTTTTGAGGAATTGATACACTGTTTTGCAAAGTGTTTTACCATTTTGCATTCCTACCAGCAATATATGTAGGTTTCAATTTCTCCACATCCTTGTCAACACTTGTTATTGTCTGTCTTATTGGCTACAGCCATCCTAGTAGGTGTGAAGTAATACCTAATTGCAGGTTTGATTTGCATTTCCCTTCTGATATCCCTGGTGATTAGGATGTTGAGCATCTTTGCATGGGCTTATTGGCCATTTGTTTATCTTCTTTGGAGAAATGTCTATTCAAACCCTTAGCCCACTTTTCAATTGGGTTATTTGTCTCTTTATTATTGAGTAATAAGAGTTCTGCATATATTCTGAATACAAGTTCCTTATCATAGCAGTTCCCAACACCCCCACACCGCATTGCCTCCCCACACCGCATTGCCTCCCCACACCTGCATGGAGAGGTACTGGTTGGGAATGGGGCCATACAGCAGGAGGTGAGCAGCAGGCAAGGGAGCATTAGCACCTGAGCTCTGCCTCCAGTCAAATCTTCGGCAGCATTAGATTTTCACAGGAGTGTGAACCCCACTGGGAACTGCACTTGGGAGGGATCTAGGTTGGGTGCTCCTTGTGAGAATCTAATGCCTGATGATCTGAGATGGAGCAGTTTCATCCTGAAATCATCCCCACTCACCCCCAACCCCCTCCCCACCCCCAACCGTGGAAAAATTGTCTTCCACAAAACCGGTCCCTGGTACCAAAAAGGTTGTGGACCACTGCCTTATATATGATTTGCAAACATTTTCTCCCATTCAGTGGGTTGTATTTTCACTTACTTGACAGATGCATACTTCTTATCACTACTATTGGTACTTCCATTTTCCACTGACAAAATTTTATAAAATGAGGATAACATGGAATAATCAAGTACTTTCCCAATCATTGCTGTGCTGATGGATCTGGAGCCTACACAATTGGCTGATAGGCAGTACCACCCTATCGTCTTGCAATATGATGTGTCCTTTAACATGCAGAAATCTGAATCTGGATACAATGGAAGTTCAGGGGTATCACCTTATAATGTATGAAATAATAACTGCCACTTATTAAGCACTTACTATGTGCAAGATATTGTGCTAACTGCTTTAGATCATCATATTTGATCCTCACAATATCCCTATTAGAGAAGTACTGTTATCCCACCTTACAGATGAAGAAAACTGAGGTTCATGGAGTTTAAGTTGTCAGCAGCACCACAGCTAGTAAGTGGTAGAACTGGAATTCAAACCAAGTGTTGCTGAGTCCAGAGCCTTTGCTTCTATCCACAATACCAGTAGCTGTCAAGTGCCATACTGCAGGCCAGCATCAGGGCTGGAGGAAGCTTTCCCAGGTCCTCAGTGGAATGCAAAAAAAAAGGACAATGTTGTGGGGTTTTCATAAGGACAAATTTGTTCCATTTAAATGACTGTTATTCTAAGATTCTTCCTTTTTTTTTTTTTTTTTGCTATTCCATATTTCCTTTTTAAAATAACAGTACTAGATGGTATTTTTATTATTATAAAAGAAATATAGACATGTAGTAAAACAAAAATCCAAATAGGAACAATGATTATAAAATTAAAATTACTTCTATCTTCTCTCCCTTGAGTCATAGTCCCTATCCTAGGGGCAACCACAGTTACTAGTTTTTTGTGTATCCTTAATGTGCATGCACGTGTGTGTGTGTGTCTGCACAAAATTTTTACAAAATATAAATGGAATTCCACACTACATACTGTTTTGTATCTTACCTTTTTTGCTTAATAAATCTTTTGGTATAGTTGAGTACATTTATTTTATTTTTAAAATGTTTACTGAGTCCCTACTCTATTAGCCACCAGAATCGGAGAATTTGTGTTCTATGCATTGGAACTACAGGAACAAGATAGATGTGGTTTTTGCCTTCAGGGAGCTTACATTCTAATAGAAGAAACACTTGAGGAACAACAAAACAAACAGAATAATTGCATATTATGATAAATGCTAATAAGAAAAGACATTGGATAGAGAATAGTGGTGGTCGTGGGGGATCCAACTCCTTTTAATCAGATAAGGTTCTCTGTGGAGGTGACATTTAAGTTGAGATTTGAAGAATGAAGCCAGTAGGAAGGAAACAGCATTCCAGGCCAAGGAAACTGCAAATGCAAGACTTTGAGGTAGGAAAAAGGATGGCTTACTTGAGAAATTTAAGGAAGAATAAGGCAGGCCCAGTGCCGTGGTTCACACCTATAATCCCAGCACTTTGGGAGGGTGAGGTGGGAGAACTGCTTGAGCCCAGGAATTTTTTGAGACCAGCCTAGGCAACACAGGCACACCCCTATCTCTATAAAAAAAAAATTAAAAATTAGCTGGGCATGGTAGCATGTGCCTGTAGTCCCAGCTACTTGGGAGACTACAGCTACAGGAGGATCACTTGAGCCCAGGAGTTGGAGGCTGCAGTGAGCTATAATCATAGTGCTGCACTCCAGCCTGGGTAACAGAGTGAGATCCTGTCTCAAAAAAAACAAAACAAAACAAAACAAAACGCCAGGCATGAATCACACTTCTAATCCCAGCACTTTGGGAGCCTGAGGTGGGTGGATCACTTGAGCCCAGGAGTTTAAGACCAGCCTGGGCAACACAGGGAAACCCCTCTCTCCAAACAATACAAAAAATTAGCCAAGCGTGGTAGCGCATGCCTGTAGTCCCAGCTACTCAGGAGGCTGAGATGGGGGTATCGCTTGAGCCCAGGATGTCAAGGCTGTTGTGAGCTATGATTGCACCACTACAATCTGGGCTGGGCAACAGAGTGAGACCCTGTCTCATAAAAAAAAGAATAAGAGAGCTCATGCATTGTGGGACAGGGCGAAGAGGTGCAGAGAGCACTGTCAGAATGCACTGGGAAGCTGTGAGGGGCCTTAATGGGGAGGGAGCATGGTCTGGTTTGTGTAGAGCTCACTGGGTAGAGAAGTTTAGGGACCAAGTTGGAGGCTTATGCACTTCAGGCAAAAGATGATGGTGTGATGGTGGCCTGGAATGGACTGTTAGCTGTGGGAAATGAAGTAAAAGAGACAGATTCTAAATGTATCTATTGGAGGTAGAAGAAAATGGCCTCGGCCGGGCGTGGTGGCTCACACCTGTAATCTCAGCACTTTGGGAGGCCGAGGTGGGCAGATCACGAAGTCAAGAGATCGAGACCATCCTGGCCAACATGGTGAAACCCCGTCTTTACTAAAAATGCAAACATTAGGTGGGTGTGGTGGCACGCGCCTGTGATTCCAGCTACTCGGGAGGCTGAGGCAGGAGACTCGCTTGAACCCGTGAGGCGGAGGTTGCAGTGAGCTGAGATCGCGTCACTGCACTCCAGCCTGGCAACAAAGCGAGACTCCATCTCAAAAATATGAAAAAAAGAAAGAAAGAAAGAAAGAAAATGGCCTCAATGATGAGTGGCCTCAGGATGTGGTGAGAGGCAGTTAAAGGAGGTACAGGTGGCACAGTTTATGGAGTCTGGATTCGGAGTCAGAGAATGTTTCAACTTGAACATCTTGGTCTGTGATGCCTCTGGAGCACCTCAAGCAAGGAGCTGAAGTGTTGCTGTCTGGAGTTCAAAGGAGAGGTCTCAGCTGGAACTATAAAACTGGGAGTTATTGACCTGTGCCTTTAAATATCTGGGGGTAGGTTTGGGTATGGACAGGAATCTTACAGTCACTGACTCAAGTTGTCCATTTAAAAACCTAGCCTTTCTTAAACTTTAAGTTCAATTTACAAATCTTGTTATTCCATTTTAAATCTAGTAATTTCTTGTATAAAGATAAGAACAAAATCTTGTTATTCCATTTTAAATCTAGCAATTTCTTGTGTAAAGATAAGAACAATCACTTTCACTTGTTCTTTGATTACTGTTAATTCTTAAGTTTAGTATATTCAATCCTCCTTAATATTTAATAAGACTTACCTCCTTAATCAAATTTCCTTAGACACTTAAAACTACAATTATCAATTTAATATGCCTGATTTTCTCACTTTAAATGCCCAATAGGGCAGACTTACAAATCTAAAAAGCAAAACCTTTCTAAGCATTTAAGCAACTGTTGTAAATTAATTACCTAAATGTATAAATGTAGCAAATCAGATTCACTTGGCTATTTCAAGAACCTTAAATCCTACACAAAGCAGAACAAGGATCATAGAAGCTTCTGTTCTGTATTCATTTCTTCACTACAGAATATTTATTCCCATTTCCTTTCTGGAGTTACAGATTTACTCCCCCAATAAAGAGACCAGAATTTTTCCCAAATATTGCTAATGGCAACCAATCTATTTCACTTTCAAATCTGTCGTTTTGCACACAAGTCTTCAGATATTTATTGACGGGAGACATTAGCATATGGTGGTTGTAAGGAAACCTAGTATCAGCTAGGGAAAGGATATGGAGAGAATGCAAGTGTACCCAGCCCTGAAGGCCAATACCTAGACATGGGGTGGAGCATGTAGAGGCTATAGAGGGAACTGCCCTAACTTGGCAAAATAAATTGTGTATAACCCCTTATTGTGTATAACCTCTTAATTTGGGGGGAAGGAGATTTTAAAGATAATCCCAGCAAATGCTGTCACCATATACCTTCTCAATCCTAATAGCCACTAATCACTGTGTGTGCTTGGACTTGTTGCTCAACCTTGCTGAACTCAAATCCGATAGGCTTAAATAAAGGATTGGCTTCCTAAGACCCTTTCTAAGTCTCACAGCCAGTGAGTCTAAGTCAGGGATCACTGTAAGCAAAAGAGTAGATATAAGAAAATACATATGTTTGAAAGAAAGTGAGTAGGCTAGACTAGAAGAGGTAATTGCCTCCAATGAAGATTTATTACATACTTTAACCTTTAAAGCAGGGTGTCTTAAACTTTAAGGTGCATTAAGAATCATCCATAGATTAAATTAATGTGTATTAAAATGTAGATTTCAGAGCCTCATACTCTTTCCACCAAGATTTTATTTAGGAGGTCTGAGATGAGGCCTGAGATTTTTGTAATTTTTTTTACAGTTCCCTATGTGATTGTGATGTAGAGCTAGGTTTGAAACCTGTAAATCTTTCCTTTAAAGACTGGGTGATACTCTGTTGGAGTCAGTACCAGTTCTTGCAATGCAAGCTGCAGAGAACATTGTTAAGATTCAGAAACAGCCAGTGCGGTGGCTCACACCTGTAATCCCAGCACTTTGGGAGGCCAAGGTGAGTGGATCACTTAAGGCCAGGAGTTCGAGACCAGCCTGGACAACATGGTGAAACCCATCTCTACTAAAAATACAAAAATTAGCCAGGCGTGGTGGCGGGTGCCTGTAATCCCAGCTACTCAGAAGGCTGTGGCAGGAGAATCGTTTGAACCCAGGAAATGGAGGTTGCAGTGAGCCAAGACTGCGCCACCCCATTCCAGCCTTGGCAACGGAGTGAGACTCCGTCTCAAAAAAAAAAAAAAAAATTCAGAAACTTGAGAAATGGCAAAATGCTGAGGCTGCAGTGGTCCCTGGATCAAAAAACTACAGGTCTTTGCAGCCCAGATTAGTCAGTGTTCTCCAGAGAAACAGAACCAAAATTAACCAAGACACACTCCCAGAATTTAAGAGATGGGGAAATTCTAAAAAGAGGTATAGCAGAGCAGCTGGTTGGGCTCCATATACATTCCACCCATCTCCACGTGTAGCAGAGCCCTCTGTTTTCACCTGAGCATACAGCCACCAGGAATAAGGGCTACATTTCCCAATGTTCCCCTCCCCCGTTAGGTATGGCGAAATTCTGGCCAAAGAGGTACAAGTGGGAGGCTCACCTACAACTTCTGGGAACTATCCTTAAAGAGCAAGGGTGAGCCCTTCCTCTGCCTTTCCCCCTTCCTCCTGGCTAGAATGCCTCAGTAGATGGGAGTCCCAGCAGCCACCTTGCTTAGTGACGCGACCTTGGGAATGGAAGCCAAACATGGCAAAGCAACAAGAGAAGCCTCGGTCTCTGATGCTGAGGAAAACAATCTGATCACCTCTAGGATTCCTGAAGGTGAGAGAAAAATGTAAGCTTATTTTTGGGTTTTCTGTTACTTGCTAAACCTAATTATGACTAATTAAGCCAATAATAGTATCTAATATTTATTGAGTACCTAATATGTGCAAGGCACTTTTATATCTAATAGTTGGTTTATATCTAATAACTCAGACAGTCTTCACAACAATCCCGAGAGGTTACTATCATCCCCATTTTACAGATGAGGAAACCATGGCAGACTAAGGCCATGTAATTTTCCCAAGGTTCCCAGGCTAGTCAGTGGCAGAGCCAGGATTCCAGCATAAGCTGACTACATCTAGATTTATACCAACCATTATGCTGTACTGCCTCTTGATTCCAGAGGCCAAGTCATCCATCATCCATCTATCCATCCATTCAACAAATATTAATCAAGTGCCTGGGCACTGGAAACTATGATGAGCCATAGAGACAGTTCCCTGTCCTTGCAGAACTTCCAGTCTCAGAACAATGTGAAAGGAAAATGAATCTCGGGACACCAAAATCACTAAGGCAAAGGGAAGAGTCAAGCTGGAAACTGCATCAGGCAAACCTACCTCTTATTTTATTCCTAAGTTAGATAGCTACAAAGATAAAAAAGCTACAGACCTCCCTCACAATTTGCCCACAAGGAAATTCCTTGTGGGCATCAAGATCTTTACCCTAAAACAGTTCTGTTGAATTTCACCCTGGCAATGTAAATGGATAGCTTATCTTCATAGGTGTGGGACAAAGGACAGAACTCAAAGTCATCCCTCTGCTCACCTGAGACAAATGAATATCTGATTGCTTCTTCTGCCCTGTTGTTTATGTAAAAATGCAGATCCACTGAGACAAAGGCATAAATGACTATTCCTCTACCACCCACCTCACCCCTTCCCCACATGTAAATTGTATATTCAGTGAAACGCTGAGCAAAGACTCAAAAGAATGCAACCATTTGTCTCTTATCTATCTATGACCTGGAAGCCCCAGCATCAAGTTGTCCTGCCTTTCCAGATGGAACCAATGTACATCTTGTACATATTGACTGATGTCTCATGTCTCCCTAAAATGTATAAAAGCAAGCTGTATCCCAACCACCTTGGGCACATGTAGTCAGGACCTCCTGAGGCTGTGTCACGTGCACGTCCTTAGCCTTGGCAATATAAACCTTCTAAATTGAGACCTGTCTCAGATACTTTTGGTTCATGCCAACATATCTATGAGTACCTTACAGAACCCAAGGGCAAGCTCAACTACCAGGCCCTGGGGAACACAGGAGGCAGGACCCACCATTAGTGCCTCTGCTCTAACCACTCCCACCAACCACCTGTCAGTTCCAACCAGCAGATTTGCTGGAGAGAAACTGACCAGTACAGTTTGAGCCACAGGCTTAACCCAGCAAGTATTCACTATTAGACAATCAGGGGCCACTCAAGGATTAGAAACCCAGTCACTGGACACCTAAGTGTCCACCTGTTCCCAAAGAAGGGCAGTCATTGGAAATCACTCCCAGAGCCATATGCCACATTCCCCAAAAAGGGAAAAGAGGAGAGAAAGAGGAGAGCAAAGAGCTTTTGTAGGACTGTGACTGCTTGGCCAAGGTATCCAACTCTGATTCTTTAAGGCGTGTTGGGGGATAACTTCTCAACTGGGGCCTGACTGGATGGAAGGAATGAAGGTGGGGAGGGCAGGGGCAGAAAAGACAGGAAAGAAAAAAAGGGTCAGTGAGCCTGGCCCTTAGACCTTGGAAAACTTTGTAGTCTTTGACCACAATTCCATCTCTGGCACTCAGAAAAAATAATAATCCTAAATAATAAAAAGTTTTATGTTCAAAAATAATTATACAGAACCACACAAAAAAGATATCCAACTTCTGGGGGGGCAAATGTAACTACGGTAGGAATCATGATAGCTGACATTTATTAACCACTTATGATGTTCTAGGCACTGTGTTAAGAATTTGTCACCACCTATTTCATCAGACTCAAGAAGTGAAATAATTGCTAACATGTTATAACAAGTCATGGGTGGAGTCCAGATCTGAACCCAGTTCTGACAGCAAAGCCAACTGTCTTTAGCACCACAGTGTACTGTACTACAGAAACTGCACTGTACTACATAAAAAATGGCAACTGTGAAAACTACATAGCAATATGGGGAAAGATTATGATAAAGTATGCCTTGAATAAAGACTACAAAATTATACATAAAGAATGGCTGGGAGCGGTGGCTCACACCCGTAATCCCAGCACTTTGGGAGGCCGAGGCGGGCAGATCACCTGAGGTTGGGAGTCCGAGACCAGCCGGACCAACATGGAGAAACCCCATCTCTACTAAAAATACAAGATTAGCCGGGAGCAGTGGTACATGCCTGTAATCCCAGCTACTCGGGAGGCTGAAGCAGGAGAATCGCTTGAATCCGGGAGGCAGAGGTTGCGGTGAGCCGAGATCGCGCCATTGCACTCCAGCCTGGGCAACCAGAGTGAAACTCTGTCTCAAAAGAAAAAAGAAAAAAGAAAAAAAAAGAACAGTTACAAGCATGAACTCCCCCACCACCACCACCACACACACACACACACACAGAGGCTGGCTGGGCGTATCAGGCTGGGTGTAATCAGGAAAGAGTAACCTTACAGTAATTTGAACAGGAAAATAATAATATAAACATGTATTAATTATAATAGGGGACTGTAGTCCCCTACAGTTATAAGGAACTGCCTAGTAAAAAGAAAAAAGAATGCTAAATAATACAAGAATAGCAGATATAAGTAGCCACTACCTCAAGGACTGAGACAGAGCACCTAAGAAAAGGTCCTAGATCCCCTTAGACCAGGGCAAGTTGGTGCAGAAGAAGTTGTGTACCGCAATAGCCTAGCATTGAATACAAATGCTGTTTAGAAAAATATGGGGAACATGGAGGTTTCATCCATACCAACTGACTTTGGACCCAACATCACACAGTGCCTGGTACAGATACCCAAGTGTTTTCTACATATATGTCTGAACACCCCAGATAGGAGATATTCTTTTAGGGCAAGGGTTATGTTTCATCCTCCTCCTATAGCCAACCCTATACTTGGTATACATAATGAGTTCAACAACAATTTACTTTTGAACAGAATATATGAACTCTGAGGGAAGACTCCTATTAATCTGTGCCTTTTTTCCATTAATTTTTATTCTATTTTTTCTACTGTAAAAACAAAAATAATGCTTATTAAAGAAAATGCAAAGGTTAAACAAAAGGAGAAAAATATCAGCCATATTCCTGCTACCCAGAAATAATCACTGTTAGTACTTTGGTGCATTTTTTATACCAATAGTTTTCTTTTTTCTTTAAACATAGATGTACAGACATCGTATCCTCCATGCAATTTCATATCCTGAATTTTTTTACTTATCATAAAAAAAGCATTTCTCCAACTCCTCATCAGCTCTTTATTTAAGAATTAATGGTGAATTATTCTCTATAGAAAATGTTTACATTGATGTTGAAACTACCTCAAATGCTAACTGCACAATCTCTTTCTGAAGATTTTAGGTAGTTTACTTAACCACTTCCCTTTTGGAACTCTGAGGTTCTATTTTATTTTTCCTATTATAAATAATTCCATAATGAACATCACTGTACTTCATATTATCTCTGATAGGCCTATTTCCGACGATGGCTGTCCCACGTGTGAAATTACCAGTTCAGATGCTACAAATGCATTTATGGCCACTGAGCAAAACTTAAGATCACCAGCCACCTGCTTCTAAACATGGAAACTGGTAGCTTTCCCTTTTACAACAGGACACAAACCCGAAGCTCCTTCTATGCCCTCTAGTACTAACACTTGCTTACCTATCACCTAACACAGCCTCCCCTCTTCCCTGCCCATAAAACGCTGCCCAGCCCTACATAATTACACGACCCTGGGCTGGTCCCATCGCCTTTCGGACCTCATCAGTCCCCATGCTGCGCAGTTGGAGAGTGGCATGACTGAAGTGCTGGACCAGAGCATATCCTACGGCCCCTCCTGGAGGGGAGGTGGTGCCCTGGGCGCCGAAACCAAGCGCAGGGTCTTGGCAGGGCGCAGTCGCTTCGCCGGTAGACCCGGGGACTCAAAGCAATAGAACTACAGCTTGGAGCTCCAGGGAGAGCCCAAGACACCGCAGCCCTTCCCCATCTAGATTCCGAGATTGGCCCCTGGGCCCCACTCCCAGCCTTCACTTCATCTCCCCTGAAGCCCTTTCTCTTGCCCGCGGCTCACCTAGTCCACCCTCCAGACCTCATTCGGACTTCCCATTCTTCCCAGTGGAGGGGTCGCCCAAACCCCTCGGGGTCTCCTTTCCCCCTCTCCTTTTCTTTCCGCGCCGTCCAAGCCAGTCCCACTCTCCACACTCTGGAAGGTATCGGCTACCCCCAATATTGCGACTGCCTTGCAAGATCCCCCCATCACCTCCTCCGCATGTCTTTCCACGTATCTGTATGGGGTTGTCCCTCTGTCTTTCCCGCCATGACTGGCTTTCCGTCCTATTTCACCCACCCTTCCTCCCACGGATCCGCGAGTCCTCTGGCCCTGGCCCTTTCATTTTATTAGTCCGCCCCTCTCCTGATAGCACCTCTATCCTCTTTAGGTCCCCTCATATGCCCCTCCTCCAAGTCTGTCCCTCAGCGTCCCCGTCCGCGTCTCTACTGTCTGTCCCCGAATGTGTTCCTCTGTTCCTGGAGTCTGGCCCTCGGTCCAGCCAGGCCCCTGCTCACCATCCCTCCCCCGGGCCGGAGAGTCTGCAGCCCGGTTCCCGGTTCTCGCTGGGGTAACTCTTTCCTCTTCCACTTTCTCTACTTTGAACCCATCCCAGCAGAGTCCAGGAAGTAGCCTGGCGCCGGAGACTGGCGGCGGCGACGCCCAATGGGACGCGCCAGCGGCGGCGGCAGCCCCGCCCAGAGAGCAAATGAGACCAATGGTCGCGTGAAGGCGGGACTTCCGCTGTCCCGCGAAGGGCGGGGGGAGCGAACTGTTGTGGTGCGGAGCGTTCGGCGGGCGGCGGCCGGGCGGCCCAGGGGCTGCCGCGGGACTCGGGGCGCAGCCGAGTGGCTGCAGGGGTGGAGTGGGCCGGACGAGCCGCGGGGCCCGGGTGCCGCGGGTTCGAGGCCGGGCCCCGCGCGAGGAGGCCGCGCCACCCCGGGGGAGCTGCCCGGCAGCGAGTTTGCCCCGCTGCCGAAAGAAGGCGGGAGCCGGCAGGGGCCTTCGAAACCCCCTGGCAACCCAGGCCCGGAGTCCTTGGGGAGCGGCTGTTTCCTGGGACGCCCTCCCGGACACCCCCGCTGCAGGGTTACGGTTCTGGGCCCCCGGCAGAAGGCTCCTCCGGGTGACCCCCGGCGGGGCCCTGCGAGCCGCGGGAGCCGACCCCGGGGCCTCGAGCCGGGAGGAAGGGGGCTTCCGGAGGCGGAGGGCCGGGGGCCGAGGGAGCCGGGCCTCTCGGACGCGGGGCAGGGCAGCGCCCGGGCTGGAGACGGACTCTGGGACCCTCGGCTGCGGGGGTCTCAGCGACCTGCCCCGCGGCAAGCGCGGCCGCGGAGTGGCCTACCGGGGACCCTCCCCCAGAGGGACCGGCCCGGGGCGGGGAGATGAACGGCTTCAGCACGGAGGAGGACAGCCGCGAAGGGCCCCCCGCCGCCCCAGCTGCCGCCGCCCCGGGCTACGGCCAGAGCTGCTGCCTCATCGAGGACGGCGAGCGCTGCGTCCGGCCCGCGGGCAACGCCTCCTTCAGCAAGAGGGTCCAGAAGAGCATCTCGCAGAAGAAACTCAAGCTGGACATCGACAAGAGCGTGAGTCCGCCCCCGCTCGCGTCTGGGCCCCGGCGCCCCCAGCTCTCCGTCCGCTGCCCTGGGCTCCAGTCGGGACTCCCCGGGCACTCCCCGCCGTGGGCCTCGCCGCCCCGGCTCTGCAGAACTGAGTTGGACTCCGCATTTCAAAGGCCGCTCCAGCGCTGACATGCTCTGACTGTGATTCTACCCAGATCCGGGAGGATGGGGGCGGGGGCTTCAGGACTCCTGCTGCCTGGAAAGATTGGACAGCAGTTTCCAACTTGTTTTATTGGTTTAGACTTTAGAGCAGGGAGAGGTGGGTTAGTTTTGTTGGCCCTTGAAGGAGCAAGAATCGGAGCGGGGAGTGATGAAGATACCCGGCTCTTTTCCAACTTCTCTCTCCTTCTAGGAACCCTGTTATTCCTTCAGACAGAGAAAGGTGGCAGTTACTTCCCTGGCTCCCGCATCCTCGGTATCAGCAGAGGGTCACCGAGCTAGCTGCTTCGCAGGCAGCTGTGGGAATGGGTTTTTCTAGGATGTGGCAGAAATAAGGCCAAGGCCAGGTCTTGAGAAATGGCTCTTGCAGTCGATGTGACTGGAGGGGGGAAGAAAAGAAATCAATTTTCTTAGTGGTAGTTTCTTTTGAAATAAGGGGGTGGATATTTAAATTTAAATCGGATTGCCCTGCTCTTTGTGGCTTATTATAGGAAACTCCTCCCGTGTGACTTCACCACTTCTAGTTAACAATTCTGAAGCTGTGCCTATTGTCAACCAATTAAGAACTTTTTAGTTTGACATCTGTTGCTACAAGCCTTAAGTGATTGCTTCATGATTAGGAATTGGAAATGAGTTAAGGGGATATTTAATATTCAGGTAGACTAGCTAAGAGCTTAGGTGGTTAACATCCATTCTCTTCTAGAATCAGAATTTCTCCACAGTTGGAGGAAATCAGAGACTGCTTGTTAAACTGAAAGGGAGTGCACGTTTCCCCTCTGATTTTAGGGTTGAAACAGGCCCAGAGATAGGAAGTGAGGGTGTCAGGTACACACAGCACCTAAGAGGCTGGTTAATTTCTTAAAGATATTATCTAATTTACTTCCAAGCCCTATACATAAGTCTTCATTAAGTCTCTAATAAATAAAAAATCTCCCCTGTCCTTTTTCTTTTCTTTTTTTTTTCTTTTTCTTTTTTTTTTTTTTTTTTTTTTTTGAGACGGAGTCTCACTCTGTCACCCAGGCTGGAGTGCAGTGGCAAGATCTCGACTCACTGCAACCTCCGCCTCCCGGGTTGAAGCGATTCTCCTGCCTCAGCCTCCTGAATAGCTGGGATTACAGGCGTTTGCCGCCATGCCTGGCTGATTTTTGTATTTTTAATGGAGATAGGGTTTCGCCATGTTGGACAGGCTGGTCTTGAACTCCTGACCTCAAATGATCCACCCGCCTAGGCCTCCCAAAGTTCTGGGATTACAGGCGTGAGCCACTGCGCCCAGCCCCTGTCCTTTCTTCAGACTCTTCCCTCCTACCCCCATTTTTAAGTTAATCATTATAATACAGTTGCAGCTCTTGCATGGACAGGTGCTATTTTTAAGTGGTTGGGAGAGAGTTAATGGCTTTCTTACTACAAATCTCTATCAATGAATGCATGAATGGAAATATCTGAGAACAAACAAGGGTCTAGACACCAAGGTGATCCCTCCTTAGGTCACACGTTGAGGTGAAATGCTTATGGCAATGAATTCATCCACTTAGAAACACTGCCTACCTTCCGTGTAGGTTGTTAGAAGCTGCTTTACTTGAGCAGCTTATAATAATAATTTCCAGTCCTTAAAAGAATCTTCCAGTCCTTTTAGATCACTGGATGCCTTCCCATCTGAATGATTTTGCTGCTGCAACTGGGACTCCTTTTATTTACCCATTGACTGTACTGGAAAACCTGTGTTGAGCTATGCTGATCATTTCACACACACTGTCTAGAAGAAGGGCAGCCTGAGCCTAGCATTAGTGTTCCCAAAATGTAATACTTCTGAGGTAGTAAGGTTTCCAGGTGGAATCACTCAAAATTTGTTTTAAGGTGGTGTTGTGGAGTCATTATTTCTGAAAGGGATTCTATTTCTTTCTCACAGGCTTGGGCAGGAATTCAATTCCAGGTAACTGGTATGTTACAAGAATTTTTAGCTATTGCAGAAAGTGAAGGAAAAAAAAAAACTAGAGCCTTTGCTACCACCCTCCTGCCCCAACCCCACTCCCAAAGGCCACTGAGCTCTGAAATTTCTGAAAACCAGTATGTACTTGAAAATGGTTAAGGAGAAAATGATTATTTATCTTGTAAGAGAGTCTAGCAGAGAACCTTTTTAAATAACAACACCAGAAATTCAATTCAGGCTGTTTAACTCATTTTATATAGACTTTGGCAGTGTTCTGTGATCTGTTAAAATACTAATATACCTCCAGTTGACATATTTCTGCTTTTTTTTTCCTGGAGAAAAGTGGAAGTTGAGAATAGTATAAAGGAAAATGCTGGAGTAGGAAAAGACATGTACTGGGGGGGCAGAAGGCCTGGGTGACCTTGGCCAGGTCATTTCCTCACTCTGGATGGCTTCATTTTACCCATTTAGAAAACGGATTGGGGTCAATGGGATTGCACTAGTGATTGCTAAGTTCTCTTACAGCTAGGATTCCGTTATTCTATTGTCCTGATCTGAAATCTCCCAGCCAAAGCTTTAGGAAGCCACCTATTCTCCCTGTTCTCCTATGAAGTTTGTTACTGTGAACTTGAGGAGCAGTTGATCTGAGTGGACTCGCCAGTCTAGCTAACATGGAGGGCTAGCTTCCTCTCAGGGATGCAGAGTGTGCTTTGTTGTGCTTTCTTCCTGGAGAAAAGCATGTCCAGTAGTATATACATCAGCTAGGTGGGATTCTTTGGGACAGTGGCATGTGCTGTGTTTGAAAGTCCTTTGACAGAGTTGAATCTGACAAAGCTATCCCAGTTTGTAACCATGTTAAGTGGTGGCTTTCATTAGCCTTAAGCCACTTTTAGATATAGGAGACTTCCTATATTGGTACATCAACATTTTTCGAGTACCTCCTGTCTGCAAGACACCATCACAGTATAAACTTAAAAGTACTTATGACTCACTAATCCAGCCACATGAAAGTGATCATTCATCTGAATAAATAAATAAACAGTTTTCATTATTTTCTCCATGAAAAGGTCTGAATTAATTGATGCGGATTTCCTGCCAGCTTACTTTTATCTTTAAGGATTTAAGGAATAAACTCAAATTCAGAAGTCTCTGCAGAACATTTGTGCAACAGCTGTTTCAGTATCAACAACCCCAAGTCATTTGCTGGGCATTCAGTTTCTGTAAAGTTTTTCAGTGGTTCCTCCAGCCAGCCTTGGAGGATTCTTCATGTCTTAGCTGTTGCTGCCACCTTCACTTACCAGTGTGCCTCCAGCCTGTATTAGAAAATCTGTAGTATCCACCTTCTTGTATGTGGTTCTACCTTGTAAGAACTTCCACATCTTTTTCCACTTTTCTTTGTGGATCAGATGTGAGATAATGCAAGAATTATAAATTGACACATAGAAACAAAGTTTTTCAAAGAGTTATTATCCTACAATAGTAGCTATTGTAATTGTAAAAATAGAGTGTCCCAAATACCGTTGCAACAGTCCCTTGTGTCCTGCTTTCCTCCTCCCCAGGACAGTACATTCCAGTCGACTATAAGTTTATGACTCCTACAGGTCTTCTAAAAATGTCACATCACTTCCTGCTTCCTTGAGGGACTCTGTCTTGTCGGAAGGAAAGTCTAAGCTGTTCTCATGCCCACCCCCCTGATGCCTCACTTTTTCATTATGCTCCTACATGGGCAGCCATCATCACCCAACTGACACTGTACCCTGGGCCTCCTCACTCTTTCTGTCATCCTCCATTGGAAACTCTAAAGTCTTGGCACTCCTACCCATCTGGAATGCTTCCTGTCTGCCTAAAGTCCTCCCTTTTAGTCAGGGCCCTTCACCCTGAGCATCTCTGTTGCAGGGATCTCTTCCTTTGCTGAATCTGTACCATTTACTGTCTTCACCATTCACTGGAAGTTTGGTGTATGATACGCTGCCAAGTGTGATGTTAGCATTCTCTTTGTGTTCTGCAACTCAGTAGTGAGCTTCTGGGAATGATGGCCTACATCTTGTCTTCCATCTATCTCTCCAATGCCCTGCAATGGAAGGAAGCCCCGCAATTCGACAGATACCTATTGCTGTCTCCAAGGAATTGGCCAACTCTGACTTTGATTTTTGTCTCCATCAGGTAAGGCACCTATATATCTGTGATTTTCACAAAAATTTCATCCAGAGTGTCCGAAATAAAAGGAAGAGGAAGACAAGTGACGATGGCGGAGATTCTCCCGAGCACGACACTGACATTCCTGAGGTAAAGGTCAAAGAAACCAGTTGCGGAAGCTGGAAGAATGGATTCTAATCTGATTCTCACCTCTGGCCTGGTCTGCTTTTTGTGTTAAGAAGTAATTTTAGTCCTTTTGTTTTGCTGTGGATTATTTGAAAAGTGAATTATAGTAATATGGAATCTGAGAGCTAAAAGCTTGGACACCCACTGGTCAGACTGCCCCATCATTTTACAGACAGGCACAGAGAGCCGAGGTCATGTATATAGTTTGGAGGCTCTAGTCTAGGGCCCTTTCCAGTAGACCACACTGCTTTTCTGCAAGACGCCCCTGACGAATGCGTAAATACAACCACAGTGTCACTTTTTTTTAAACCTTGTTTATGCCTTTAGAGAGTGTATAATGGTTTGGGAGAAGTCTTTTCCCCAAAAAATGAAGGTGTAAGTCATCAGTTCATACCAGCTCTGATTTTCTCTCACTGATTTCTTGACATCTAGTCCAGGCTGTTCCCAAGGATCCATTTCAAAGTTGACTAAACTGGACCCGGTTTTCTCAACTCTAGCACTGTTGACATTTGGGGTCAGCTAATTTTTGTTGTGGGGACTGTCCTCTGCATTGTAGGATATTTAACAGCATGCCTCAGCAGCATCCCCTCGTGAGATTCTACCCATCACCACCCTGAGTCATGACAATCAAAACGTGTCTCCAGACATTGCCACACCTCCTTTACAAGACAAAATCGTCCTGTGTTGAGAACCACTGCGCTAGACCATGAGACCTAGGCTTCTCAAACTGGAAGGCTGCCTTCCCTTCAGGTGCCCGTGTCTATTAAGTGAGGCTTCAGGAAGGAATATTGGATTTTCTTTCTACTAAATTGTTTTCACTCAAGACTCAGCAAGAGAAGAACCGTTTATAGTGTACATTGAATATTTGACACATGAATATTTCATAAGGCAACCGCCTGTTAGCACTCAGAGTGAAAATGACTGTGTAGGAATAGAAAGAGTAGGCGGGCCTTTGTCTGCAGATGTGGAGGAAACCGTTGAAAATCTGGCCCTTTCCCTCTGCCCCTCCCTGTGTCCCCTTTTCCAATGTTGGTTTACAGAATCTTGCTTTTGCCTTTAACGTTATTGTTATTTTACAAAGAAATGGACGTATTCGATTTCTAAGTGGTTTTCACCAAAAAAAAAAAAAAAAAGGTTTTGAGGAATGTTTTGAAAAAGAATGAAGGACTTTGGCCCCTCATATTGATCATTCATTTTGTTTTTAAGTGCTCTCCACCTGCCTGAAGCAAGAACAGCTCTTTTAGAGGCAGGTAAAGGCAGCCCAACTTTATGGGCCTTCAATTTTTCATGACTATGCAGCTTTCCTCTCTTCCTTTGTTAGAAACAAAAAGGGGGGGTCCCTTCCCCTCTGTTATCCAGTCATCTGCAAAGACCCCAGCCCTAACCTGCTGGATTGCACATTCACTACAGTAACTTTTGAACTTTCTCTGGAGGGAGGTTAAGGATTCTAATACCAGAAGGCTGGGCCTAGCAAAGAGCTATTTGAGGATAACAGCCCTCCTTTGTGCTCCTCTATCCGGTCGCTGCCTCGTTCTGGCCTATCATCCTCCAGGATGTCTCTGGTTTTTGCCTTTGCTCTCCATCTTTGGTGTCCCTTCTAGCATCACTGCCCCTCCAAAGCTCAGCCTCTTCATCTCATTCTGATTGTTGCTATAGCATCTCCCTCCGTATCCCCCCATCAGTCTTCCCAACAACCACCACCAGACCCATCCTGCGCCATCGCCCTCCACCCTCTGTGATAGCTCCTTCTGTTTTTCTGGATGTGCTACCATCCATTCTCACCTTTTAAATTCATCACAGTTGCCTGTGACCCCCTTGCCCATCTGTGCCTCTCCCAGCTCTCTGTGCTGTGATCTTTTCCCCTATTCCCTACCGTTTCTCAGTGCTTTATCAGACCCTGCTCCTCCTTAGCTTAAGCTTTACCTTTTCCACCAGTTTTGTGAGATCAGCCCACCCCAGCCAGAACTGTTTTTCTACTGTTATTTTTGCCCTCCTAGCCAGTTACTAGTCCTCAATAGACCATTTCTAAGACCTCTTTTGAAGCCCTCCCCATCCTCACCCCTACCTTAGTGTAGTGCTAGGCACATAGTGGGCTCTTGGTGAGTCCTGGGTGGTCAGGTGATGGATAACATTTTTCTCCTCTTCTCCCTAGGTTGATCTGTTCCAGCTGCAGGTGAACACCCTACGACGTTATAAACGACACTACAAGTTGCAGACCAGACCAGGCTTCAATAAGGCCCAGTTAGCAGAAGTAGGTAGACAAAATTGCCCTCTAAAGAGAGCCAGCATTGTGCTGCTTCTGATGGTTACCCTGATTCTCCCTTACCTTGTGTGTCTGCTAATTGTAATTTCCTCCAGAGTTCTGGAAGCAACTCTGTATTCCTCTTTGGCAATTTAGAACCCCACAGCTTTAGACCTGCAAAGGCCTCAGTTCCAGAAAAGAAACCATGGCACAGAAAGAGGAAAGGATTTGCTTAAAATCACACAGCAAGTTGATAGCAGAATTGAGCCTGGGATCTCATGACTCCAGATTCTAAGTCCTGAGTGTTCATTTGTTTGAATCTTTTTTGGAAGATTCCTCTTTTTGTTTTTTTGGAGACAAGATTTTGCTTTATCACCCAGGCTAGAGTGCAGTGGCTCAGTCTGGGCTGACTGCAGCCCCAACCTCCCAGCTTCAAGTGATCCTTCCCACCTCAGCCTCCAGAGTAGCTAGGACCACAGGTGCACACCCCTATGCACAGCTAATTTTATTTTTATAGAGATGCAGCCTCACTATGTTGCTCAAGTGATTCTCTTTGGCTCAAGCCATCCTTCCACCTCAGCCTCCCAAAGTGCTGAGATTACAGGCGTGAGCCACTGTGCCTGGCTTAGCAAAATGCTTTTTAGATATGATCATTTTGTGTGTCAGATTAATCATTTCAAAACCTTGATGTTCTACAGGAGCTATTTTTTTTTCCTTGATTTCTCCTACTCTGGTGTTGGTAATGACAGTATTTTAATGAATGGCACCCAAGAAAGTTTTCTCCTGCCCTGAGTTATTAACACAGTTTGGATTACGGGGAAATGCTCCACTGGCCATTTTTAAAATACATGAACTGCCTGGCTTGATAATTCTGTCTTTGTCATTTCTGCAGGTATTTTCTAATCCCTCTTTTCTTAATATATTTTTCTGCCTATTACAGAAAAGTTGGAAAATGGAGAAAAGAAAAATATAATTCTATCATCCAGAGATAACCACTCTTTATGTCTAGTTCTCTGTCTTTTTTTATCTGTTTCAGCCACCTTGATCCATTGAGATTTCCTGAAAGGCTTCCAGCCTGTTTCATTTTTGGTTTTTCCTTTAGAGGTTTCTTGCTCGACCGTCACTTTTTCTTAAACAACTCCTTCACCAGTGTCCAGATGACACACAGGAGGTCAGAAGCCTCTCCTACTTTAAAATAACATCACCCATTTGCCAGTGTTCTCCCTGGTGGAAGGGAAAGAATGAGGTGGGGCAAGAGGAGACCTGCATTCTCATTACTTATGGAATGAAGTATTAGGAGCATTAGTAAATGATGCATTTTCCTTCAAACCTGATATGTCTTTCAGGAGGCAGTTATGCACTACTTAGAAGAATTTTGGGGTTCAGATGCCTCTGTTCAATTTGTTCAATTGGCTGTTCATTTAACACAATTTTTTTTTTTTTTTAAAGACAGAGTCTTGCTCTATCTCCCAGGCTGGAGTGCATTGCTATGATCTCAGCTCACCACAGCCTCCACCTCCCGGGTTCAAGTGATTCTTCTCCATGTTTCCCGAGTGGCTGGGATTACAGGTGCCTGTCACCACACCCGGCTAATCTTTGTATTTTTAGTAGAGGCTGGGTTTCACCATGTTGGCCAGGCTGGTCTCGGACTCCTGACTTCAGGTGATCTGCCTGCCTTGGCCTCCCAAAGTGCTAGGATTACAGGTGTGAGCCACCATCCCCAGCCTAACCCAATTTTTATTTGTTTTTGAGACAAGGTCTTGCTCTGTCTCCTAGGCTGGGGTGCAGTCACAGCTCACTGCAGCTTCAACCTCCTGGGCTCAAGTGATCCTCCCACCTCAGCCTCCTGAGTAGCTGGGACCACAGGTGCATGCTACGACACCTGGCTAATTTTTTGGTAGAGATGAGTTCTCCACTGTGTTGCCTAGGCTGGTCTCGAACTCCTGGCCTCAACTAATCCTCCCACCTTAACCTCCCAAAGCATTGGGATTATAGGTGTGAGCCACCACGCCTGCCCCACAATTTTTTAAAGACACATTTCTTCCCACTTTCAAGGCCTGAGAGGTTTGGTAGCAGCTGGCCAACCAGAGCAGTCCCAGTCTCTCCTCCATGAGTATGACTGTGAAATCATGCCATGACAGGTGGTTGGCTGCCACTGAAATAGAACTGCACCTTGGAAGAGTTGTAGGTTAAAAAGCCACTTTTGGATCCTGGAAATTAAACCACCTACATCCCTGGGGAGGAAGGGCAAAGGGCACTCTGAGTTCCGCACATGGCAGGAAGTTCTTCAGCATTTGTCATTCCCGCCACAGCATGCAAACAACTCCATTCGCTTCTTTGTACAATGTAGAATTTGCGGTGTGATTTGTGCATGGTTTAAGGAACTTTGGTATTTTCCCCCCACATAGACTGTGAGTCGACACTTCAGGAACATACCTGTGAATGAAAAAGAGACCCTTGCCTACTTCATCTACATGGTGAAGAGTAACAAGAGTAGACTGGACCAGAAATCGGAGGGTGGCAAGCAGCTTGAGTGAGGATGAAGCACATCTTAAAGGAATGAAGTGTAATGCTTGATGCACAGGTGATATCTACTACATTTAAGCCCATAAAGACTGTTAAATATTATTGTAAATAAAAAAGTTTGAATGATGAATACTGTAAATCTTTTTGGTCAGGAGGATTATATTCTCATGATTCAGCATGTGTATAGAAAGACTTTCTTTTACGATAACTCTGGACTAAAAAAATCAGGATCATTAAAAGAATTAAAAACTATGTATTTCAGCATTCAACAAAGCATTAAATCAATTCTACTGGAAATGTGGGATAAGAAATATTTTGGTAATCACCTTATCCACCAGGCTGCCACGTGTGAGCTGTAGCTTGGAATAGCAGCAAGGTGCAATTGGCCATGGAAGTGCATGAGCAGACCCACATCTGGACTTGCATGCTGCCCGCTGGCGACATAGATATCCCGCCCGCTTTGTTGCAAGCTTTGTCATTTATCAGCAGATCAGTTTGACACTGGTCCCCCTCACTCACCCTGTGCCTTGTACACAGTAGGCACTCAATCAGTAGGTATTGGCTAATTGAGCTGTCACTAATAGTGCCAGCCTTGTAACATCCGCTTCACACCTCTCATGACTGAGACCTCTGCCATTTCTGTTGCTCACCACTTAACTGCTAGAATGTGGAGGAAATCCTGATGCACCAACAAGGAAGTTTCTGATCAGATAAGGATTTCAGGACAGTTGCATGTGCAAAACTATTCGTTGAGGTTCCAGAAACACTGATATAGAGACCCTCACAGAAGATACGGTCCCTTATGCACCCCACTATGCTTCACTCTTTGGGGTGCAGTTAGATATTATGACTTCAGCCAAGCTTCTTGGTAATAAATGCATTGACACACTGACATATTTAGTAGGTTGGGGCAAGTATTTTTAGAAGTTTTCATCCTAAGTTCACAACCACCATGCAAGCTGCCAGGGGCCATGTGATTCCTGCCCAGAAGTTCAGCTTAGGATTGAAAGTCTGGCTGGCCTTGACTCCCTGGGCTCTGGTCATCAGCAAATCATGAGTTTGGGCAACAAAGGTCAATTCCATCTGATGCTCATTTTTGTGAACAATTTGCCTCCCTCTTAGGGAGAAAGATTGCTAAAATAATTTTTGAAAATTACCTAATTTTTTTGTTGTTCAAAACGTTGAACTCCTCAATCTAATTATATCAGAGCCAAAGTATCCTGTGAAAACAAAGCTTTATATCCAAAAATGTGCTTTTGCAAAATTCTTTAATCTGTGTAATGGAGGGCAGAGGGTATGGGGTAGGAGGGTGGGAGAAAGAAAAGAAAAGAATTTGGATTCTAATTTATGACCATCTTGACATATGGTCAAAGGTGTCATTTTCCTACTCAGTTTCAATTCTGAGTTAATTTCTTAAGCCTTAAATAATAAGAACAATGGACAGCCTGGCCTGGCAGAGAGTTTCACAGATGACTTAATCTGAGCACCATCACAGAGAAGTCAGGACTAAACCCCCTACTGAGCAGGGCGGCGGAGTGTCCAAAGGTCTCAGTTCTGTGGAGCAGAGTACCACGCTTTCTGTGGAATGGGGACAGGGTCACCACGCTCACTAAAATGCAGTATGTTCCATTGCAGCAAAGCTTTCGCCTGTGTTCAAAATGCATGTCTAGCAGATTGCAGCCTTTTAAATTAAATATATATAAATGGTTGTATATAGAATATACTCTGGACTGTGAGGGCATCCTATTTTGGTATGCCTCCTGGCTGTGGATGGCATGTCCAGTGCTCTGTGAGTGTTTTCAGTCATTCACATTCACTATGTGTTTAGAGATTCTCTCCCTGCTTACAGCTGAAGGATGTTGATACAGGCATCAAGAAGGCTGAGGGGCAGATGGGGCCTGCAGGTTAAGGCATTGTTAACTTGCTCCATGGAAATGTCCATATCTTAATGAGTAAAAAAGTGTATTTTTCTGATACGTAAACCAGAATTGTGGGCGTGTAGGTCACATCACTATTTCTTTAGCAGCAAATCTGTTTTCCCAGTTGAGAGAGACAATAGCTTCTGCACAAGAATATATGATGGTAGGATCCATCTGTTCAATTGTGTCTGAAAGAATCTTTATTCCAAAGCGAAACCTGGGGAAATGTTTTACCTTCAGCCAGATGCTGTGTGTGTACTTGGGTCCCTTGTCTTTCCTCTAAGGAGAGGTGCTTGTGGAAAGTGGAGGTTGTGGGCATCTTTTCAACCTTTTCAATCTGACCTTTCAACAGGTCAGGTGAGAGAAAAGACAAAGCTATTTGAACCTATGTTTTTCTTATGTCCAGAAATCTGTTCTTTCATCAAACCACTAAACCACTCGCCTTAGCCTCTTCTGCAGTTTCTGGTGGCTCTATCTGTGGGCAAGGGACTCCTGCCTGTGAGAAGTGGCCAGGCCCTCCAGAGCAACGGGGTCTGGCTTCAGGGAGCAGTGGGGTGTGGGGAAAGCAATGTTCATCTTGGCTGCTCCATTTTTATACCATCCATCAAGGACTCTTGCGCTTCTCTCCACCTGTGACGTAGCAGCATTGCCTTCTTTCCTCTTGGTGCTTCTGGGCAAAACTGGAATTTGAAATCCAGAACTGGCGTTGTCTTCTTAAAGAGTATGGTTCCTGCCTCAGTTCCAGCCTGGTATGGTTCTTTGATATGCCCTGAAGGTTCTCACATGGAAACATCAGTATCCTGCCATTCATGTTGTTTTAAGATGTTTTAAAAACCAATGGACAAACTTCTTGCTTCAAGGAACAAACTCTTAGGTTGGCAACAGCATATAAAAAAAAAGATCACAGCTGAATCTCATGAAAGATTAAAAACCAAAGGATTCAAGACCGGTGTTGTAAAATGAAGAGGAATTTTACTTACATGTTACAGCTGCCAAGTTTTTAGATGTTCCTGTCATAGCTAAATAGTCACTGCTAGCCTTTCAGAGAACAGATAGTAACAATTGTTTGCAGCTGCAGTGTTGCATCTAATTTTGGTGTTTAGGCTTTTTATTTTGTGGGAAGCTTTTTGTTAATATCCTGCAGGGCAACTGCCTGTTGGGAGGGAGAGGATGGAAGAAGGAGCTTACTCTGGGGGCCTTGCCTATTGAGGGAGGCTGTTGCCCAGAGCAGTTGCTTCATGGAAGTCATCCAAAGGCGCTCTCAGTCATTACAATGACAGGATCTCAAAGTTGGGAAAGGGCTGTTAAGTCATCCAGTCTAGTCTCCACATAGGTGCTGACATTCTGCCTACAACCATCCCACCAAGGGGTTGAGCAGTCTGGACTTAAACACCTCCGAGGACAGAGAACCCACTACCTCGTGGAGAAGCCTGTTCTTTGTAAACCTCTGGCTTTTCTATGTTCTCTGTAATTTCCATCTTAGTCTCTGCCCCATGGGGGCCACATGGGACAAGTTATTTTTGGCAAAGCACCTAATTGCTGGCACTGTCCCAAAGCATAGCGTTTGCCTTTTGGAAAGAAACAATGCTAGGACATGGACACTTTGGTACACTGTCCTTACCCCTGAGTATTAGTCCACTCAGTTCCTTGTTGGAGAATGTTGAGAAAACCCTACTGGCTGGCTTGTTTCTGCCAAAGCTTGGGGAGAGGAGAGGGGGATGAGAAGATGTTAGCAGCCTGCTAAACCTCAGACAGATGAGGACTCAGTTCTGTGCTTGCCCCACAAAAACGGATGCTCACATCATCAGGAAATTGTTCAGCTGGAGGATTTATAACTTCGTTGCTTTGCATGAAGTTTAAAGTTTTCATGGTTGCCCAGGGCTTGTACCTTAGATTCCTGTAAGGACTTTGCACTGTTTTTGCTGAGAAAACAACGCTTCAGGACTTAAGGTCTAAGCGTCAGAGAAGTGCCGTATTTTCAAGGTGGAAAGTCTGTTAAGCTTGCTGTTGTCCAATCATCCGTTTTTAGAGATGGGGAAACTAAAACTCAAAAAGATGTGCCTGAGGTCATATGGCATTATCAGAACCAACCTCTGGCCCTCTTGACCTGTCTAGCATTCTTTCTTTCTGACCTATAGGATGACTCTAATTCAGTCTAAATCGGCTGCCCTCAGATTCTTGAGAACTTAAAATTGAGCAGAAATTCCCAAGGCCAACCTAGCTCTCAGGGACCAACCTGCAGAACTCAAGATTGAGCGAAATGTTTAGGCCAGTTGAGTTTTGCAAAATGAGTGGTAAGGGAAAACAGATCTAGCCTGTTATTTAAAACCAGGGTTCAAAAGCCCTATTGGGAGAGGTAGTATTGTCCTAGCATTTAAATTCTCATGAAATGTGCTTGGTCTGTGATCTCTTGGTCAGATATCTGCCTTCCAGGCGATCCTTTGAGGTTGTGTAATTCAGCTGGCCCTGGCTCCTGGTCCCTGTTACTGAGCTGGGCAGTCGAACCGAAGGGCAGATGAGCTCAAGATCATGCCTTGGGAAGCATGGTGCTCTAGGGGTGCCTTTTTATTCCTTTCATTGTATTATAGACTGTTTCCAAGTTTATGGTTAGAAATGGTAAAGTGGGTCTGGTGTTTTGAGGTAGAACCCAGCCTAGGGCAAGATATGAACTGTTCTTGAGGTAGAAATGTCTACAGTCAGTTGTTTCATCTAGCTTGCATCTTAAAACACAAACCCTTCAGTTGCTTTCACTTAATGCACACATTTGCCAATGACAGAGGGTTATACAGGATCCTTCTTTTACATTTCTATTGTCTGCTACGCTCATCAGAGTATATTTTGGGGTACAAGGTTTTGGGGGTTTTTTTTCCCATTTTGTAACTGCCTTATTGAAAAGTAAGTGCCCTTCCATTCCAGGCCTCCTCATATTGTACTTGTTTCCTGCCAAATCTGGGGGATCATTTGTATTTTAACTTCGTAATCTATGGCTCTGTACTGTTGAAAGGCTCTCAATTCTGTGGGGTCTCCTTAGTATGTATGTGACTTTTCATGTTGCAATATCACACGATGGGATGGCCCGACTTTTGCTCTTAATAAATAATCTGAATGAGTAAGAGACCCTCTGTCTTCCCTTTGAATTTTTATATAGAATTCAGATGCTTTCACTTCCACATTTGGCCCCTGGCAGTGTATTACAGTGATTAATGACAGTGGTCTTTCCTCCCAGCTCCAAATACTAGCACCTACATCCCCAGTGCACACTGAGTTTAGATCCCAGAAGGTTAGGCCCAAGTTCCAGTACTGCTATCCCATTCACTCACCTGGAAAGAGACTGACTGGGTCCAACAGCCTGAGTCTGGAGCTCAACTTCCATGTAGTGTACTGGATGCACTGGGCAAATAGAGTTCTCTCTCTGGGTCTTCAGTTCTCCATCTAAATAAACTGTATGGAGGATTGATTGCACATTGAAATATCTGCAGAGGGTGAGCTGCAAACTGGAAAACTCAGGTCCCTTCTAAGGGCAGCCACTACTCAGCTCCCCGCTACTGTAGCCTTATGGGCACACCAGCCCTGTGTGACCGGGTCTTGCAATTTGACTGGAGAAGCTGGAAATTCAGATCTTCATGTAAACATCCCAATGTTTAAATGTCTCAAAGACATTTTTAACAGCGTGTGACCTGGAGTTTCTTCACCTACAGTAGAGTCTTGCTATTTAAAGTTGGTCCATCATCTGGGCACTTGTTGGAAATGCAGAATCTCCCAGCCCCTCCTGCTGGCCGTCTACTGAATCAGAATCTGCATAGTAGCAAATTCCCTAGGGATACTACAGCTTGAGAAGCCAGGGCAGTATGACTGCACGTTCCTGGTGGAGGTCCCTGAGGCTACCGGATGACGCCTCTCGCCTGTCCTCACAGTGCTAGAGAAGAGAAAGGCAAGCCTCAAGTTCAGGTCTCCCACTTCAAGCCTGTCTCTAGTGCCACTTTACCACAGCTTTGTCCTCAGCAGAATGAAAAGGGAGAAGTGCAATAAATATTTGTCTTTATCATATTAGTTACATAGAAGTAATACATCTTAGCTCTAAAATTTTAAGCCTTACAGAAATTTTAAAAGTGCAGATCCTTTCCTTCCCACATCCTTCTCCTCTCCCATTCCACTCCCCTGTAAGGAGTGTGGAGGGTGGCTTTTCATGAGATATTTGAGAGGACAGGAAGTCCTGGCTCTCACCAAGGAGCTCACAGAATTAGTGATGGATTGTTGCTGAAGGACACCATCATTTACAGGGTCCCTGAGTTGCTTTAGAAAGCAAAGGAAGTTCCAGTTTTCATACTGTGTTTCTTAGCATAAGTAGTTGCTTCCCCTCCTCTGCCATCCTCCCATTCTTTTTTTTCTTTTTTTTTTTTTTTTTTGAGACGGAGTCTCACTTTTTCACCTAGGCTGGAGTGCAGTGGCGCAGTCTCGGCTCACTGCAAGCTCCGCCTCCCGGGTTCATGCCATTCTCCTGCCTCAGCCTCCTGAGTAGCTGGGACTACAGGCGCCCACCACTGCTAATTTTTTGTATTTTTAGTAGAGACGGGGTTTCACCGTGTTAGCCAGGATGGTCTCGATCTCCTGACCTCGTGATCCACCCGTCTTGGCCTCCCAAAGTGCTAGGATTACAGGCGTGAGCCACCGCACTCGGCCTCTCCCATTCTTTTATACTGTGTCTAACCATGGGGGCCTGCCTGCTGTCCTCACACACTGAATGGCAAAGGGGTGCTTTGTCCCCACACTTTGAAAACTGGCTGACCCCCTGCTGCAGTAAACATCCCTTGATGATCCACAGATATCAATTTAATGGAAAGATGGAGATGAACCCACATGTTAATATGCTATTAGAACAGAAGTTTCACGAGGAACCCAACACCCTTTTATTTTCTTTTCAAAATAGAGCTTTAGGACATCGAATATCAGATCATCTGAGGTCCGGTGTTTTAATCCCAGCACTTTGGGAGGCCGAGGCGGGCGGATCACAAGGTCAAGAGATCAAGACCATCCTGGCCAACATGGTGAAACCCTGTCTCTACTAAAAATACAAAAATTAGCTGGGCATGGTAACACGCACCTGTAGTCCCAGCTACTCAGGAGGCTGAGGCAGGAGAATCGCTTGAACCCGGCGGAGGTTGCAGTGAACCAAGATCGTGCCACTGCACTCAGCCTGGCGACAGAGCAAGACTCCATCTCAAAAAGAAAAAAAGTGTGGCACTTGCCACCCCTTACCCCCATCAGAATCCCCTAAGCACTCTGTTGCAATGCCAATTCCTGGGCCCCCATTCCAGATCCTCAGAATGAAAAGCTCAGGGTCTAAGTCCCAGTAATAATGATTTTTAAAATTTCTCCAGGTAAGACTTAAGCTCAATAAAGTTGAGAAGCACCAATCTGGTCCAGAGGTTTCCCAATCCCAGCACAGAGATGAACAGCTTCAGTATCACCTGTTCAAATACTAGTTAAAAGTTCCCCTTGAGCTCTCTTTCATGAGAATTTTCTCAAGTGAAGCCCAGGAAACTATGTTTTTATAAAATCCTCTCGGATGCTGGGCGCGTTTTATAAAATCCTCTCGGATGCTATAATCGCAGCAATTTGGGAGGCCGAGGTGGGTGGATCACTCGAGGTCAAGAGTTCGAGACCAGCCTGGCCAACATGGCGAAACCTTGCCTCTACCATACAAAAACATTTAGCTGGGCATGGTGGCACATGCCTGTAATCCCAGCTACTAGGGAGGCTAAGACAGGAGAATCGCTTGAACCCAGGAGGCGGAGGTTGCAGTAAGCCAAGATTGCACCACTGCACTTCCAGCCTGGGCGACAGAGCAAGATTCTTATCTCAAAAAAAAAAAAAATCCTTTCAGAAATTTATCTGCACATCCAGGTTTAGGAACCACTGAGTCCAATCCCCTAAGGCCCTGGTCAAGAAAGTATTATAACTATGTTACGTTCAGCATCAAACAGCTCAGAAGTGGCAGAGTCTGAGCAAACAGAGTGGCTGACACTGTTGTCATTCAAATGGATGATCTTCAGTCTGCAGAAAACCAGAATGAAAATAACCCACCATTCCAGCCCAAGACCTGACACAGAGGAGGACACTATATTTATTTAGTACTGGGACTGAGTCTTCTGTGTACTCAACAGTTTTTTGTCTACAAAGATCTTCTATATTCAGGAATAATAATAGCTATCAAGTACAGAGTCCATGCCAGACAATGGCTAATAGTTTTATGTGCATTAATTCATTTAATCTCACTACAATCATACAAAGTAGGAACTATTATTAACTCCAATTTATAGAGATGTAAATACAGTCTCAGAAAAGCTGAGGAACTTGCCCCAGTAACAATGAGAGCCAAAGAGGTAAAGGCACTCCCAGGATGGATCCCCAAGGCTTGCCTCGCTCTAGGGATACTGCTGTCAACCCCACCGTCCAAGAACTCAGAATGCCAAGCTCTGAAGCAGCGCAGCTACAACAGTTACCCTTGTCCCAATCAACTGGATTTACTAAACTTTAATGAGGGATTTTGAGAAGTCACTAGGACTCTAGTTAAGAAATTTAATAGGGTTTAATGGAGGTTAACAAGGTACATCCAACCTTCTAGCCAGGTTTTAACTTACCAGAGCTGAACAGAGATTAACAAGCCCAGGAGGTGTAAAGGCACCTGCATGATTTAATGGGGTTAATGAAACTGTCAGAGGTTGGCTGAGAGGGAGAGAACTGGAGCATGCTGCTGTTAACAGTCGATCTGGTTGAGGTCAACAGACATTTATTAAACAGCTGAAGCCTGCCCTGTTCTGCCCTGGGCACCACAAGGGTAGCCAGTTAAGAAAGACCACAACTGATATGGCAACCATGGTTAGTCCTGGTTGGTGATTTTGGAGTAAATTTGACTCTCTTCTTTGTGCTTTCTTGGTATCATCTAAACTGGTTATAATGAACACAAATCATTTTCACCGTAACTGTAAAATAGCAAAGCATTTTTAAGTGCCTTCAAAGCACTTACTACCTGCTTGCATAGTTTACTTTACATATTCCCGAAACATATAGAAAGTAGTAAGAGAAGTAAAAGCAACAACAATAATACAACCTTAAATTTGAGCAGCACTTAAAGTGTTGTACAGCGCTGTCATCCATCACTTCTGTGAGTTTTTGTCACGCTATGAAACAGTGATATACAAAGTCACACTGGTAGTGGAGAAGACAGAGAAAATCTTCATCTTCCGCCTCCCGAATTGGTACTGTTTTTTCACTGAGCACTTACAATGTGACAGTCCCAATGGTAAGTAAGCACTGTACATGCCTTGATAACCCTATGAGATGAGTATTATTATTATCCCCATTTTATAGATGAAAAAATCGTTTAGAAGGGTGAAGTGGCTTGCCCAAGGTCACCAGGAAACGGTGGGGATGAGTCACACAGGTTCCAGCGTCCACTATGTCATGCTGCCTAATACTTGAGTAAGATAATATTTCGCAAGAGCATTGTTTAGAACAGTGAAGAACTGGAAACAGCCTATATATCAAATACTAGGAGACTGGTCTTGAAAGCATTATACATATGTCATAATTGTAAAATAATGTTTAATGACATAGAAAGATATGCATATCAGCTTAGAAATACTATATATGTAAACATATGTATACAGAGTATCTATATACAACTATATGGAATATGTATCTGTATAGATATATGTTTATATACATAGTATACATGTATATTTATACACACATATCTGTAACTATGACCATATATAATTTTTTTTCTTTGAGACAGGGTCTCACTTTGTCACCAGGTGATTGGAGTACAGTGGTGCGATCTTGGCTCACTGTGGCCTCAACCTCCCAGGCTGAAGTGATCCTCCTGCCTCAGTCCCCCAAGTAGCTGGGACTACAGGCGTGCACCACCACCATGCCTGGCTGATTTTTTTGGTATTTTTTGTAGAGATGGGGTTTTGCCATGTTGTTACCCAGGCTGGTCTCGAACTCCTGAGCTCAAGCAATCTGCCAGCCTTGTCCTCCCAAAGTGCTGGGATTATAGGCGTGAGCTACCATGCCCAACCCTGCTATGACCATATTTATAGGTAAATCAAAGCATCTACTTGCTAACTTCATGTGTAGCCACACTCTATCTATGTGATTCAGAGTAAGGGGAAAATACCAAGGAAAAGGCATTCTGAAAAGTAGGGGAGCTTCCCGGAAGAGGAAGCACCTAAGCAGGCCCTTGAAGGAAACAGGTTTGATGAGATGAGAGTGAAGGGAAGTCCAGGCTGATGTGACAGTGAATGAGGAGCAGAAAGCCTCATGCTGGAATGAGTACCTTGAACTTTGGAGTCATCAAACCTGCTATTATTAAAAAAAACAACCCATTGATGAAATATGGTCACAAAAGTATTTGAGTATCTGCTGTGGGCCAGGTGCCAAAGGAAACGGACTCTGTCCTCCAGGAGCCAGGAATTTCAGAGGAGCTAAGACTCAGACAGGAGTGGGAAGTAGTCCTTCAACTACTAAAATCATAGAATCTGTGATGAAAGCTCGGAGCCCTGCGTCAACCCTACTTCTGAGGAAGGAGCAGTGCATAACGGGCACTTGAAGTCTTAGAGAAGCCAATGAGGGTTAGCAAATGTAATGAGCTTAATTAAGCTAAAACAGTTAAAAGAGACTTCCTGAGGGCTCATAGCCACTAGCAAGATTGGCCTTTGTTAAGTGAGCAGTGGGAGGTTACCTGTGCCCAACCAGAGCCTCTCCTGCCTAAGTGATGGGGGATGCAGGAGTGGACCAGGCTTCAAAGGGAGCCATCCAGTCAGCTGGGCTGGGACAGGTTCAGCAGAGCTCAGACTCAGCCACGCGCACTAGCAACTGCCAGAAGGTGAAGCTGTATCTAATGAAACTTACTGAAGCCCAAAGAATGAGGACTGAGGGAATCAATTACTCACAAGACCGCAGCCTGCCTACTGGGGTTTATCTAAACTAGATGAAGTTGAACTTGGCTGAGTCAATTTAAACAGTTCCAAGGGGGCTCCTTCATCTTCAGCGAAGGGTGTTCTATCTCTGGTGGCTAATATAGTTTTCAAATGTATGCTATTCGTATTTCTATCAAGGAATATTTCCAAAGCTGGATATGAAAAGATGGTCAGGATGGCCCAGCTGCAGAAATATAGCTATTATTTGTTAAGCACCGACTGGGAAGTAGACACTGTGCTAGGGTCTTTGTATATGGTCCTAATCCTCACACAGACCTGCAAAGAAGCTATTATCATTGCTAGTTTTCAGATGGGAAAACTACAGCTTGGAGAAGTCAGGTGACTCACCCAGGGTCTCACAGTGAACTGGGATTTGAGCCTATGTCAGTCTGACTCCCCTGTGCACCATGCAACCTACACCACAGAATGAAGTGGAATATTGACCATGCTGGGAAGATGGAAGAGTGGTAAAAGCTGTTGGAAGAACTCAGGATCCCAGCAACCTGGGTTATTTAGTGCAGGGGGAAACTGCCCTCTGTGTTCCATTAGCCCTGTGTAGTAGTGGCAGAAATATTCTGAGTTACTAGGAGAGGACTGTGTTTGTTCAGTGGCTTCTATTCAAAGGAACAGGAAAAAAAAGTGTGGCGCATTTCAGATTTCACATAGTAAGGAAACACAGATCCCTGTCCCTAAGGCATATTTAGGTAAGAAGGCCTCAGAGATCTTGGGTTACAAAACCCCAGCGTCCCTCAGGAGTTAGGCTCACACCCAGGACTCCTGGTTTTGTGAACTTGCTGAGTCCCTTCTCTACGCCCCTGAATTGCCAGAGGAAGTTAAAGAAAGGGAGTCCTGGGGCTCCGGGCTCACCTTGCAAGGAGGAGTCTGGGATCCTGTCTGGTTTCTCTGCGCTGAGAGTGCAGAAGAGGGAGTATGGCCACCAGGTGGCGCCCTCCCCTCAATCGGTGGCAGCCTCAGGCCACAGGGGAAGGCCCTAGGAGTATTTTCTGTCCCTCATAGAGATGCTGTATTTGGTGAATACTTCGATTCACACCGTTGTAAAAATCCTAGAGAGTCCATGCAGAAAGGGACTTAGATCTGGTCCCCCTTCCTTGTTTTACAGAGTCCAGCTGGGGCAAGGAAGTACCGAAGGTCACACAGCAAACTGAACCCCCTTCTCTTGCCTTCTGGGGCTAGTGCTTTTCCTGCCACACTAGCTGTTCTTGCACTTCCAGCCACACCTCCCACGCCTCACCGTCGGACAGCCTGCGCTCTACCCTCAGCCAAGAGCCTGGTCTCAGGGTGCCCTGAAGGGCCACGCTGTCTTCGCCTTTCCTGCCACACTCTGTCGCTTCCCAAGCAGGCCCAGCAGCTCAACCTCAACCACAACAGCAGCAAGAACAGCTCGTGTTTACCACCGGCCTGCTCCAGGCCAGGCTAAGAGCTTCCCAGGTCCTCAAAACGCTTCTAGACGCTACTCTGCCTTCCCTTTTTTTTTCTCTCTTTTTTTGAGAATTTTTTTTGAGACAGAGTCTTGCTCTGTCACCCAGGCTGGAGTGCAGTGACGCGATTTCAGCTTACTGCAACCTCCACCTCCCAGGTTCAAGCAATTCTCCTGCCTCAGCTTCTCGAGTAGCTGGGATTACAGGTGCACGCCCCCATGCCCGGCTAATTTTTGTATTTTTTTAGTAGAGACGGGGTTTCCCCATGTTAACCAGGCTGTTCTCCAACTCCTGACCTTGTGATCTGCCTGCCTCGGTCTCCCAAAGTGCTGAGATTACAGGTGTGAGCCACTGCGCCTGGCCTCTGCCTTCCCTTTTACAGAAGTGAGCTGTGGGTCTCAGAAAGGTTAAAAAACCTGCCCATTGCCATGCAGCTCATTTCACCAACTCACCTAGTTTTGAGTACAGGCCTGGGGGGCCAGTCTAGACCTCCCTGTTGACCTTGGCCAGGCCTCTTGTGCTAATATGTTTTCTGTTTCAAAACACTTTTTTTTTTTTTGAGACAAAGTCTCACTCTGTTGCCCAGGCTGGAGTGCAGTGGCGCTATCTCAACTCACTACAACCTCCACCTCCCAGGTTCAAGCAATTCTCCTGCCTCAGCCTCCCAAGTAGCTGAGATTACAGGCATGTGCCAACACGCCCTGCTAATTTTTGTATTTTTCGTAGAGATGGGGTTTCACCATGCTGGTCAGGCTTGTCTCGAACTCCTAACCTCAGGTGATCCACCCACCTTGGCTTCCCAAAGTCTTGAGATTACAGGCGTGAGCCACCGCACCCAGCCTTCAAAACACTTTCAAAGATCTTTTCCCACTTCAGCGTGACAGGAGTTCTGTTGCGGGGAGGAAAGATATTGTTAGCCCATCTTAGAGATTAGAAAACTGGGGCACAAGGAGATGACTGGACCAAGGTCACCTGACTCATAGTAGACTTGGAACTGGAACTAGGTGGGACACTCCAAAAGGCACTCCACATCTTACTGCCCAGCTATAGTCCCCCTACTGTCTCTGGGAGTCACGGAACTGAGTGGCTGAAAGGGCAGGTTTTCGAGTCAAATGCATCTGGGTCTGCAGCCCAGCCCTGCCACTTAATAGTTATGTGCCTGGACCAGGCACGGTGGCTCTCGCCTGTAATCCCAGCACTTTGGGAGGCTAAGGTGGGAGGATCATTTGAGCTCGAGACCAGCCAGCTGACAAGCTGAAACCGCATCTCTACTAAAAATACAAAAAGTTAGCCAGGTATATTGGTCAGCACCTGTAATCCCAGCTACTCGGGAGGCTGAGGCAGGAGTATCGCTTGAACCTGAGAGACGGAGGTTTCAGTGAGCCGAGACGGCACCACTGCACTATAGCCTGGGCAAAAAGAATGAAACTCCAACTTAAAAAAAAAAAAAAAAAGCCCCTGGTTTTGAAGGCTTAGTATGAAAAAAAAAGAATGTAAAATATCTTACTAATAATTTTTAGATGGATTCATGTTGAAATTCTATTTTGGATATATTAAGTTAAACAAAATACATTATTAAAATAATTTCACCTGTTTCTCTTCTCATTTTTATTGTGGCTACTAGAAAATGTTTAATCACCTATGTGACTCGCACTTATAGCTTGCATGATAGTTGTACTGTACAGTGCTGCCTGAAACAGTTTCAGAAATTCAACGGCTACAGGCTGCCTTCCCCCTGTGTTACCTTAATGATGTGGACTATAAGGGCTTTGAAGCAGGAATTTGCTCACTGGGTGTGTGTCCTTGAGAAAGTCACTGAAATCTTCTGCATCTGTTGGAAGTATGCCCTGAGTCTCCAAAGCCAGCAAACAAACCAAAAGAAACCCTCAATGCTTCACAAGACTGTTATGAGGATTAAATAAAATAATAAAAATAGCTCTACCATGGGCAACGCGCTAAGTGCTTTGCATGCCTTATCTCTTTCCATCCTCACAGACCCAAGGATGTTGGGGGAATGATTGCTCTCATTTTGTAGATAAGAAAACTGAGGTTGAGAAATGTTCAGTAACTTGTGAAGAAAACTGAGATTGGGAAATGTTCAGTAACTTGTGCAGGGACTCCTGGCCCTTGTATTGTTCTGTTCCCTGCACTAAAAGTAGAAGGTATTAAATAAACAAAGGGAAGAGAAGGGCACAACTTCCCTGAGATGCTGGGCAAGTCCCTCTCCTTTGTGAGCCTCAGTTTCTCCTTCTGTAAATGAGGGACATGCTTGGATGGTGGGTAAAGACCTTTGAGGTCTCAGTGTTATGGGGTGTGTTCACATTTCAGTGAACATAAGCCTTTCAGGACTCCTCTAAAGTCCGATGCTTTCCATTGTCTATTTTGTGGGGATAAATGTGCATTTCTGTTTGTTTTAATAACATTTGTAGGAGCTTTATATAGTGTCTACGTCTGCTTACATTAGATGCTGTGTATTATAGTTAAGAGTCTTTCACGATTTCCCATATAAACCTAGTTTTTTATGAGTTTGGGAGAGCTCAGCTGTAAAAACTCTCTCAGCTGAAAAAATTTTGTTTCTAACAAATCAGGTTTAAATCAGGAGGCTGGTTTCAGACACTTCAGAACGTGCATATTTTTTCTCTTCAGTCACTCTTCATTTAAAAATGAGATTGGCTGATTTCTTAGTTTCGTTTCTTTTGTGAAGATTTAGCAAGACTATAAGGTTAACCAATGGTTGCATAGACAGAAGGTATCCAGTGCCTTTTCCGTAAGAACCCTGGGTTTGAGGCGCACCTTCTAATCCGGGCTCAGCCTTTGACTGGCTGTGTGACCCTGAACTGGTCACATCAACTCTCTTGGGTTTGCCTTTCCCACATCTGTCCATGGGGAGCATCATTCCTGCCTTGGCTGTCTTCCAGATTATGGGGAGGAAAATGCACTTATAAAAGTGGAAGTACCCGGGTAAGGTAAATGTGCCAGGCAAACACCAGAGACTACTGCAAAGAATAACGTGCTGAATTCCTCACCAGGAGAAAGTAGATTCCTGGAATCAGAATGTTACTAACAGGAAACCACCTTGGAGCCTACCCTTTTCCTCATTTTCTAGATGGGATCCACTCAGAGCCCTGACAGGGGAAGAGGGTTCCAGGAGAATGCTGGAATTTGAATCCCAGATCCTTTCACGTAACTCCTTCCTTCTTTTTTTCTCTACCTTACTTTGGGGACTAAGGAAGATCAGACTGAGAGAAACTGTATTTGGGCACATATGTATGTATACACACACACACACACACACACACACACACCTGGAGGTGCTCCGAGATGTGGGGGAAACAGGTCTCTGGAGGTAGCCATGTTTGCACTTTGATACAAGTCCTATCTGCCATCCATGTGACCTTGGACAAAATCCTTCACCTCTCTACGCCTCAGCTCCCTCAATATTGACCTCACGGAACCCTGTGAGGCTTATATGAAATAATGCATGCTGAGTTTAAATACTTTTCTTTATAAATGTTAGCTGTTACTATTCCATTCATCAATAGACTTTAAATGTAAGAAAAAAAGACTATTTGCTGTGTACGAGGAATAATAAACTCTTCAGGACAAATATTTTCTGTTGTATGTTAATTGATCGTTATTAGGATCTTTTCATTATATTTATGCCCACAGTGCCTAGCACATGGTGGGCACACAATAAATGTATGTTAAATAAATGGTGTATTGAAAGTATGCTGGCAACAGAGGAAATTGCAGCTTAATTTTTATTGCAAAAGTAATACTTATTCATTATAAGACATTTAAGAAAAATATGGCTAAGCAAGAGGAAAAGTCAAAATTACCCTTATTCCCACAAGTCAGAGGTAAAGGTGTGAAAGTTTTGATGTATATTCTTCCAATTTTTCTCCACGAATAATATTTTTTTATTTTTACATGAAAAGGGTCACAATGGACAGTGTTTGGTGTAATATGGGAGGAGGTTTTCTCACTTAATATATCGTGAACAATTTCCATGTCAATTCCCACATTTTTTCTAATGGCTGAATAGTAACCCACTTGTACTGATGGCTTTATTGAGCCAGTTCTGTAATTATAGGACATCAGGTTCTTTCTCGTGTTTCACTCTTTAATAGAATAGTCCTATAGTTAACGTTTTGTAACATCAATATTTCCTTGCAGTAAACTCCTGGAATTTACTTTTAAGTTGGTAACCATTCCATTTTTCCCATTTTTTAAAAAAGATGTATTTAATTCAAAAATAATAAATAATGACCCTGCTTCTGCCACAGCTGATTTGAGGTGTCTGACAAACCTCGTTGAAACCTGGGCAGAGAAGAAGAAACTAAACGTTAGACTCTAAAGATGTTTTCAAAGAAGGGAGGGCTAAGGAGGGGTGGGAGCCTGGAGAGCCAGGGTGGCAGCGAGAAGGGCTGGACCCCTAGTCTGCAGACCCTCAGCACAGAATGGTTTGTGAAACCTGGGGCAGCTCCGAGCCGTTCTCTGTGCTCGGCTTTTCCAGCTGTGCGGTGGGAGCTGGGGATGTGGCGTGGGCGTGGGAGGCCGCTGGAGTCAGGCGTGGGGAGAGTGGGGGACTATCCAGTGACCCTCTCAATGGGCGCCGGCTCCGTCTCGGCTCCCGGGTTCAGGGACTGCACGTTTCTGAGACCGAGTTTAGGGCTCCAAGGCTCTCTTCCCAAAGAGGGTTTGGGGCCAGCAGGATTGGGTTTTCTGAAGAGGCCTGGTTATGCCAGACTTGGCTTTGGCGGCCGCTGGCGGGTCTCCCTCAGCACCCCCTCTTCTTTCCCCGGCTATAAGAAAGCTAGACCAGGGTGCGCATTCTTCCCGTGCCTAGGATACTTCACGGTGCTAAAAATAGTCCTGGGAGCTGGGACCTGTGTATAGCCAGAGGTTTGTGTGTGAGCGAAGTTGGAGTCCTGGGTTCGAATCTAGATAAGCTTCCCTCCGTGCTGTGGGGCTTAGATCACCTCCCTCCCTGAGTCTGTTTCTCCATGCGCGCCGGAATTTCTAAACGGACTCCCAGAAAGAAACGGAAAGAAAGAAGGTAAAGAAAAGAAAAACAAAACAACAAGAAAGAAACTTTGATTTTTCTCTCTGCTCCTCCCCAAGGGCCCTGGGGCCTCGGGCCGGGTACTGAGGCCGAGGAAGGGGTGCGTCGGACAGGCTCATTACCGCCAAGTGTTGCCCTAGTTAAATCGCGGGCCTGTTTGATCTGGCGGCGGGTGGCGAGAGGGAAAAAAGAAAAAAGTAGGGGGGCGAGAGTAGAGAGAGAAGCTCACACCTCCCCCACTGTTTCCTAGCGCCCATAAAACACCTTTTATTAACTCCTTCGCGTCCGGAAAGGCCCGCGTGGCCTCTCGGCCCCTGCTACGGTGTTTACAGCCAAGACTAATGGGGTCCCATATTCACCCCGACGCTGGGACAAGGCGCCTGGGGCACGCCTGGTGCCCCACGAGGCCCTGCCCCGGAGCTGCCTGAGGTCTCCTTTCTTGTTCCCAAGCCGAGCGCTCAGGCTCCAGGTGCGCAGAGCGAAAGTTCCAAGACAGCCTCACGGGTCTCCCCTCCTCCTTCGCAGTGAGCGCCGCAGACCCTCAGGCGCTGCAGAGCGTGCGCTCCGTGGGGCAACCATGGGAGCTGTTGGGAGACACAGAAGTGCTTAGCGCAGTGCCTAGCACACAGTTGCACGCAACCAAAGTATTCGTACATTATTATTCCTGGAAGTATAAACCACTGCGTTTGCCCGCCCCAGTTTAGCCCAATACGCATCCAAGATCCTTGGCAAATGCACCGAATTTATACCCACCACACCTAGTCATGGGTGCGCATGAGAGAACACAAAGACTGGCTCTCCTGCACAAGTGCCCGAATGAGCACGCATACACACATACACCCCATCCCTTTGCACAAATCCATATGCTCTCACAACCTTCTGTCGAGTGCTTCGTTGCTAAAGAGAAACCTAAATACCTCAATTTAACATATAAGCACTCACAAGCTTATTTTACTCAGGTATAAAATAATAATAGCTGCTGTGACTTGTCAAGTCCTTACTGTGTGCTTGGAGCTGTACTAAGCAGACCCTTGTTGGCCCCTGCACAGCCTCAGGCTCCGTATGAGTTGCTGCACTGTCACATGTACATCTATATGTTGAGAATTTCACATACATGAACATATTCCCCACCAACACCCCCTCTCCTGAGCTACCCTGCCCCAGGGATAGGATTCACCTGTGTGCTAGGCCCCCTTCCCTCCCAATAAACACTCCAAACCACTCTTTGCAGACACCAGTGGGCATACTAACCTCCAGACAAGCACGAATACTCAACGCACAAAAACCCGAGCCCAGGCCCTCTGAGACTAATTCGTTTCCGTTTTTGTTCTTCCCCGTTCCCATAAGTTACCCCCACCTCCCGTTCTAGTCTAAAGAGAACTTTGCTCTTGTTCTTGAAATACATTCTTTATCTGCCGGCTTCCCTTGATTTCAAGTTTGGTTTCGTGTTTATCAAAAGAAGAGGAGCAGGAACAGAGGCTTTCCACCTAGCAGAAGCCATGGGAGTCGGTGAGGGACCCCGGTTGAGACATGACACAGGCTTCAGATGATTTCAGAAAATGTTTTATTAATCAAGAGCATAGACACTGCTTTGGCGAAGGGAGGGGGGCTGTGAGTGGTCACACAGACTTGAGGTAGAAAAGGGTTGGGGATGGCAGGATGAACAAACACCTGAGCACAACAGGCATGGTAGGTAGTTTAAATACATAAAAACTTTCCAACACAGGGAAAGCTTTTATTTAGATAGAAACAAAAAGGAAGGAAAAGAAGGAAGAAAAGAGAGAGACAGAGAAAGAGAGAAAGTGTTTCCCTTGGAACTAAACAGGAAGTGCAGCGACAAAAAGAAAAATAAAATAAAACCACCACGATTCGAAGAACAAAGGGCAGCCTTTCATCTTCCTGCGTCTGGTTCTCTTTCTCAGGCAGAAAAGAATTGATTCCTTATTGCATTTTAATTAGAGAAGACGGCGTCGGGGCGGATCATATGGAGGGACAAGAGAGAAAGAGCCAGATAGGGAAATGGAGATAGGGCTGAGGTTCTAAATTCGCTCCAAAAGGGTGGAAGAGTGCGTCTTTGAGCCCTTGGGTTCGACAGTCCCTCCTTCTTGCATGTTGCCGCCAAGGGCCGCCCTCGGTTGGGCTGGGGGTGGATATATATATATTTCTCTTTCTCTTAATGTATTAAAAAAAATCAAAGGACATTGCACGTGCGATCCAAGTGTGTGGTTGCAGCCGACGACCTGCCGGCGCTCAGCAGAAGCTCCGCGGGATGCGTAGCACCAGTCGCCGGAGCCCAGAGCCTGGCGTTCGCCGCTGCCTTCCTCTCCTCCCGGGGCTTCAGGAGTGGCTGGCCTGGCCAGGTCCTCGGCGCGGGCCTCGGCTCACTGGTTTAACTCCAGCGCCCAGACTTGCTGCGGCCAGCCGGTGCGTCCTTTAATCCTCTTCTCGACTGGGCCCAGGGCAGGAGGAAAACCTTCGTGCTGCTGCTGCCAAAGGACACACAGAAGAAAAGAGGCGGGAGAGACAGGTTTTAATTTTTCTGCTCCGATCGCCCGGCATGGGGTAAGATGAGGAGGAGGGGAAGGTGTCGGGAGCAGTAACTGGGAGTCTTTAAATAAGTGACGGATTTCTGTTTGCGAAATAGGCAAACAGGCTCGTAAATTTGCCTTTATGCGCGGAGTTCCTGGGACCCGGGATGGGCTGGGCAGCTTCGGGAGGTTTGGTAAGGAAAATGTTCTGCGTCTGGTGAAACTGACGCGCGTTGATTTGGCTTTAGGACACCTAAGGGAGATCCCAGGATATTGGAAGGGAGGGGTGGAAATCCACGGTTCTCCCGCTCTCGCTGCACCCCACACACTTCCGCCAGCCTCCCAACCTGGTTTAAACATCAGGGCTTGGATGCAGGCTTGGGGCCCCCTAAGCCGGAGCTGGGAGCCTCAGATACGGAGGTAAAAGAGCGGGGAGTCGAGCTGGCCTAGCGTCCTCCTTCCCGCTCTTTCAGCAGGAACCAAGCGGTGCTACTTGAAGGAGGCGGCGACGCGTGGGGGCCGGGATCCGCCCAATAACAACTTCTTTCGAGGCGCCGCACCTCGAAAGAAGCCGGCCTGCACCATCCCCAGTCCGGGGCAGCCGTTTAGAGACTCGATGCCTATTTATCTTTCCCTCGTCCCTGGATGAGCTTTCGTCAGTTTACCACAGGCCCCCGCAGGTTGGATAAACCAGGTGGGGCGCTTCAGCTGGCTCCACTCCGCTACGGCCTTAAGCCCCCCAACCTAGAGAAACTGATTGGCCAGCCTGAAAACCCAGCGCTCAGAAGCCCCCAGCCCCGGACAGCCAGACCGAGTGCCAGGAAGTGTCACCCTAACCGGAGAGGATCAAGAAGGCCAAGACGAGACTGCGCTCTCCAAAGCTAAAAGAAGTGGCTCTTATTTACATGCAAAGCCACTGAAGTCGTCCTCAGAACCAGTCCATGGGGAGAACCAGAACTGGCCCTGGACTGAGTAGAAGACCCGATCTGTTTTACCTCACCTCCACCCTGGACTCCTCAGATAGGTGCTTTTCCTGCCCCGACCCACTCTGGGCCCTCAGTTTCCCTATTTATACAATGATGGAAGTAGACTAGCCGGTCCAGCAAAGGCCCTTTGAAAACAGGAACCGAGCCCGGGCACATAAATTCAAACTCAAAGTAAAGAACTTTAACACATATTCTTAACCTGGCTTCCAGGAGAGCCCAGGAATGAATCAGGACTTCTCCAAATTGGAAGCAAAACCTGTGGTGTGTGCATTTTTGGAGGGTCCGAGGCTCCAAACAGATTATTCACTCAGTATTACAAACACTCTCCCGTATTACAAATGAATTCTATGACGAATCTGCCTCCCTCCATGCACAGGATCGCACGCTGTGACCAACCATCTCAGAACTCTTCCCAACCTTTCCAAATCGGACACAGGACAACACAGCCTCCTTCGACTACCTGCATGGCCTGAGGCTGCTCACCGCTCCTGCACCCTTGGCTGGAGCATGCAAGCCCCAGGACTCACCAGCTCCCTTTTCCGCTTGCTCTCACGGCCGCCATCCGCCTTCTTGAGTTCAGCCTTGAAGGCCTCGGGATCGCCAGACTGTGCATCCTTGGCCAGCACGTCCATCAGGTAGGCGATGTAGCTGGTGGCTAGGCGCAGAGTCTTGATCTTGGAGAGCTTGGTGTCGGCCGGCACGTTGGGGATGCACTCGCGCAACTCCGCGAATGCGCTGTTAATGCTCTCAGTGCGTCTCCGCTCCTTCTTGGGTCCTGAGCCTTTCCGCCGGCCAAGACGGCCGCCAAGCGCCTCCAGCCGCCCGGGGCTCTGCCCAGGCCTGGCGTCAGGACCATAGGCGGTGGCGGCTGCAGCGGCCGCGGGCGGCGGCCCGCCCGCAGGGAAGTCCGGGGCAGCGTCAGCCGGGCTCAGCAGCCAGCTCTGGAAGTAGGGCCTTTCCTGATGACAGCGCGAGGCCGGACCGAAGAGGAAGGGTTCGTGGAGCATGGGGTGCGCAGGGTGCGGGTGGTGATGGTGGTGATGGTGTGCGTAGCTGCCCACGAGGTTCATGTTGGAGCGGCTACTGGCCTGCGCCGCCAGCCCTATTAACGCCGCTCCATGCGCCCCAGAGACTGCCGGGGGCCACCTGTGGGCTCTGGAGCCACTACTGGGCGCCGGCTTTGGGAGAGTCCGGGCAAGGCTGAAAATGAGACGCGCAGCCCACTGTCTTCTTACCGGTTTCTGCCGCGGGCGAGGTCGCCGAAGCCCAAAGACCTGTTTAACCCTTCTGCGGACTCCCCTGCGGATCTGGCTTATATAAGACCGCGGCTTTGATGTCAACCTCTCCCGGGAGCCAATGGCAGGGGGGCGGGGATAAGGAAAAGGGGGAGTGGCTATCCCAGGTTTTACGCTCAGCCCGCGCCACTCTAGTCCGCCAGCAGGGACTGGGAACCGGCCCCGCCTCTGCCCCTCCCACTCAGCTCCCTGCTCTGCGGGCTTAGGGGGGCGGGCTGCTGGGGGTGTTGAGGGGGCGGGCACGGGGACTACGTACTTGAGGCACAGGACGGCCAACGCCCTGGACTGTTGCTGCCACCCCCTCCCCACGGATCCAAGGAAAGGAATCCAGAATCACCAAGCGAAAAGAAGGCCTACACCTAGAGCCCGCCTTTTGATTTTACAGACAAGGAAACTGAGGCCCAGGGAAAGAAAGGTTCTTGTTTCTAGACTGTCTAGAAGTCTAAATAGGAATTCCAGCAGTTCCCAGTCCCGAGCTCCAACTGCTCTGCTCGGCGTCAGAGCTAGAAGATGAGAGGGCGCTGCTGAAGACAGGATAGGCCGCTAACGTTCTTCCCTAACACCTTCCAGCCCTCCGCCCCCACCCCCACCCCTTAGTCATCGGCCCTTTCTGGAGAGACTGGGAGCCGCTTGTGCACGGGGTCGTTACCAGCCCGCCAATTCTGACCCAGCCTCAGGCAGACGGGCACGCAGCTACTGACCAGCGAAGAAGCCTTTCGGAGGCAGGGGTAGGGGTGGGGCGGGAAGGAGGAGGCGGACTCCAGGCCCACGGGCATCGACGGGTTTGTTCCCGGCTTGAGGGTCTGAGATCCACTCCGGCCTCCCGGGTGCCTGATCCATTCCGAAGGCCAGCCCGGCTGGCGCAGAGACAGTCTGGCGTCCGCCTTGGGCCCGGGGCATCTGGCCAGCAGGTCTCCTCTGGTCTGTCCGCAGGACTCGCACCGAGACCTGGGAGCGCGGCTACGTCGGGCCGCTCTACCCAGATCATCACTCCTTAAGAATCTTTGGTTCTTTAAAGACACCGGCCCCGAAGCTCACACCTCGAGACACCAGCATTCGGCGTTAGACACACGCAGAGGGGACCAAGACTGCACAGCATCCGCGAGGCTCGCACAGGCAAACGCGACGTCCGGCATCTCTCACGCATCAGCGCAGAGGCGCGACTCGGCTGCACGACCCTCCGAGATTTCACCCCGGGGGTAGGGCCATTCCCTGCCAGCCGGACTCTCTCCACTGTGGGCTTTCCCCAGGCTCGCGTTGGAATCTGGGAATCCCGGAGTGGTGACGCTTCAAGCTGGGGACTCTCGGTCTTACCTCCCGCTGTGGTTCCTTTCTTGGCCGATGTCCACCTACCTGGGTCCCTCATTCTCTCAACCTTTCTCAGCTCAACGCCCCCTCCCTCGGTGTGGTAGAGGGAGTGTGCCTCTCTTCAAAGCAAAGTCGAGGGGAGGGGGAAAGGAGAAGTTAATGTGAGTGCTCTTTTTAGAAGGCAAATCATTCACCCATTCATTCAACAATTATTTATTGATGCCTACTATGTGCCTATCATAGTTACTAGTCCAAAGACAGAGGGAGAAAGGCCCATTCTCTCCTTGAACAGATATGGAACGTGAAGCCCAGAGAAGAAGAGCGATTTTCTCGAGGTCCGGTAGGGAGTGGATGAGTGGAATTCCACTCCTGGACAAGAGAGTGAATGAAGGGTGGGGGGTTACATACAGGAGTGACGGAGACAAAAGCCTGGGCCTGCTGGTTCCACCTGTGGGAGCTCAGCAGGGCTGTGGGCCCTGGAGGTGCATGGGGGGGTGGTGCAGGGAGGTCCTGGTTTCCTGCCCGAGGCGGGCTGGAAACCCCCCGCTCTCCCCGGCGCCTGGCGCCAGCAGCGCTGGGGTAGGGCAGAGCGCGGAGCCGGAGGCACGCGGGGAGGGAGCGCTGGGGGCCCGCTGCTGCGGCGGCTCTGCGGGGTCCCAAGCCTCCCTGGCCTGGAGGCATTCTAGAAAGAGCGCAGGTAGAGAGTAATTACGCTGTGGAGAGAAGGACCTCAACACACAATCCTCAACACACGCCCAGTCTTTGTCCTAATCCAAGTACAATCTGCAACAGTGCCTCTCAGAGCGGCACACTAGGCCCTCAGATTATACATTCACAGGTACATGCACAAGGGCTCACAAAACCTTGCCGCCGTACACAAAAGCCCGTATCTTCATAAGACGCCCAAAAGTATGTGTATTCTCACAGTAATACGCACAGCCACGGTACACACAGCATTCATGCATTCCTAGGATTTTACACATTGTCTCTCTGTCACCCACAGGGTACATACTCATCACGCTTCAGATGTGTTACACCTGGGAGCCGCTCCCAATCCTCCATTCAGGCATGCACAGAGACCAAAGTCATATGGTAGAAACACATAAATTCTGAATACTACACAAATGCAGGGTTTCACACATAATCTCATTGCCACAATTTAAACCAGCTTGTATCTTCCTAAGATTCTCCACAATTGTATTCGCAACACAAACTTCCAAAATCCCATCATACATTTTGTATATTCTCAGTGTCACCGCTAAGCCTTCAGTGCACAAGTACACAGTCACAATATCTACTACATATGCACAGGTGCTCACAAATAGAGGTTCTCACATGCTCACACATAACACACATACAAATGTGTGGCCCACGCGCCTGCCCATATGAGTCCTAGTTGCTTTTATGATGTTACACAGATCACTCAAGGTTGTATACATCCCCCATATATCTGGCCTGGTTAGTGTGGTGGGGAATGCATTATCAGTACTGGGTGAGGAGTCCCAGTCCTATGACACCCCTTGAGGGCCCCTGAGACTACCTGGCAGCCCCCCATGGGTCTTAAAGAGCAGGGTGTCTCCAGCTGCCAGTGATGTGGAAAGCACTGTTCCCCAACCTAGAGAAGGTATTCAGTGTCATTTTTCAAGCGGTGCCCCCACCAGAAACTCAGCCCTAAGGGATCTCCTGAGGCTTGGGGCTGGGGCAACCCCCAGCAGGATGACGTCGGGGGAGACTGCAGTACAACTAGGCTCTAGACTGCCTTCTCAGAGACCCCAAAATGCTTTACTGTAGTCCGTGGAGAGCAGCAGAACTCCCGGGATGGTGGGGACCTTGTAAGGTTGTTCTCTATCTCTGCCCAAGCTATATTGTAGGAGGAGGTCTGAGACCTAGGATTTTGGCTAAAATTGCTTTAGGCTGGCAGGCAAGAGATGTGACAGGCAAGAGTCCTGGCTTTCCCTATCTAGCACCTCTTTGTTCCTTTCCAGTCCGAGCCTCAGTTTCCCCAGTTGCAGAAGAAGGGAATAGGATTGATAGTCTGGAATTCTGGAATTCCCAGCTCCTCACTATTGCAGGGACCCTGCCCTGGTTCCTCCTGGGACTTAGTGCTCAGCTCAGGGATCCCTACAGAAGGACTCCGCTTTCCTCTTGCCTACCTCAACAGACCAAGGACTAGAACTCCCAGGGTCCTAGCCCACACTGCCCCTGCAGCCTCCTCTTAACGAACCTTGCTCACCTAAAGAGTGCCTTCAGGGGGGTTGGCCTTCTTAGTATTTTCAAATGCAGGCTTCTCGTTTCTTCCCCCAGTTGTAGTGGTGAGACCCGGCAGGAACTCTTCTTTACCCTGTTTTACAAAGTAGAGGGCTTATGCACATAAAACACATTCCACCTTGCTATGGAATCGGGCCCATCTGAGTTAAAACTGTGCACATCATTCCTCCCTGTGTGAAGCTTCTACACCTCAGTTTTCTCTTCTGTAAATTGGAGGACAATAATAACCTCTGTGGAGGGCTGGCGTAAGAGTAAGCACAAGGCGAGGCTCTTAGCACAGTGACAGTAAACCTGGATAAATGGTGGCTCTGTTTTTAGGAATATTAATTTCATAGGGGCGGAAATGGAATTACATGCCGCCACATGACTACAAAGCTCTGGATGGGGAGAAGGACCAGGACACTGAATCCTCCTTGCAGGGCTCTGTTCTGACCTGACCTAGCTGCTTCTGACTGCCTTAGGTTCCTTCCCATTCCCTACTGACCCTACACAACCCAGCCATCATAAGACTGGAGATACAGAGACATCGCCAGGTGTAGGAATTATGTTGCCAGAGACCCGAATTCCAGTTCCAGATTCCACCCTCCACCCCCATGTCCCTCCCTAAATGACTTGGTGGGGGGTGCAGTCTTGTCACCTACGGGACTCAGTTCCCCCAACCATAACAGTAGGACAGCTGTACCCGGGCAATGCGAAGGTCCCTCAAGCCTGGACGTTCTGCAGTGGTGGGGTCTCGCTCTTGCCCTAGCCCCTCTCCTACCCTCACCCCTATCCGCGCCCCCCGGACTGGCAGGCCTCTGGAAGCCCAGGCCGCGGCGCCTACCGCAAAACCTTCTCCCGCCGCAGTCCCGTGACCTTGACGCCACGGGCAATCCCCGCACCGGACCCCTTATCTAAATAGGGCAGTAAATCAAGGACCTGTCAGGGCCCGGGTAATTACAGGAACTCCATAAAAAGGACCCGGCCGGCCGCCTGTTTATATTAGCGCGGTGTAAAATATTCTCGCTGTCTTGGGGAATCGCGTCGCGCAGTAACGCGCCATAAATCAGCCCGCGGACCATTTACCCCGCAGCTTGAGCGCGCAAATCCCTTAAACATTTCTCTGCCATGTCTGAAGAGGACCTAGGACTTTCCAATCTGGCCCAGCCTGCTCCCAGGGATGGGGGACAGTCGGGGCAGGGAAGAGATAGGCACGGAGTAGATTGCTCCTGGGAGCTCCAAGGTTCTGTTTGCAGACGGGAAACTAGCCCAGAGAGGGGAAGGAACTTTCCTAAGGGCACACGGCCGATGAGTGGCAGACGCGCGGCTAAAGCCCAGATCTCCAGAGGGGACCTGGGGTGAACAGCAGCCTCTGTCTCCCCTTATTACCTTCTTTCCTGAGACGAGGGTGGTCAGGCCAGAAAGGGTCCAAGCAGGAAGTGACGTTCTTTACATTTTGGCCAGGAGGTTCTTGCCATTGTGCACAGAATTATGTGTCAATGCTTTTCTGCGCAACGGTAGCCCCTGATTACGGGCAAAACACAGGCCCAGAGGATGGGGAGAGACTTGCCCAAGGGCACACAGATAGAAATCGACGACCCTCCCCTGCTAAAATAATTCATTTTGGTTTATCTCCTCCACGCTCTTTCTTAAAGAAAAACTAGGAGAGAGTGCCTATGCATATATGTGTGTGGCTGTGTGTGTGTACGAGGGGGGGGGGTCATTTGTGCTCATTCTCAGGCCTGTAACAGGCCTCAAAAATACAAAATCTATTTAAGGTAAACCTGCTGCTGCCTATTGTCCAATGAGTAACATAAATCAAGCTTATGGAAAAAGAATATTACATTTTCTAACCTCCCTCTGGGCTAGGACCTGAGGATTCGAGGGAGAATTAAACATGTATGTGTTTCCCCCAACTTTTTCTGTCTTCCTCCCCTCATTCTCTTTCTCTTCCGAAGCCCGTAAATGACAATGTGTTTACATAAGTTTTTATGTCGTCTGAGCTTCGTCCCGGCTCCGTTTCCTCCTCTGTGTATTTTCCGCACAGAGAGATGTCTGCTTCGGGACGCGTTCAACCTAAACAGAACCCGGTCTGATTGGAAAATGTATTTATTTGAAAAATCGTAACTCACGGTTTTGGTGAAAACGGCCCCCAAATTTATGGGATCGCTTGGGGCGCAGCGATTGTAAATCAAAAGGCACTGGACACCTCCCTCCCCCATCCCCGAAGCAGCTCGGTCAGGTTCTCCAGAACACCAGGAGTCCTGTCTCCTCCCGGTCCACCCTGCGGCCCTCCGAGACCCTCCCTTCTCCCATCCCTCGCAGTGGTTAGTTGCACACTAGCAGGCAGGTGGATTTTACTCCGGTTTCTTTTACCCAGTCCCGTTGCTTTCAGGGCAATTTCATTCTGGTCAGCTTCACAGCACTCAGCTCCAGGCCGCCTGTTAACGAAGTTTTGCTGTGCACCAGGCTGTTTTCGGCATATTGGGAGATTTTTTTTGTTCCTCACATGCTGGTTAGTTTCCTGGTGCTCGGTTGCTCCCCGGGTCGGGTCGGGCCACTTGTAGCCAATCCCTAGACCACTGATCATTGCCTGCCGAGCTGTTTCATGCCAAGAGGCTTATCTCGGCTCATTGTCACGAAGGTCATTCTCACTGCCTGACTGTTGCATCCCTGGTCAGGAGAATTTTTTCCTTTCCCAGTCTAATCTGAATTCCACAGCAAGGACTGAATCAACCCACTTTACCTATCTCCTGGGTCCTCCTGCCAGCGAAAGCCAGCTGATTACTGGGGAAAAGCTAGAGCCGGGATGGTGTATCCAAGGACAGATGCTGCTGGCTACATAGGTGGGGAGTCTTCGCCAGGGACACGACCAGCAGAGCTGGACGCAGGGACATTTCATGAGCAAACATTGAGTCTACTTTCTCCTGGAATACAGGACTGAGCCATATCTCTGTCTTAAGGATCATGCGCTTCTCTGGCAGAGTCCCCATGGGGCACAATGCAAGCTGTCCACTCCAGGCTTGTCCATCTAAGCCTTGCTATCTCAGGGACAGGGTCTGGAGATTCATTCAAAACTTCTGTGCTCTTTTCTCCAAAAGAGCATGCAGGAGCCAAGAGGTTCCGAAGTCTGCCGGAGCATAAGTGTTATAGCTAGCAATGGGTCGTGGGGATGATCGGCAGCTGGCTACACTTAAGTTGAAAACACTGGGCTCCTCAACCCTTTCCTTCTGCTCACAGGCTTTCAGAAAGAGTCCGTATGCACGAAACAACTGTATCATTATTAGCCTTATTATTTTAAACGGGGCCAGGCCACATCCATCATCTTTCCCATAATGGTCAATTGTAAACACACTTTAAAAGAGAAAAACAAAAAAGGGATTTAATGTTGACACTGGGAAAATGCTTAGCTCTGGCATTGCTGGGGAATTGGCAGGCTCTCTGGTCCTTTGGGAGAGAAGTTAAGTGCTCTGAGAGTTTTTTTGTTTTGTTTTTTTTGCTTTTTCCATTGAATTTCTAAATCCCTCAGGAGTCTCCTTTGTCTCTTCAGTTTAATGAGGGAAGTCCTTTGTTAAAAAGTCAAGGATGGATAGAAGAGCCTTGGCATCAGAAAGGAGACGGGAGTGGAGTAAGAACACTGCAAACACGGTAAACTGTGCTGATCCTCTTCATTACCATGGTCAATCTTACCAGCACCCTTCTGGATTTCAGCCTCTTTCTGCCTTACTATTTCCACGCTGCAGCTGAGTTTTGCCCTGGAAGGGAGAGGTGTAAAGAGAAGTGAACGACAGAAAAAACAGAAATTAGGGAAAAAAAAAAAGTGGCGATTCATGAATGGTGACTGAAGAAACGGGAGCACACTTTGGTTTTCACTTCATTATCAACTATTAGAGCAAGTTCCCTTCCAGAAAGCCTGGGTTTGAGCACCTCTTCCCAGTGTGAACATTGCTCCCTAGCCACATGGACACCCCCAACATCTCACCCACACACACCAGAGGATACAAGATTGTCCACATTAGCTTCCTAAAACTCACCCAGAGCACGGCTCAAAGAACAAGAAGTCACAGTGGAACCCAGCCTCAAACTCAAACCAACTGTTGGCAGTTATTAAATTCATTTTCATCCATACAAGCAAGGTCCCAAAAAAGTCTACTTAAAAAAAAAAAGTGGCAGGAGAAGAGAGAACAGAAGGGAAAGCCCCAGAAACCAGACCAGAAATTAATGTAATTACCTCTTCTCCCCTGCCATAAATTCCGCAGAGGAAATCAAATCTTTCTGTGCATGTGTATAAAAACCTATCAGTCTATGGAGCTCGCCAAAACCCATTATGTCTCAAACTGGGTGTTCTAATTGAGTGAATCTGAATGTACCAGTCGACCAAGCATCAATGGATCCAGGTTTTTCCAAGGGCGTTTGCCACAGAGCCAGAGAGGATAAACATTGGTTGGAACCACACACTAATCAGCTTGCTTGCCGAAGAGACCCTCTCTGAGCCTGGAGGAGATCTATGGAGCCTGGGTGCTGGCAGATGCATCCTAACATTTTGCGTCAGATTGTAATGGAATATTTCTCATAAACAGCCAAGTGTCTCTCCCAGCCATTCAACTGACATGTTTTTTGTTGTTTAACTTCAGATCTGACAGATGATGATAACCTGGAAAAAAGAGAGGTTACAAAATGCTGAGGGCTGTGGGGCTGGGCAGTGTAAAGGGCGCCTGCTCAAGAATTAGGACAGGGCTGTGATTTGTAGGGCCCGGAAAAGACTGTTATGCAACCCACAGCAAGCGGGGTGGCTGGGAGAGGGGCCTGGAAATCAAGCAGGAGGGGAGAAGTGCTCAGCCACAAGAGCTCTGGGCTGCTTGCTTCACGGAAATATGCCACTTGTATTGCATTTCATTTTGTGAGATGGAGAATGCTCCCTCCCCCTCACCACTCTCCCCAGGCTCTCAGTGCTCTCCTCTCTCATGAGCACTCTGATTTATAGCACCTGTTAAAAACACATAATGAATGCAATTAGCTGTGGCACTGGAGAGAAAAAAGGTAGGAGTTGGCTTTATTCTAATAAAAGATAAATGTGTTTGTTTTCATTAACTTCGTTCATTAATTTAAATTTCTGGGGCCAGTTTTAAATCGTTGCTGCTTTCTTTGCCATTAGCCTAATAGGTGCTAGTTCTCCAACTTTAGTGGGTGTCACAATCCCTTTGGGGAATATGTTTCAAATGCAGGGAACCCTTGTAGGTGAGGAGTGAGCATGAGATCTGCATTTTCAAGAAAACTCAATAGCAGATTCTGATGCAGGAACCATGCCTCTGAGAATGTGATTTATATAGATATAGTAGGTACTCAAGAGTGATCTATTCACCAAAGAAAATTATTTTCCTTGTTAGCTGTGGGATTCTATCCAAGTTAATATACATATATAGTTAAATATGATACATGTCTATTGTGGAAAAATCAGAAAATATAGAGAAACATAGGAAGGAAATAAACATTTCCTTGATCTTTACAAGCTATTTACATTCTTTGGGCTGTAGTTTTCTAGTTTTCTCTGCCAAAGCCTAGGGATTCTTAGAAGGAGCAGCTCTATCTTCACTGTCCTCTCTACCACCCAGCACCTATCTGGCATGTAGTAGGGCATACAAAAGTATTTGATGAAAGAAACAATTGTTAAGTGACACTGAGATTAGATGACCTCTAAAGTCGCCATCAACCCTAATACTCTATTTTGCATTCTCTGCTCTAAGAAAAAATATATAATTGCACAAACTCAGATATATTTGTCACTTGGACTCCTGACATTCAAACATGTATATGTTTTTTCTCTATGTCTTGTCACTTGATCTGACAGCTTTCTGCCTGCTCTATCTGATAATAGTTTAGGGTTGTCCTTGCCCGAGGCAGCTCAGCTGTCAGCATGGGCTGAAACTGAGTGGGGCAGTCCCCACCTTGTACCAAACAGAACAGTCTGAGTCAGTTTTTTCAGTCTCCAGCAAAATTGCACAGAACCAGAAACCGAATAGTTGGGTTTTTCAGTTCACAAATGTGTAATTCTTTCCTGAAACCTTGAAGCAGACCACTCCCCACCATCCCACCCTGCCTCACAGGGCACTAAAAAATGATCACTGGTTAAGGTCTTCCTATGTGTGACACACTTTACACACATTTCTCATTTAATCATCACAGTAGCACTTTTACCTCCGTTTTACAAATATAGAGTTAATGCTCAAGTTTCCTCAAGTAAGACATTGGAGAAACAGGATTCAAACCCAAGTCTCCCTGACTTTAAAGTCCTTGCTTTCAACCACTACAATTAAAGGGGTGTGTGTGTGTGTGTGTGTGTGTGTGTGTGTAAAGTGGGGGTAAGTAAAATGCTAAAAATATTTTAAATTCTCCAACAATATCACAACAATAATTAATTACAATACATAACTTTTTTTTTTTTTAAGAGATGGAGTCTTGCTCTGTCGCCCAGGTTGGAGCACAGTGGCGTGATCTCGGCTCACAGCAACCTCCGCCTCCTGGGTTCAAGCAATTCTCCTGTCTCAGCCTCCCAAGTAGCTGGGATTACAGGCGTGCACCACCATGCCCAGCTAATATTTGTATTTTTAGTAGAGACAGGGTTTTGCCATGTTGGCCAGGCTGGTCTCTAACTCCTGACCTCAGGTGATCCCCCTGCCTCAGCCTCCCAAAGTGCTGGGATTACAGGCATAAGCCACGGCACCTGGCCAATAACAATTATTTATTATATTATATTATTATTTATTGTATTTATTCACAATAATTTATCATAAATGTTATTATAAATAGCAATAATAATTAAGGAAGAATATGAACCCACCACCCAAACAATGTGCTCTGTTTCATTCCTTCACCACAAACACTGTATCCTAAGAATTATTTCTGCAGCTGGCACAGTGGCTCACGCCTGTGATCCCAGCACTTTGGGAGGCTGAGGTAAGAGGACAGGTTGAGCCCAGGAGGTCAAGGCTGCAGTGAGCTATGATCACACGTGACAGAGTAAGGCTCTGTCTCAAAAAAAAAAAAAAAACAAAAAAACACCTCTCTGTTACATGAGCTCATGTTTATCAGTTTTAATAGTAGCATCAGGTGCTCATCAGGTTACATCTAATTTGACTTGTCACAATAAGGTTATAAATCCCATAAAGAGAGGAGCCGAATCTGTTCTATTCACTGATGTATACCCAGCACCTAGCACAGTACTTGCACAAAGAAATCATTCAATAAATGTTTGTTGAATGTATGAATGAATGGTAACTTGCTTGATACAAACAATTCTGGGGAGATGCTACTGGCAACATGGTCACCCAGGTGTCAATCATACAATACAACCCTGCCACTCAGTGGGTGCTTAGGAAGATGTGGAAGGAATAATCTTTTAGGAGGAGATGGGACATAATAGATGTTTAATACACATACTCACCGTTTGATCATTGTAAATACATTTTTGGTAATGGTTTCATTGAGATACAATTTACATCAAATCCATACATTTCCAATAAACTTTTTATTTTGCAATAATTCTATACAGAAGAGTTGTAAAGATAACACAGAGAGTTTCTGTATAAACTTCACCCTTCAGTTTCTCCTAAGGTCACCTTCTTACACAAACAAGGTATGTTTATCGTAACTAAGACACTAACATTAATACATTATTATTAAACTAAATTTTAGACCTTATTCAGATGTCACCAGATTTTTCTTTTATGTCCCTTTTCTGTGCAAGGAAGCAATCCAGTAGACCATTTCACATTGAGCACAATTATGTTTGCCAAGCTGATTCTACCATGATTTACCTTTGACCAGCTGAATTTTTTTTTTCAGTTATCAGCTTCAGGAATTTAAAAAAAAAAAAAAAGTCTCACCCAAATTAGCAAAATGGAACCAAAACAGATTCTCCACTTTAGTTAAGTTCCTTGCTGCCTCCTTCATAAGGAAGGCCATGCTTTCTTTTCTCAGCTTTGTGCACCCTCATTATATGACCCATGTTACGCCCCAGGGACCCAATGTTTTACGGGTTTGTGCAAACCTAAGTCATCTGTAGGGTCCTAAGTCACGTGCCTACTGCCAGTGCTAACACTGTGCAGAGTTAGACCTCAGCCAAGTTTTTTGGGATGATTTGAGGTTTGCATCCAGTCTTGGATTCCAGAAATCATACTTTGCACCTATTTCCATGTGTATTTTTAGAGTGAACTTGTTGGGAGAAAATGAATATGATCTAATGATAAGTAAAAGAGCAGGACACAAAATTCAACACGCTGGGCTGTTACAGCTCTGTCAAAATACACGTAGGAAAGAAAGAAGATACCCAAAGCAATTGTTGTCATATTAGGGTGGCAGGATTATGGATAATATTTTTGTCTTTCCTACATTTTCCAAACTTATTGCCATATTGTATTTTGCTTTTTATGATGATAATTTCTATAATTAAAAAATAAATGTATACTCAAACTAAATATACAACTTAAAATATAACTCCTTTGAAAGGAGACAGTCAGTGAGGAAAAGTGCCTAGGACAAGGAAATAAGTGCTGGCAACAACAGCATTTATTTGGTAATAAATATTCAATAAATGTTTGTTGAATGAATGCGTTAAGTAATTTACAGGGATCATCTCATTCAATTCTCAAAAGTACTTCAGGAGAAAGTGCAGTTATTACCCCCATTTTGCAGGTAAAGTAACTGAGGCACAGAGAATTTAAATAACTTGTTCAAGCTTCCCCAGCTGGTAGGCGACAGAGCTGCAACTTGAACCCACTGAGTCTCCAAACACAGTTACAGAAGGATGGAAAAAGAGGGAGAGAGAAAAGAAGGAAAGACACGAGAAAAAATGGTTTCATCGGTGAGAACAGTTAGACCAGTGAAATGAATATCTGAGATGCTTCACCTAGGGGACTAGTCAAAGATGCAGAATCTTGGCCCCATCTCACACCTAATGAATCAGAATCTGCATTTTTAAAAACATCCCAAGGGACTCATATGCACATTCAAGTTTGAGAAGCCAAGACAGTTAATATGAAATCTGTTTGGGAAAAATAATTTACACATACACATGCACACACACACACACATATATAATATATATATATTTACTTGTATTTGTCTTGGCTGGTACTACCTTGCTAAGAAATTGGGGCATAGCTGTATAAATCAGTGTTCTTCAAAGTGCAAGTGATGGCTGTTTTGTGGATTGTGAAAACATCTTAATGAATTGCAATCAGAAACTAAAAAAATAAATAAAAATTATCAGAGTGCATCTTATGAAGAAAGGGTGTGTTATTGCATGAAACTTTTATTTCAAGTGTGTGTGGGGGTGGTGAGTGTACTGGCTCTTGAAGTAAAATGTCTACCTCCTGTCCCCTTCGTCAGAAAAGTTGTGACTGGCCTTCACACCATGGCCAAAGGCAGCCATGGGTAGTTTATTTTTTGTTTGTTTTTTGTTTTTGTTTTTGTTTTTGTTTTTTGAGGCAAAGTCTCTCTCTGTTGCCCAGGCTGAAGTGCAATGGCCCAATCTCGGCTCACTGCAACCCCCACCTCCCAGGTTCAAGCGATTCTCCTGCTTCAGCCTTCTGAGTAGCTGGGATTACAGGCGCCTGCCACCACACTTGGCTATTTTTGTTTTTTCAGTAGAGACGGGTTGTCACCGTGTTAGCCAGGCTGGTCTCGAACTCCTGACCTCAGATGATGATCTGACCACCTCGGCCTCCCAAAGTGCTGGGATTATAGGCATGAGCCATGAGATTCTTTTTTTTTTTTTTTTTTTTGAGACGGAGTCTCGCTCTGTCGCCCAGGCTGGAGTGCAGTGGCACGATCTTGGCTCACTGCAAGCTCTGCCTCCTGGGTTCACACCATTCTCCTGCCTCAGCCTCCCGAGTAGCTGGGACTACAGGTACCCGCCACCACGCCCAGCTAATTATTTGTATTTTCAGTAGAGACAGGGTTTCACTGTGTTAGCCAGGATGGTCTCGATCTCATGACCTCGTGATCTGCCCACCTCGGCCTCCCAAAGTGCTGGGATTACAGGCGTTAGCCACCACGCCCGGCCAAGCCATGAGATTCTGAGCTGACATTTAGAAGTGTGGTGGATCTCCTTCCTATATCTGATAGATTTAGAAACTCTGAATGAAATCAGAATTGGGTGGGGAAGGAGGGTGAATGTCTCAGAAATTATCCATCCCAGCCACTTCCCTGTCCAGGTGCAGAAACACAGTCCCAGAGAGGAGAGGGATTTGCCCAAGGGCACACAGCAAAACTGGGACTTTGGAGAGAGGAGTGTAACAATGTCAAGTCTTTCATTCCTTTTTTGTCTCAACCATGAAAGTCTTGGGGGCTGGGGGGACCTGGCCTGGAGGCCAGGCAGCCAGGGGGACATGACTCTGGAATGTGTTGGGGAAACAAGATGCCTTCTCCTCCAGACCTGACAAGCCAACAGGACTAGGTGTGGCAAGAAAGGGCTCTGGTTATCTGCCTCCCCCCTCTGTTTCGTTTGGTCTGTCAACTCCAGCAACAAAGTGCCCCAAACGTGTGAGGCTTGATAAAGATGGGAAGGTAAGAGGGTGAAGGTAGTGGGACAACAGGGACCAGAGCTTGAGAGGTGTCCCAGGACCTCTGTCTCTGCTTTCTCCAAGAGTCTGGGAAGCCAGCAGGATACCCCTCTCTCCTTCACAGCCTCCCCCTACTCTGTGATTGTGGCCAAAACCCTTAACTTCTCTGGGTGGTTGTGTCTTCTTCATTTCAAGATGGGACAGGATAAACCCTTAATACTTAGATCCTAAATCAGAGGATTTTGACTTTGAAAAAGAAGTCTACCATCTTATTCTTCCCTTTGTATTATTTTTTTAATTCAAAAAGTAATATGGGCTGGGCCTGGTGGCTCATGTCTGTAATCCTAGCACTTTGTGAGGCCGAGGCAGGAGAATGGCTTGGGCCCAGGAGTTAGAGACCAGCCTGGGCAACATAGGGAGGCCTCATCTTTACAAATAATAATAATAATTAAAAAAAAAAAAAAGCTGGATGTGGTGGTGTGCCCTTGTAGTCCCAGGTACTTGGGAGGCTGAGGTGAAAGGATTGCTTGAGCCCAGGAGCTTGAGTCTGCAGTGAGCTGGGACCGCACCACTGCACTCCAGCCTGGGTAACAGAGTGAGATTCTATCTCAAAAAAATTAAAAAAAAAAAAAAAAAAAAAGTAATGCGAGAACCTGAGAAAGAAGAAACCATCCATAATCTTTCTAACCCCAAATAACTGTTACCATTAGGATGTGTATGTTGCCAAAATGGGGTCAGAGTCTATTCTGTTTTCCTTTTCTCACTTAGCAATGGGTGGCCGGCTTTTTTTTTTCAGGGGTGGGGGTGTCAATGAATATTATTTACTTCATATTACGTGGCTATTTGATAATTATTGATTATTGTTAGGTTTTCTAAAGGTGTGATAATGACATTGTACCTATGCTTTTTTAAAAGAGTCCTTTTAGAGACGGCGTCACAGGTGGTGGAGCGCTGGGCGATCAGGCTGCCTAACTGGCCGGCTTGGGCGTCTGGGCGGTGAAGGTGGGACTGCCTGTTCTGGGCAGCAAGTTCCCCTCTCCAGCTGCCCGCCATTCATAACATGTCCGCCAGAACCCGGGAAGCACAGGCAGGGCTGGCTTAGAGAAGACGCGGTCCCCAGCGCTTGGGCCACGGACGTCCCAGCCCGGTCCTCTGTCGCAGGAGAACCGCTGGGCCGAGCCGCTGGGAGAAGCAGGCCAGAGCCTTCCAGAGCCTCCGCCCGAGGACCTGACAAAGAGCGCCTCCTCCTCCGCAGCCGGGTTCCCGGTGGCCTTACCAGCCTCCAGCAGCAGAAGCAACGCCTGATCGAGTCCCTCCGGAACTCACACTCCAGTATAGCTAAAATACAGAAAGATGTGGAATACAGATTGCCATTCACCATAAACAACCTGACAATTAACATATATTGCTTCCTCCACAATTTCCTCAGGAAAAACCAGTGATCAGTGTTTTTCCACCAATACGACATCACTTAATGGATAAACAAGGAGTGTATGTTACTTCTCCATTAGCAAACAATTTTACAATGCACCCAGATCTTGGAAAAATTATTCAGAGTCTGTTGGATGAGTTTTGGAAGAATCCTCCAGTTTTAGCTCCTACTGCAACAGCATTTCCTTACCTATACAGTAACCCAAGTGGGATGCCGCTTTATGCTTCTCAATGTTTTCCATTTCTTCCTCCATATCCCCCAGAAGAAACAAAGAGGAGTTATCACTTCTTTATCTGTTGCTAATACTGTTTCTTCTTCAACAACAAGTCATACCACAGCCAAGCCCGTCGCTCCTTCATTTGGTGTCCTTTCAAATCTGCCATTACCCATTTCCACAACAGATGCTTCAATATTGACAAGCCAAAATGGTTTTGGTTACAAGATGCCAGATGTCTCTGATGCATTTCCAGAACTCTCAGAACTAAGCGTGTCACGACTCACAGATATGAATGAACAAGAGGAGGTATTACTAGAACAGTTTCTGACTTTGTCTCAACTAAAACAAATTATTACTGACAAAGATGACTTAGTAAAAAGTATTGAGGAACTAGCAAGAAAAAAATATCCTTTTGGAGCCCAGCTTGGGAGCCAAAAGGCAAACCGTTTTAGATAAGTATGAATTACTTAAACAAATGAAGTCTGCTTTCAAAAAGAAGATGCAAAGGCAGTGTGAACTTAGTGAGAGCTGTAGTGCAAGTGCCCTACAGGCAACATTGAAAGTAGCTGCACATGAAGCTGGGGAAGAACCTGATAATATTGTGGAAGACTTTGTGGAGGGAAAAATGGAAATAAATGATTTTCTCAGTAGCTTCATGGAAAAGAGAACAATTTGCCACTGTAGAAGAGCCAAGGAAGAGAAACTTCAGCAGGCAATAGCAATGCATAGCCAATTTCATGCTCCACTATAGACATACACTGCCAAATGGAAGAAATTAAAGCCGCTTCCTCAATATTAGGCAACAAAGTTTCTAAGAGTGGGCAGCTACAAGAATGGCGTGTAGTGAGTTATGTTATAAAAATGTGAAAGCCATTACCACTATATCCTAAGTATTTATCATTTTAGCAAGGTATTCCCTGTTACATACAGTATATGGCAGAAAATGAATATACATTCCTTGTACTTAATTTGGGAACTGCTCAGCAGGTAATGCTCAAATTTTATATTCTAAAAGAATTACACTTGCTTTATTTTTTACATTAACAGAGTACTTTTATATCACAGTTCTTTAGTATATTCTTTTTTTTGAGACGGAGCCCAGGCTGGAGTGCAGTGGCACTATCTCAGCTTATCACAGCCTCCGCCTCCCAGGTTCAAGCTATTCTCCTGCCTCAACCTCCCGCATAGCTGGGATTACAGGCATGTGCCAACACGCCTGGCTAATTTTGTATTTTTAGTAAAGAGGGGGTGTCTCCATGTTGGTCAGGCTGGTCTCGAACTCCTGACCTCAGGCGATCCACCCGCCTTGGCCTCCCAAAGAGCTGGGATTACAGGCGTGAGCCACCGTGCCCAGTCACATATTCTATTTTTAAATATGATGAACACAATTACATTTTTTCATTTATATATATATTGCCACACTCCCTCCAAATCTTTCATACTAGAGAGATCAGCAATGTTGCTTTCTTGCCCTTTCTCTTTACTTTGTTCTAATTTCAGCAAAATGTAATACAGTCTCCCATAAAAAATTTACATATTCAAAATATTGATGTAAATTGTAGAGTTTAAATTAATCCTTTTACATTCTAGAATGTACTAGTATATTAAAACCATACAACATGAATATCATTTATCTCTGTCCAAACATGGCAACTTTTCTCCACTAAGTCTCATTTAGGTCACCCAGTGAAGTCTTTGTTTTACTCATAAGTCAGGGGAGTGAATCTCCCTCAAATGTGCATTTTAACAAAACAAAACCCTTTTCAGAACTTTCAGCAGTCAGTGGTCATGAGATGTTACTAATGTTAATTAAACCATATTAGTCAGTTATATAATTTCTAAAAGGATAGATTACAAAATCTAGTCCCTTCATTAAACAGACATGAGAACCAAATACTCTGGTTCTTCACTGGGTTTTCCCTACAGATGTTTTACCCTACTAACTTTATAATGTTATACTTTGATATCAAGCTGGTGGTTGGCCTACACTGTCGGTATTGCAGTCTCTAGAATAGTAATAAAAGGTTGTTATTACAAGAAAGCTAATACTTGAATTCATATATATAATCAGAAGAATGAATGTTGCTTCTACCCTGTTAGGTATTAAGTCAGTGTTAGAGAAAACGTGAGATATAAGTTTTAGCATTTTTAAATAATGAGGAGAAACAGACTAGATCTCAGAGAAATGCAACAAAATTATTCTAACAATTCAAAATATATTATCTAAGGAAAAGTTAAAGTGATGGTTATTCCTAAAAGATAAGCGTAAGCAATTAAAAGCTCTTTAGGAATGTATCTATTAACCAAAAAGGGTGCATCTCAACAATGTTCCTGTTTTTAAAAATATGGATAAGAGGGTCAGAAAGTAAGATAATGTCAGAAGCTTTAGAAAACACAAAATATGGATCTAGAAGTGAACTAAAAGGTTCATGATGATTACAGATGTGAGGAAAAGGAGTGGAGGCTTTTTGAGAGATGCATCCTATGACAAGGAAGATACATACTGATAACTTCAGGTAATGACAGAAGTAATTGCTCTGCAGTGAATATAATTTTCATAGTCTAGGGTGAGCTTCAAAATGGTGAACAATTTTCCTTATGTTTGATAAACAAAATGACAACGTCCTCTTCAATATCTAAGAAATTAAGAGCTGGACACTTTTTTCCCTTTTCATAGCCGCATTAAAATAGTTCTCAATGACAAAAAAAAAAAAGAGCCTCTTTAGAGATATATCCTGAGCTGTTTCTAAGTAAAATGATATCTGGGATTCCCTTCAAAATAATACAGGAGGAGGAATTGGGTGGGAGTAGAGATAAACAAGATTGACCATGAATTGGTAATGGTTGATGCTCTTTCATGTACGTTTTTAAATATAAGGTTTTTTCAATATTCTTCTCTAATAGTAGTTTTTAGCCTATTTTGGTCACATATCCCTTTGAAAATCTTAAGTCAGCTATAGATCCACTTCCGTACAAATCCACCTTTCACAATTTTAGGAGGTTCTGTCTCCTGAAACCCATTGCTGTATCACAGGTTAAGACCTCCTAACCTATAACATAATCTCCTTTTCTAAAGTTTGTATAGTATTTTTCAAGTAGATACATCATAATTCCCTTGACTAATCCCCTTATTGCTGGGAATTTTTATTAAATTATTATTAATAACATCATATTACATGTCTTTGCATATATATTCTTTAGGGCAAATTCCTAATAGTACCAAAAGATATGTTCATTTTAAACACTTTTTTATTTTTTTTTTCAAAGAGAGAGGGTCTTGTTATGTTGCCCAGGCCAGACTTGAACTCTTGGGCTCAAGCAATCCTCCTGCCTCAGCCCCCACAAGTAGCTAGCATTGTAGATACACAACACTGCACTGGCTTAAAGGCTTTTTTTTTTAAAAAAAAAAAAATCACATTGTCCCCAGAAAGTATTGTTAACATATATATATATATATATTTTTGATACTGGGTTTCACTCTGTCACCCAGGCTGGAGTGCGGTGGTGCGATCTCAGCTCACTGCAACCTCCACCTTCCAGGCTCAGGTGATCCTCCCACCTCAGCCTCCTGAATAGCTGGGGCTACAGGCATGCACCACCATACCTAACTAATTTTTTTGTATTTTTAGTAGAGGTAAGGTTTCATCATGTTGCCCTAGCTGGTCTCAAACTCCCGAGCTCAAGTGATCCACCCACCTTGGCTTCCCAAAGTGCTAGAATTACAGGAGTGAACCACCACCCCCAGCCTAACATATTAATATTTTAAAATCAATTCCCATCCCTGGAGTCCTGTCATCAGGATTCAAGCCTGGACAAGCAGCTTGTCCCTGGGCACAATTCGTCTTGCTTTTCTGAGCGTCGATGTCCTCACCTATAAACATGAGGCGCTAAATGAGCGGATTCTTTGATTGTGTCATTTTTTCCGATCCAGAAAATCCTGGCAAACTCTGTGGCCCTCAGAGTTCTGCCTTGGTTATCGGAGGAGTCTCCACAGGCTCCTAGCCATTCTTCCTGCCCCAGATCTCCATCTGTGATGGTGCACCTTTGACCACCAGGGTGCTCTTCCTACAACATTCACAGGTGGTGGGGCAGAGCTTTAGTGTGGTGGGCTCTTGAGGCAGACTTTGGGGACTGGAATCCTGACTCCAACCAACGGGCAACTTTAGGCAAATGATTTAACCTCTCTCTCTGCCTCAGTCATCTGTTAAATGGGTGTTTTAGATCAGAACCCACTTCACGGGCTTGAGTGAAGATTAATTGAAATAATACACATTAAAGTGTTTATAGGGCCGGGCACAGTGGCTCACGCCTGTAATCCCAGCACTTTGGGAGGCCAAGGTGGAAGGATAGCTCAAGATCAGGAGTTTTGAGACCAGCCTGGGCAACATAGCAAGACCCTGAGTCTACAAAAAATTTAAAAATTAGCCAGACATAGTGGTGCACGTCTATAGTCCCAGCTACTAGGGAGGCTGAGGTGCGAGGATTGCTTGAGCTCAGGAGGTCAAGGTTGCAGTGAGCCATGATCAGAACACTGCAATCCCAGCCTGGTGACAAAGCAAGACCATCTCTCTAAAACTAAAAATAAAAAAAAATAAAACAAAGGGCTTAAAACAGTGCCTAGCATAGTATAAACACTCATCAAACACTTGCTGTTATTATTACATCTCTCTGTCACCCTGCCCCTTCTGAGGACTTTCCTTTGCCTGCAGAGTAACGTGGGACTCCTCAGCATGGGAGCCAACCTTCTTCATCACAGCTCCTCAGACACCTTCCTGAGGGCCTTATCTGCCCTGCACACACCCTACTGTGAAAGCCAAAGAGAACAATGCCTATCCTTAACCCTGCCCTGTGCCCTCCTAAACTGTCCTTCCTTGGTTCCTTGATGGGAACATTTCCCTCTGCCCCAAAGGCATCTCCTAAATGCACTTCCAGAGGAAGGGCCAGGGCTAAAATCTACTCATGCCTGAGCCTAGACTGAGTCCCTGTGTGTGCCAGGCCCTACGTGCACCACAGTTTCCCTGTCTGTAAAATGTGGTGAAGAGACTAGACAACTCTAAGGAAACTTCCAGCTCTGGATAGTTCACTGGTTCCAGAATGAGATTCTCACTTCATTTATACACACTTTGTGACTATCCTTGGGAAGCCTAGTGTGTCATCCCCAGCACCCTGCCCCAGCTGTGAGAAACCCACAGGCCTCCCTCACAGCCTATTACATCAGAGCAACCACACTGGGAGCCATCATGTCACAGCCAGAATGAGAGAATCCAGGTTCAGGAGCCCAGGGAGCCAAAAAACCCCTTCGATCCAACCTGGAGACCTTGAATACATCATTTTCCTATGCAGACACCTCCCCTTCTCTCACCTGGGGAGTGTGACATGTGTCAAATGCACAAACCCTTTGGAGGTGGCATTATGCAGATTTAGGACTGTTGGGCCCAAGCTGGAGTCTAAGTCTCATAACTCAGTGTGACCTTGGGCTCAGGCTCACCAAATCCCAAATGGCCGGGCCTAGTTTTCCTAAGAGACCTTCAGACCTAGCACTCACTTAGGCCCCAATCTGCCAAGGTCATATATTTAAAATGTGGTTCCAAATGTCTTTCCTCAAATAGCCATTATTTGAACACAAAGAACATATAGGCTACAGTGTGAAAGAAACTTGAATTTTGCCTCCTTTTTTCTCTTTTTGCACTTCCTATGAGTCTAGTTATCCTGCCCATGTATGCAAATGTGGACAGAGTCACCAATTTCCTGGTCACTTTAGGTAATAAAAAGTCCTACAACCACTGCCAGTCACTAACTATAGTCTCAGTTCATCGCTCTGCCCAAATTATCAAACCTTCCAACTTGACTTAAAGTTGAGCCTTCTCCCTGCTAGCCCTTGACTCCCCAGCTTGCACTTTTTGCAGGTAAGTTATGAAGCCTGTCAGGGAGGGGCACACTAGGCTTCTTCCCCTGCATGCATCCTTCCCTGAAGAATCTGACAGCCTTGATCTCTGATTCTCTAGCTTCGGAGCTCTGGAGTGAGAGACGGGTTAGAGAAGCTGCTCGCCTGCAGTCCTTTTGCAAGGTGAATATATTTCTATGCTGGCTAGTGGTTTTCTCCTTCCTTAGCCCCTAGGCATCTGTCTAGCAAGACCTCCAGCTCCTTTTGGCTGTCTGCTTGCCCCTCCAGGAGTCCCTTGTGGACAAACCCTAAGATAACCCCCTGCTGGCACCCTCTCTAGCTGTCCCACATGAGTTCACAAAAAATCCAAAGATCTGGCTCTAGTAAGCTCTGGGGGTGAGCACCAGTGCAGCCACTTCACCTCTGCGCCATTGTCACAGCAGTTGACCAGCACAAAGGCTGCCCTCTAAAAGGAACAGGCAGGGTCAAATAGCAACCTGTTGTGTCCACCAAAACACAGGAGACACACCTCGAGCTTGTCTTAGGCCATTCCTGCTGCTATAACAAAATACCTGAGACTGGGTAATTTATAAAGAACAGACATTTCTTTGTCACGGTTCTGGAGGCTGGAAGTCCAAGATCAAGGTAACAGCAGGTTCAATGTCTGGTGGTGGCCTGGTCTCTGCTTCTAAGGTGGCATCTTGTTGCTGCTTCCTCCAGAGGGGACAAATACTGTGTCCTCACTTGGTGGAAGGCAGATGGGCAAAAAGCTACTAGCTAGTTCCCTCCAGACTTTTTATAAGGCACTGATCTCATACTAATCACCTCCTAAAGGCCCCACCTCATAAGACCATCACCTTGGGGCTTCAGTTCCAACATACGAATTTTGGATGGACACGTACATTTGAACCATAGCAGAGCTCTGAGTGGTCACTTTAAAGCACTGTTCTCCTTTCTTGAGATGAAGGGGGACATATTCTTCATTGCTCATTTTTGAGAGAAGGTGTAACTCACAACACATCAACTGCTACTTCAGATATTTCTCCCTTGGCTGGGCACAGTGGCTCATGCTTGTAATCCCAGCACTGGGAGGCCGAGGTGGGCAGATCACCTGAGGTCAGGAGTTCAAGACCAGCCTGACCAACATGGTGAAACCCTGTCTCTACTAAAAATACAAAAGAAAAAAAAAATTAGCCAGGCATGGTGGCATGTGCCTGTAATCCCAGCCACTCAGGAGACTGTCGCAGAAGAATCGCTTGAACCTGGGAGGCAGAGGTTGTGGTGAGCCGAGGTGGCGCCACTGCACTACAGCCTGGGTGATAGAGTGAGACTCTGTCTCAAAACAAAACAAAACAAAACAAAACAGAAACAAATATTTCTCCCTCATCCCCAACTACTTCCAACCCTTTAAAACCCACACACAATACCATAAGGGGTTGAGAGCAGCCAATCTTTGTCAGCTTTGTAAATTTTGCACCATGGTCTTGTTCTTTACTCTGGAATGTGGCATCTCTTCTATGTTGACCTCTCAGCTGGACATTTCAATTTTAATATGTTGTTACACTTATAATAATAGCCACCATTAATTTAATGTTTGCTCTACACGGGGCAGGCTCAGGGCTAATCATGTGTAGTGAATATTTGCTTTTTTTTCCAGCTCTCTGTATCCATCTCTTCCTCTTCTGCAAAGCACCCTGATTTCTTTTTAGATGATTACCTCTCCTTCATTTTGTGTGGCTGGCTGGGACACTCAGTAATGGGTAGTGTAGCAGATGGCTTTGGTGGCCTGCCCAGACACCCTTTATGCTGCAAGTGTTGGATGCTAATGGCTCACAGCTGCCCCCTTCCTTGGAGAATTGCCTGAGGTGATTTACCTGGGGCTACCTGAAAGGTTACACCGCTTCCCCTGGGAGTGGCCTGGGGTCAATGACTAACTAATGTGGAGTAAACCCAGCCCCCTTGCCTCTAGGTGGGACAAATTCACCGGTGCAATTCATACTCCCCCAGCATCAGGCTGAGAGACTAGACTCACCCTAAAACCACATCTTGACCAGCTTCTTCTTCCTTTGCCCAGTACTGCTCTGCTACCTCCTCTTCCCCTGACAGCACTCTCAACAGAATATTGCATGAGAATCCTTGTCTCAGGCTCTGCTTCCAGAGAAACTGACATAACCCAGGTGGGAATGTGACCCAAAAGAGGCCCATCTCCCAGGAAACTGCATCAAAGATAGGAGGAAAAAGAGGTTGAAACCTTACTGTTCTGGTGGTAGCTCCCAACAAGATTATTCCTTATTCCTGTTATCTTGATTCCTGGAGCATCCCTGGTTCTTTCAGTTTTTCTTGGGATTCTCTGTGTATTCCACATCTTGCTCTCTGACAATATCCCTTTTTGCTGACCTTGTAGCCAAACTGTTTCTGATGGCTGCCACCAAAGAACTGTACAAATATAGGATTTAAATGCAATATCTCAACGCTCCAATTGCCCTCCAAAAGCAACAGGTGTTATTATCCCTTCCATTTCTCAGAAGAGGAAGCTGAGCCTTAGAGAGGTTTAGTCACTTGCTTTAGGTAGCACAGCTAGTAAATGGTATTACTAGGAGTTGGGCTCTGAGCTCAGGTCTATCTAATACCAAAACTGTGCTCTTAACAACTCCAATGTGCTATCTCCAAGTGGGAAGAGCAAGCTGCTGTGGCCCACAGCTCTCTACTCCCCACTCTTTGTTAGGTTAATATGCCCATGAGCAGATCGCCATTGCTCCTGAGGCAGTGAGCCTGGAAGGCTAAGTACCTGGGCTTTAGAGTTTCGTTGGCACTCAAGCTCCATCACTTGCTAGTGGTGTCAACTGGGCAAGTTACCTAAGTTCTCTGAGCCTCAGTTTCTTAATCAGTTCAATGGAGACAATAGTGCCTAAACAGGATTGTTGAAAGGATTAAAGGAGGTCTTGAAAGTAAATTGCTTAGCTTGGTGCCCAGCATCTGGTAAGTACTCAATACATTGTAGTTGTTATTCATTATTGTTGTGTTACTTCCTGTCACACAGGGATGGCTTGGAACATATTTCAGCCAATGACATAGCCAGGGGAAGCCCATGGCAAGGACTGTCCCGTGCTCTCTGTCTTTCCTCCAGGTGGCCCACAAGAGATTCCCCACAAGGGCCTGCTTCCGCATTGTTAGGGGCAGGCCTGCAGAGGCCAGGCAGGTGCAGTAATTGACTGGAACAGGTCAAGCTGGAAGGCAGTACTAGCCACAGCCAGTTGTGGCCATTTGGAAAAGTGGACTCAGAGCTGCCAAATCCTGTGAGTTTTCAGGAAAAGCCAGGAATCTAGATTATTACATCAAACTCCCAGTTTTCAAATGTTTTAACTTAAAACACATTTTTTAATGCTGATTTGGCCAAACTAAACCCATATGTAGCTGAATGTGGTCTCAGTTTGCAACTCTGGGTTGGAGGTGCTGGTTGGCGTGGTTGCCGTGTGAAAGTGAAAGCCAACCAGGCTGGCCAATACGGCAAAACCCTATCTGTACTAAAAATACAAAAATTAGCCAGGCGTGGTGGCATGTGCCTGTGATCCCAGCCACTTGGGAGGCTGATGCAGGAAAATTGTTTGAACCCAGGAGGTGGAGTTTGCAGTGAGCCGACATGGCGCCACTGCCCTCCAGCCCAGGCAACTGAGTGAGACTCCATCTCAAAAAAAAGGAAGTGAAAGCTACCCTTCTCCCACACCACAAAATTCACCTCCAGGTCCTTAGATGGGGTTGGTTCTGGGGGGACTTCTGCCTTTGACTGCTCATGTTTTTAGATGCTCATTTAGAAAGCAGGGCCTGAGTTCATAGTGTGAGTTGAGCCCTGTGCTGCCAAGAGGATCTAAGGTGACTGAGACCTATGCCCTGCTCTTGACCAGAAGTAAGGGTTCATGGGGTGAGACTTCATGTTCACCAACAATGCAAGGAGAGGAAAGAAGGCACATGTGTGTATATGTGTGTATACGCCTATGGGCATGGGTGTGTGTGTGTGTACGTGTGCATGTGTGTTGGAGGGGGATAAATATGAATGATCTAGCTCAAAGTTCCAAACTGGAATGCTGAAGTTACTGAGTAGCTTTTATTTTCATTTCTTTCCATTTGTAGAGGCAAGAAAGAAAATCAAAATTCTTTGTTTTTTCTTTTTTTTTAGAGACAGAGTCTCACTCTGTCACCCAGGCTGGAGTACAGTGGCACGATCTCGGCTCATTGCAACCTCTGCCTCCCGGGTTGAAGCAATCCTCCCATCTCAGCCTCCCAAGTAGCTGGGACTACAGGCATGCACCACCGTGCCCGGCTAAGTTTTGTATTTTTAGTAGAGTTTTGTATTTTGGCCAGGCTGGTCTTGAACTCCTGACCTCAGGTGATCTACCGACCTCAGCCTCCCAGAGTGTTGGGATTATAGGCATGAGCCACCATGCCCAGCCCACGAAAATCAAATATTTATTTAGTCAAAAAAGAAACGAGATACAGTTTGTTTTCTCTCTAGGGTTGTCCATGATATATTGCCAAGAAAGAAAAACAAGTTGCAGAAGAGTGTACAAGCTGATTTGATTTCAGTAAAAACAGCAGCAATAACAAGGGCCAAACCGACCATACAAGAAGATGTCAATCTTGTGTGTGAGCAAGAGAAATGGTGTGGAATGATCCCCACTGGGCTGTTAACAATGGTCACTTCAGGGGTAGGGATGGGTGGGGGGTGAGATCAGAACTTGGCATGTGCACACATTTATGCTTTATTGTTTTACTTGTTTTAGTAAGCTTGCAATACTGTTGTAGTCTGGAAGTTGTACAATTAAAACAGCAATTTATTTTTATTTTTATTATTTTTTGAAACAGAGTCTCACTCTGTCACCCAAGCTGGAGTGCAGTAGCATGATCTCCACTCACTGCAACCTTGCCTACCAGGCTCAAGCGATTTTCCCACTTTAGCCTCCTGAGTAGCTGGGACTACCGGCACATGCCACCATGCCTGACTACTTTTTCAATTTGCTTTTTGTAGAGACAGAGTTTTACCATGGCTGGTCTTAAAACTCCTGGGCTCAAGCAATCTGCTCGCCCTGGCCTCTCAAAGTGTTGGGATTACAGGCATGAACCACCGCACCCGGCCTACAATTAAGACAACAATTTAAATACATATTACATGAACATCTACCAAGGCTATCATGAAAACTGTGGAGCCATCTCATTTTTCCCCACAATTATTTTTGTCAATTGCACTGCTATACATGTTCACTGTAGAAAATTAGCAAGTGCTCATAAATAAAAAAGAAAAAAAAAAGGAAAAGATATGCACTGTGAATATTTTGGTGCATATTCTTTTGACTTTCTGCTCCTAGGAACAGCTAACACTTCCTGTGAGCCAGACCCTGTGCTGAATGCTTGGGAATGGCAGGGCCAGCTCTCACTCCTCGATGTAGGTCCTGCCAAGACACACTCAGGATGTGGTAGCAGATTCATGAGCCTCTTTCTTCAGAGATTCTGGGTCAGAGGAGCTGGACGGGGCCTGGGAATCTGCATTCAGTAAGTTCCCTGGGAAATTCTGATGAGCGTACTCTTTGGACCACACTTCGAGTCAGCTAGCTGTGCGTCCAACCTACTCATTGCTGGAGCCCACAGAAAACAGCTGGAGCTCAGATTGGAGCCCACAGAAAAGAGACCTGCCCAGGGATACCCAGCCAGTGTGGCAGGGCCCGGTCCACAGACTCCCCTCTCCGCCTCGCTAAGGGCTCTCCCTGCCGTGCTCCTGCAGCTCTCCTCATGCCGACAGATGTTATTGTTTTCTTATGCCTCCAATTAAACAAAAAATCCTGTCAACGGGCGACAGGCCTAATGCACAGAGGCATTAACCAGACTTGCAACCCGACCCGGGCCTGCTCCTGTGGGTAAAGCACACTCCCTCTGCAGGCCACTGTGGCAGTCTCTCTCTGGATAAAGGGCCCTGCTGAGGCACCATCACCCTACCTGGTGCACACTGTGACCCCGGCAGATGCCTCTGGGAGCAGGACCTGGTTAGCCTGTCACCATGGCAACCCTGCTGCTGCCTTGAGACCCACTGAGGCAGCCTTTCCTAGACACCAGGTAGGTGAGAGCTGGAGACACAGAGGCCCAGAGAGGTGAAGGGTCTGCCTGAAGTTACCCATTAGGTCAGGGGCAGAACCTTCCACTAGCTTCCTTCCAGCTTCAGGCTGCTAAAGAAAGCAGGAGAAAATTGGCGACCCTGGCAGAAGGTTCCCCAGGAACAGGGTCTGCAGGATACAGAGCCACTGCTAACCTCAGAGCTGGAGTCCTGCCTGCAACCCTGCTTCTGGTCTCAGAGGCAGAGGCATTAGGGTGTGGGAGGCAGCAGCGACCTCCCCAGTCCTCCTGCTGCCTGCCTCCCAGAGTCCTGCTTGGAGCCAGGCCTCTGAGCAGGGAGGCATGGACACACATCTCAGGCCTGGGAAGCCCTCAGGGAGCAAGTTCCAACTCCTTCATTTTGCAGGTGGGGAAACTGAGGCCCTGAGAACATGACATACCCATCCAAGGTCTCACAGACTTAAACCTTGTCGTCTGAATCCTTGACAAGCGCTCTTTCCGCAAGGAAACCAGTTCCACGTGAGCACAGATTGCAGCATGGGGAACCACTTCCCCAGCATTGCCCACCCAGTCCCAGGGGCGGAGCCTGAACCCAGCCATGGTTGCTCTGCAGATGAGCAGAAAGCAGGGCTGTGGGACCCACTTAGGAGAGTGACACATTTTGGAGAGCTGCCTTCAGGCACTTGGTAGGCTGGCACTTGAGAGAGGGGAAGGCTTGTTCTGTGACGGCCATGAAGACCAAGCCAGGGCTCTCGGGGGTAAAGATTCAAGCTCCACCTGCAGAAGTCGATTCTATCATTCTGGCCAAGGAAACCTGACAGGCCCTGGACTCCTGCCTGCCCCACACTCATCTCTACACCATTCCCCCGACTCACACCTCAACTCTGCTTGCTTGGCTCCCCGACACGCCATGCGCATTCCCGCCTTGTAGCCTTTGCACTTGTAGTTCCCTCTGCCTGGAATGCTTTTTCACAGCTCCAGTCTGGCTTTTTCTTGTCATTCACATTTCAGCTGGACGTATCACCTCTTCCGAGAGGCCTTCCCAACTCACCCTAACAACGCTATCCCGTCATCAGCCTGAGTAATTCAGCTTAGGGTTTACCGCTGTCATCTTTACTTCTTATTGGCCTCTGACTACTCCTGCTTTCTAGAATGTAAGTTCCATGAGAGCAGATATCTTGTGCGTCCCTTATCCCCAGTGGCAAACAGTTCCTTCACATAGTGCTGCTGAATAAATATTCCCTAACTGGATGAATAAATGGAAGAATGAGCTGCCATGTAGGGAGATCCCTGACAAAAGTGGGATGCAAGCAGAGGCTGGATGTTTATCTGTGGGTGATGCTGTGGAGGTGGCATGCCTTAGTCATTGAGAGAAATTAAGAATCTCTGTTTTGAGGTCAAGCGCAGTGGCTTGTGCCTGTAATCCCAGCACTTTGGGAGGCCAAGGCAGGGAGATTACTTGAGGCCAGGAGTTCGAGAACAGCCTGACCAACATGGTGAAATCCCATTGTTACACGTGTCCGTATAAGAAACCACCTGAGCAGGCTTAGTGTGAGCAACAACGCTGTTTATTCACTTGGGTGCAAGTGGGCTGAGTCCGAGAAAGGAGTCAGTGAAGGCTGGTGGGATTATCATTGGTTCTTATAGGTTTGGGATAGGCGGTGGAGTTAGGACTCCTTTCTCGGACTCAGCCCACTTGCACCCAAATGAATAAACAGCCTTGTTGCTCACACTAAGCCTGCTCACGTGGTCTTTTATACGGACGTGCGTAAAATTCATCTCCACCGAAAATACAAAAATTAGCTGTGCGTGGTGACGCATGCCTGTAGTCCCAGCTACTTGGGAAGCTGAGGCAGAAGAATCACTTGAACTGGGAGATGGAGGTAGCAGTGACACGAGATTGTGCCACTGCACTCCAGCCTGGGTGACAGAGTGAGACTCTGTCTCAAAAATAAAAAATAAAAATAAATAAAAATTATACATATATATATATATCCTTTGATATTTGCTCGATGTGTGACCCAGGGTAGGTTACTATACCTCTCTGAACCTCACTTTCCCCATGTGTAAAATGAGGGCCCTAATAGTACATTCCACATAAGACAATTGTAATGATCACATGAGATGCTGTTGTAAAGAGTTTAGCCAGGGCCTGGCAGACAGTGCGTGCTCCATAGTCATTAGTAATAGTCCTTAAAGATCTATTCTGACTGTAATCCCTTCTGACTCTCAGACACATGAAGTCTTGGATGACACGTGCACTTGGCTTGAGCATCCTCAAATGCATCTCCCAAGTGCTGTATCTGCCCTCAGCCCCTTCCTGTGTTCTCCCTGTGGCCAGAGCCTCTGAGGTGGTATAACCACATTGCTTCTTTCAAGTTGCTGCAGTGTGAAAGGGGAGACAGAACATGCTTGGGCCCAATTCTCAAGGGCCCAAGGGCCCATGGGGTGCAGATGGGAGAGAATTGAATTTCTGCTAGAGTCATCAGGGAAGGCTTCTCAGAGGAGGTAGGACTTGAACTGCACCTGACAGAGCTGGCAGGATTGGGAAACAGGGAAAGGAGGAGGGAGGCACTGCAGGCAGGAAGAATGGCACGAGCAACAGCTTGGAAGAAAGGATACATGCATTCATTCATCTATTTGTTGACTGAATTCTATGAACTGAATGTGACGCCCAAAGCTCATGTGTTGCGAACTTAATCCCTAATGCAACAATGTTAGGAGTGGGGTCCCATAAGAGGTGATTAGGTGATGAAGCTTTACCCTTGTGGATGGATTAATGTCATTATTATGGGAGTGTGTTTGTGATCTATCTTGAGAGTAGGTTATAAAATTGAATTTGGCCCCTCTTGCTCTCTGGCACACATGTTCTCTTGCCCTTCCCCTTCCATCATGGGATGATGCAGCAAGAAAGTCCTCGTCAGATGCCGGCACCATGCCCTTGGCCTCCCCAGCCTGCATAAGCACTAGCCAAATAAATGTATTTTCTCTGTAAATTAGCCATTCTGTGGTATTGTGTTATAGCAACCCAAAACAGACTAAGACAGCACCTAATATACACCAGAAACTGGCTGGGCCCTGTGCTGAACAAAACCCCTATTCGACAGAGCATTTAGCCTACTGGGGGGACAGACAAGTAAACAGACAAATACAGTACAAAAAGACAAACACGGATGCACAGGGCCCCCAGGGCATAACTGAGTCCACTGGGAGTCAGGGAAAGTTTCCTGGAGAAAGCGACACTTAAACTGAGCCTGAAGGCAGAGTGGGGCAGGACAAGTGTTCCAAGCAGAGGGAACAGAGTGTGCAGATAGCAAAAGCAAGAGGGTCTCTTTTAGTTCAAAGACCTACAAGGTGTTCAGTGTGCCTGGAACTCAGTAAATGAGAGGAGCACGTGAAGATGACAGTGGAGGGGGCCAGGACACGAAGGGCCTCAACATTGGGCTGAGACGTTTTTAGCCTTTGCCCTGAGAGTAGTGGAAAGTCACTGAAGGGTTTCAAGAAGGGACTATGCCAATAGGAGCTGCATTTGCCAAAAGGTCATTCTATCTGCTGTGTGGAAAGAGGAGAAGGCCAGGTGTGGCAGAGGCAGGAGAGAGAGAGGTTAGGTCGCCTATTGCAGTCATCAAGGTGAGAGATGCAGTGGGCAGGTGTAGAAATGGGAGGAAGGCACAGAGTCTCTCAGGAGACTTTCCTTGCTGCAACTAGGCCGGCTGGGAGTGGGTGGCAAGGAATGAGAGGGAGGGGGCAGACGGATTATGAAGGAAGATGTGCTATAAAATTTTGGTTCAGAGATGCCTGAAAGGCATAATTTTTCAGGGACCCCCAGGTAGGGTACAACTGCTGGGGAAGTTTGATAAGTGATCAGAGTGGGTAATGACTTCAACACCTGTTTACTGAATACCTACTGCACATCAAGCATTGTACTAGGCCCTGTGGACTCAATGGTGAGCAAGACAGATGAGTTTGCTGCTTGTCTTACCACAGTGGAGGAGCAAGACAATAAACAAAACCGTAGATAACATGGCAAGTGGTGATAGATGGGTTAGAGAAGAATAAGGCCCAATGAAGGGGCGTGTGAAGGGCAGAGAGGGACTGCAGTTTCAAATACAGTTGGCAAGAGCTTCATCAAGAAAACCAATTCATTTCTATTTTCCTTTTTTTTAAAAATCTTTATTGTGATACAATTTGCATACCATACAATTCAAATCTACAACTCAATGGTTTTTAGTACATTCACAGGGTTGTGTAACCATTACCACGATCTAATTCCAGAACATTTTTATCACCCCCAAAAGAAACTCTCTACCCATCAGCAGTCACTCTCCACTCCCCCTTTGCTCCAGCCCCTGGCAACCACTGACCTACTTTCTGTTGCTATGGATTTGCCTATTCCGGACATCTCATAGAAGTGGAATCATGCAATGTGTCATCTTTGGTGACTGGCCTCTTTCACTCAGCATCAAGTTTTCAAGGTGCAGAATAAGGTAACTTTTGAGCAGACACCTGGAGCTGAGCAAGGTGGCTGTGCAGATGTTGGGGGCGGCACTCAGGGGAGAGAGGAACTCCAAACTGCCCAACCACAGAAAGTGAAGCACTTGCTCCAGCCAAGCTGCCCTGGGTCCCCCTGGGGAAATGCCTTGCCTAGCAGACAGTGAGGAAGGGTAAGTTAGGGTAGCTGGCATTGAGGGAACCTAGACAGCCTGCTTTCTAGCTTGGGTAGGTGGGTTGCAAAGATAGCCTCTGACACCCTAGGAGACTTTGGAATGCTCCTTGGGATCTCAAAGCTGGGAGAGTCTTTGGCTCCTCCAGCCCCAGGGAATTGGAATGCTATTCCAATGGATGTGAGCCTGTACAGCTCAAAAGCCCAGGAAGGGTGGGAGGGGCTGGTGTTGCTGTGATGGTTTGGGCTCAGTGGGGTATCTGGGGGAACAGAGGGGTGGCAGGAGGGAACAGCTGGGCCTGTGATTGAGAACCAGCTTTCTCTCACCATCCCTTTTTCTGGGACTGGGAGCATCCAGATACTACAGCAGGCTCTCAAAGATCTGAATGGGCTTTTAATGTGGTTTTTTTTTTTTGTTTTTTGTTTTGTTTTGAGATGGAGTCCCACTCTGTCGCCCAGGCTGGAGTGCAGTGGTGCAATCTTGGCTCACTGCAATCTCTGCCTCCCGGGTTCAAGTGATTCTCCTGCCTCAGCCTCCTAAGTAGCTGGGATTACAGGCATGTGCCACCACACCCGGCTAATTTTTTGTATTTTTAATAAAGACAGGGTTTCATCATGTTGGTCAGGCTGGTCTCGAACTCCTGACCTCAGGTGATCCACCCGCCTCTGCCCCCTAAAGGGTTGGGATTACAGGCGTGAGCTCCCGTGCCTGGCCAATGATTGGCTTTTTGATGGGACTTTTGTAAAGCCAGAGGGTGAAGACTGGAAGATATTTCTCGGGGCTCATTGAAAATTCTGGATTTTTCTAGTCTACGGCAGAGTGGGGCTTGAGAAGGAGAGGCGATGACCAGAGCCAGCGAGGTCTCCTGCTCTCAGCAGGGTGGAGGGCTGGAAAGCAGAGGTGTCTGCAGTCCTGGGCAGGAGTCCCAGCTCAGGGTAGCCTTGGTGAAGCCTTTTACCTCTATGGTCCACAGACTCCCCAGACGGGCACATGGGACACCATAGTCCACAGTGTCCCTCCCAACTTTGACACTCTAGGATTCCAGACCCCTAGGATCAGAATCACTGTGGGAGAGGTGCCAAGTGCCTCAGGGACACAGAGACTTTAGTAAACTCAAGGCACGATACAGGGCTTGACATGTGGTCTGACAATGGGGAACAATTTTTCTTTTAAAATTATTAATTTTTTTCATTTTGTAAGTATTTTCATGTATATTTCTAAAATGTAGGAGCTCTTTTTAAAGCAAACTATAATACCATTATCATAACCTGTATCAGTCAACTATTGCCACAATGATGCTGAGCAACAAACTCAGTGGCATTCAATGACAAGAATTTGGTTCTCTCTAAGATTTCTGTGGGGCAGCTGGGTTTGGCTGAAGTAGGTGGGGCGTGGCTCCAGGTTGCCATTGGGGTCAGGTTGGCTTCATGTGTCTTACTATTTTGGGGCCAGCAGGCTTCCCTGGCATATGTTCTCTTGATGAGGGCAGGAACTCAAGAACAAGCCCAACCCTGCAAGCTCATTTCAACCTTTCACTGGGTCATGTTCACCAGCAACCACTGGCTAATGCAAGTTACAAGGCCAAGCCCAGAGTCAAAAGGTGGGGAAATGGATTTCACTTCCTGATGGGAGGAGCTGCCGAATTCCCTATAGATTCAGGGAAGAGGGAAAAATGGGGTCCATTTTTACAATCAGCCAAACCCAGCATCCTCCAATGGTGACCAATGAGGGAGGTGTATATGTATCTATTTTTGTTTCTTTATGAACTGTAGATTTATTGCACTTATTTATTCTTGTTAACACTCCTTTGACCTTTTCAGTTTAGCATTGCCCTAGGAGTCTCTGGGAACTTCCTGCTCTTTATTAATTATAAGAAGTTCCAGGCTCATCTTGTACATTTCCTGCCCCAGACCTAGAATTAGCACCTTTTTAAAAAGCTATGCATTTGTGCTGGGCACGGTGGCTCACTAAGGGAGGCCAAGGCAGGCAAATCTCCTGAGGCCAGGAGTTCGAGACCAGCCTGGCCAAATGGTGAAACCCCCTCTCTACTAAAAATACAAAATCAGCTGTGTGTGGTGGCGAGCGCCTGTAATCTCAGCTACTCAGGAGGCTGAGGCAGGATAATCGTTTGAACCCAGGAGGCAGAGGTTGCAGTGAGCCGAGATTGTGCCATTGCACTCCAGCCTGGGCAAAAAGAGTGAAACTCTGTCTCAAAAAAATAAAAAAAAATAAAAAATTAAAAAAATGAAAAGCTATACATCTGTAAAGCTTAAAGTCAAGCAATTTTAAAGCATGAAATGTAGAGCAAACTCCCTTCCCCTACCCCGCCCCCAGCCCTTCATTTCCTTCCATAGAGGCAGCCACTGCTATCAATATCTCATAAATCTTTCTAGAGATATTGTGAGGCTAATGAAGCATAAATATAAGATATGCATTTTAAATGCAAAAAAAGTTCATTTTTGTTTTACATTTTACAGTGTGTAATGGTTTTATTTTATAGTATATAGTAATAACAGCTAACACTAATATAGCATTTATCACGTGCTGGGAGAGCTGACATCCTAATGGAAATCTGCCCCAAACCAAAGGCCAGGTATTAGCCACACCTTTACTGCCTTCTTTAGGGCATCAAACCTACCCTACATTTAATGAGGTCAGCATTTCCCAAAGCATGGTAGGTGCAATGATTTTACATGGTACAGAGTGAACATTTGTTATTTGAGTAGTTAAAAACATATTTTAATATATAAGAAAAATAAAACAAGGGTAACATGAAAGCCTGTGGTGTCCCATGATTTCCAAGTTGCTTCCGTTACTGAAGCTGAGTTTGTTGGGGGTCTGCTCATGGCTGTCTCTGAACAGAAGGTAACCGGGAACTCTCACTTCTGATCCCATCTCTATTGTTGTCTTTCCTCCAGGTAGCTATGGGCACCTCCTTCCATAGACCCTCCAGGAGCATCTGCTTCCAGTCCTGCCTGGGCACTGAACATACTCCTTCCTCAGATGGACTGGGTTCCTCTTCTCCTCGAAGTCCCTTCTGAATTTCCATTTTCCCAGTTGTGAAGGGTGTGATTCCTAGAGCAAAGCCCTTACTTGAGAAATAATAGTGGTTTTGTTTCCCTACGGGAACTCTGACTGTTTCACCCCATGTTCTGCCTCTTCCTTTTTTAAAAATAATTGTGGTTAAATACAAATAGCATGAAATGTAGTGTGTTAACCACTTTGACGTGTATAATTTAGTGGCATTAAGTACAACTCATCTTGTGCAACCAATCTGCAGAACTATTTTCATCCTGCAAAACTGAAACTCTGTACCCATTAACAAGAAATCTCCACTCCTCCCAGCCCCCCACTCTTCCACTTTCCTCTCTCTATGAGTTTGACTACTTCAGGTGCCTCGCATACCTGGAATCAGGCAGTATTTGTCTTTTTGTGACTGGCTTGTTTCACTTAGCTTAACGTCCTCAAGGCTCGTCCACAGTAACATGTGTCAGAATTCTCTTTCTTTTTAGGGTTCAATAATATTCCATTGTGTGTATTTGCTACATTTTGTTTATCCATTCATCCACGGATGGACACAAGTTGTGTTCGCCTCTTGGCTGTTGTGAGTAGTGCTGCTCCTCTGTCCTTTTTAAAGGCTGCATGGTGTTCCACGGATAGAGTAGCATGCTTAGGAGCACAAGCTCTTCAGCCAGAGGGACGCAGGTTTGAATACTGCCTCCACCCTGAGAACACATTGTGGGATCTTGGGCACACAGTTAAGTGTTCAATGGAGAACTGTCAATGGAGAATGTTCACCCTCACCATGTGTTCAAACTCACAATGGAGAACTGTCACCCTCACCACAGTCATCTCTAGAAGAGTCCCTCCTCTCACAACCATGGCCACAGCTCTCCCTTTGAGCCATCCTACTCTCAACAACCCTAGGTCTCCTCTCTCTCCTCCACCTGGTGCTCCAGGGCTATCCCAATCTGGGTTAGTCTCTGTCAGCCTTCCCAGCCTGCAACATCATGCTGCCACCACACTGAGCCATAAAAGACCCTTCCCCGTTGCTTGGCCCTCAGCACAAACTGCCATGTATATGCACATCCCTCTCTACACCGAGGGCTCCATGGGGCCAAGTTACCAGTGAAGTCCCTTGCCTCCTGAACATTCCAGGCATCATCTAAAGGCAACACGCTGGGTGGCAGCTCTGCCAAGTCCCTGGAGCCTCCAACTGCAAAAGCAAGAGTTTTGTCAGCGAAGTTGTTCTCTCATTTGCCTTTTCACCTTCCTGGGTTCAGAGCACTGGTCTGGAGCCAATGTATCCAGACCTTCATCTCACTCTGCACCAGTTGGTTCTGGGAGTGCAGATAAGCCCCTCCCTCTGTGAGTCCCCCTTTCCTCTTCTGTAAAATGCAGAAATTGGCTCACAGTGTTCTCCCAGAAAGTGGCTCAAAATATTCTCCCAGAATGCCCTGGCTTTGATTTCCATCTGGCTACTTCAACTGATATTCATTTATCCAGCCACCCATCCTTCCACCATCCAATAATTTTTCTTTTTTTTTTTTTGTATGTATTCTTTTCTTTTATTTCAATGTAACGTGCTTGCATGTGGCAAAATTTTCAGCGTAGGGGTTAGAAAGTGAACACCTCTCGGCTGGGTGCAGTGGCTCATGCCTGTAATCCCAGCACTCTGGAAGGCCCAGGCGGGTGGATCACGAGGTTGTGAGTTCGAGACCAGCCTGGCCAAGATGGTGAAACCCCGTCTCTACTAAAAACACAACAATTAGCCGGGCGTGGCGGTGGGCACCTGTAATCCCAGCTACTCAGGAGGCTGAGGCAGAGAATTGCTTGAACCTGGGAGGCAGAGGTTGCGGTGAGCCAAGATTACGCCACTGCACTCTAGCCTGGGTGACAGAGCAAGACTCTGTCACAGAAAAAAAAAAGAAAAGAAAAAAAAAAAGAAAGTGAATACCCCTCTTAGTCACAGCCTCTAGGTTAGTGATTTCTAAACAGGGTTTCAGGGAGAGCAGGGGTTCCCCTCAGAGAACATTTGGCAATGTCTGGAGACATTTCTGGTTGTCACAGCTGGGGTTGGAGAGTGTGCTACTACTGTCATCTAACGGATACCTGCCAGGGGTTTCACAATGTTGGCCAGGTTGGTCTCGAACTCCTGACCTCATGTGATCTGCCTACCTTGGCCTCCCGAAGTGCTGGGATTACAGGCGTTAGCCACCAATCCCAGCCACAAGTGTGTATATTTTAAAAACCCAAATAGGCTCCAACTGCAGTTTTCTTTATTCCTTTTTAAATTTTTTTTATTTTATTTTTGAGACAGAGTCTCATTCTCTCACCCAGGCCTGGAGTGCAATGGCACAATCTCGGCTCCCTGAAACCTCCGCATCCCAGGTTCAAGCGATCCTCCTACCTCAGCCTCCAGAGTAGCTGGGACTACAGGCGCCTGCCACCACACCTGGCCCTCTTTATTCCTTTAATAACACTGGCAGTGACATTTCAAACACTTAGGAGCTTGCTGCTAGAATCATATTGCCTAAATTTATTTATTTATTTATTTATTTATTTATTTATTGAGATGGTGTTTCGCTCTTGTCGCCCAGGCTGGAGTGCAGTGGTGCAATCTTGGCTCACTGCAACCACGGCCTCCTGGGTTCAAGTTATTCTCCTGCCTCAGCCTCCCATGTAGCTGGCATTACAGGTACCCACCACCATGCCTGGCTAATTTTTGTATTTTTAGTAGAGGTGGGGTTTCGCCATGTTGGCCAAGCTGTTCTCGAACTCCTGACTTCGGGTGATCCTCCTGCCTCAGCCTCCCAAAGTGCTGGGATTACAGGCGTGAGCCACCGCACCCGGCCAGGTTGCCTAAATTTAAATGCTGGTATCACCACTTACTAGATGTATGGCCTAATCCCTCCATACCTCCATGTCTTCATCTGCAGAGTGGGGATGATTATAGTACTTACCACATGGCATCACATGGGATTAGTTATTTATTATGTGCGTTCCTTTGTATCTGGCTGGAGGTGGCAGCAGATCACTGTGCTCACTGCAGAGATGAGGACACTGAGACTCAGAGTCAGGCAGTGACTTGACACAGCCTGTCCAGTAAGTCAGTGGCACTTGGTGCTAGCTCAGGGCTCTCTCCAGTGTAAGCAGCACTTCTGATAAAGGTATGTTTTTTTTGGCCCGGTGTGGTGGTTCATGCCTGTAGTCCCAGCACTTTGGGAGGCTGAGGCAGGAGGATCGCTTGAGCCCAGGAGTTTGAGACCAGCCTGGGCAACATGGCAAAATCCTGTCTCTACAAAAAATTTAAGAATTAGCCAGGCGTGGTAACCCATGCCTGTAGTCCTAGCTGGTCAGGAAGTTGCGGCAGGAGGGTTGCTTGAGCCAGGAAGGTTGAGACTGCAGTGAGCCATGATGGTGCCACTGCGCTCCAGCCCAGTTGACGGAGCGAAAGCCTGCCTCAAAAAAAAAGTATATTTTTTGCTTATTTGTTTGCTTTATTCTGTTTTGTTTTGGGGAAAGATCCAGAAGACAGCAGGCCATCAGCTCTGTGCTACAGGGTAGCAGAGAGTTCTGCGTCAGGCCTCAGGGCATCTTGGCAGACACCTCCCTGTCCCCAGTTCCCAGTCTCCCTCCCCACTGTGGCTCAGCCTGGCTCTCCACTAGGCCGGGAGCAGGCTCTGCCTTATCTCCAGACGCCTGTTATCTGCACACCCATCTGTGGACAAATGGCCAGCCGGCTGGCTCCTGGGCACCCCTGCCTAGAGGGGAGTCCGCCTCTCAGGCCTGTGTCTGGCAATTTGGGCTGGAGCCCAAGGTGGGGGGTCTCCCAATGGAGGAGGCCCCGCTCAGCCCTACCCCTGGGGCTTTAAGCCCTAAAATGATGCTGCTTAGACATTCCATTCATGGGACAGGAATCCGGGCCAGGAAAACCATCCCATCCCACCATCCTTCCCTCACTTCGTTTCACATCAGGCTCTGTAAGGTGGGTAAGGGCCGCAATTGTCATTCCCATTGAGCAAATGGAGAAACTGAAGCTAAGTGAGGAGCTGTGTTGTGTTGCAGGTCACAGAGCAAAACAGCAGCCTTTCAGGGACTAGAACCTAGGCCCCTTAGCTCCCATCCTAGCCTCCAAGAAGGAGAACTCGCAGACCTCATGCTCCAGGCCCCACCCTGCCATAGATGCCAGGGGCAGGGGCACAGTCATGTCCATTCTTTGGGCCTTAGTTTCTTCACCTCTCAAGCAGAGATAAAAGTGGGTGACAGGGAGGAGCCTGTCCTTAGCTCCAGAAGGCCAGGGAAGCAGCAGGCAGAGTCGGGCAGGGCGTGAAGCACGTGGGGCTCTGGGCTCACCCTGCTGGGGCTCAAGTCCCACTTTCCCCGCTTATCTCAGTGTGACTTTGAGCAATCACTTGACCTCCCTCTCTGTGCATTGGTTTCCCCATATGAAAAAAACAGGGGAAGAACAACACGAGTCAACCTCCATGAAGTGCATAGCACGTAATGAGTGCTCATAAGTGTGAGTTACTGTTGTTTTTGTTCGCAGGAGAATATGGCGTAGTAATTACAGTATTGGGGTTGACGAACTGGCTGTGCTGTGTGACCTTGGGCAACTGACTTAACATCTCTGAGCCTCTGTTTTCTCATCTGTAAAACAGGGGCAGTGTGTCTTTGAGGCTCTAGTGAGGGTCTTGGCACAGATTGTGGCCCCATTGGCTGGGGTGAAGCTGGGAGCTGCCAGTGACCTGCAGGGAGGGGTGCCTGCCTGAAAGATGGAGACAGCCTGCAGGCCTTTGTTTACAGAGCCCATCTCTCCTCTGATGGATGCGGCCAGCAGAAGTCTGTTTGCAAGTTTCTCCTGGAAACATGAATCAAGGTCTGTTTGGAGAACACGTGCGCTCCTCTGTCAAACATTCCACCCGTGCTGGGGCCACAGAGCCTTGAGAGCAGAGTGGGTCCCAGATTGTCCCCAGAGATAGGGGATAGGCCAGGATACCCAGCCCCTCCGGCCAGGCTTCAGAGGGGACAGCCTGGGCTCCGAGACAGATGCCCTCCCTGGCCTCAAGGAGCTCTCTAGAAAGCAAGATAAGACCCGGACTCGACCAGAAAACAGGGAGAGATAAGGACCCATCTGCTTCCACTCTTGTCCCCTCTGATCCTCCACAGCAGCCCTGAGTGATCTTTTTAAAATGTAAATTTCATGGCTCACTCCTGCTCACAACCCTCTGTGACTTCTTTAGTAGTTGAATCAAAATCTGATTCCAGGCCGGGCTTGGTGGCTCACACCTGTTTAATACCAGCACTTTTGGAGGCTGAGGTGAGCTGATCACTTGAGGTCAGGAGTTCGAGACCTGCCTGGCCAACATGGGGAAACTCTGTCTCCACTGAAAATATAAAAATTAGCCAGGCATGGTGACAAATGCCTGTAGTCCCAGCTACACGGGAGGCTGAGGCAGGAGAATCACTTGAACTCATGAGGCAGAAATTGCAGTGAGCCGAAATCGTGCCACTGCACTCCAGCCTGGGTAACAGAGCGAGACTCCGTCTCAAAAAAAAATTTCAGATTCCTTAAACATGGTCTTGGAGGTCAAGTGGGATCTCACCCCTGCCTGCCAGTGGGACGCCAGCTCCCAGCCCCTCTCCCCTTGCCACACTGGTTTTCTTCCAGCTCCTCAAGCAAGCCTACCTCATGCCCTTCCCAGCCCTTCCCACAGGTGCTCCCTTCTCCCTGCCCCATCCAGGTGGCCCTTCTCACACTCAAGCTGAGCTTGGCCTCCCTGACCACCCCTTGTCACAGCACCTTACTCTTGCCTGGGTGGCCAACATCAAATTTGTAATGATGTGTGTATCTGTGTGTGTACACGCTCAGTCTCTGGGTGGGGCCAGGGTCACACATCAGTGCATGCTCAGCCCCTGGCACAATGCCTGCCACATAGAAGGCTCTGTACAAATATTTATTTAATGAATGAGTAACTGACCAGGAGGAGGACTGATCTTATTCTTGAGGTCAGTCTTATTATCTTATTATTCGGCTCACTGCAATTTCTTGAGGTCAGAAAATGGACAGTCATATCCAGTAGAGAGGAAATCAGAGAAGATGTTTTGGGGAAATTGGCACTAAAGCTGGGTTGTGATACTCGGGAAGACTTTGACTGGTGGAGAGGAGAAAAGGAGAGTGTAGTGTTTAGGCTATGGGTAGGCACTGAGTTGAGGAAAGGCAGCAATGTGAGGTGCTGAGACCCTAGGCTGCAAATGCAGCCACCTGGGGCAAGTCTCTTCAATCTTTTGAACCTCAGTTTCTCTATCTGAAATATGGGGATGATGATATCAACTTCCTAGACAGAGCATATGAGGAGGAAATAAAGCTTTTCATCAGGGCTCAAATTGCAAGTATCATGATTACACATTTTTATTTCACCACCATGCCAATCTGAAGATAGGGGTATTATTGTCTGCATTTTCCCCTGATACTAAATTTATTTTATTTATTTATTGGAGATGGTGTCTCACTATGTCACTCCGGCTGGAGTGCAGTCACTCTTCTCAGGTACAATCACAGCGCACTGCGGCCTGGAACTGCTGGGCTCAAGCTATCTTCTTGTCTCAGCCTCCCAAGCAGCTTGGACCGCTTGGGTATGTAGTGGTGCACTTGACCTCCAGATGTACACCGCTGACCTCGGCTATATTTATTTTTAATGCTACATATTTTTTAAACATTGAAACTATCTCAAATTTATAGACAAGCTGCAAGCATGGTACATAGAAGTGCTTTTCCCCCAAATGCTTTGAGAATAAGTTGCGGATATGATGCCCCAACTCACCTGAACATCTTTGTGTTTATTTTCAATAAACAAGGACAATCTCTTACAAACCGTAATACAGCCATCACCATCAGGAAATTAATATCGACACATTCCTACCATCGAATCCTCAGATCCCCTACAAGATTCTCACTGGGTTAGAACAACGTGCTGTGTTTAGTTGCCACATTCTTTGGTTTCCTTCAAACAAGTCCTCAAACTTTCTCTGAATTTTGTGATCTTGACATTTTGGAGCTCACTGGCCAACTAGCTTGAAGAATGGGCCTTAATTGGGTTTCGTTTGATGATTAGGGCCAGGCTACGCATCTTTGGCAGGAACACCACGGTCATTTCTTCTGTCTGCATTGTTTCCAGGTAAGGAAACCAAGAAGGTGGGAAAGGAAATGTGAAATGGCCTCTGAAAAATCCTGAGGTGGGAAAGTATGTGGCATATCCTACTTTAAGTCCTTTCTGCTGCAAGGATGTCCTCATTTGCTAGATTTTCACTGCAGCTGATCCTGGCCAGAACCCTCCTGACATCAGGGAAGAGGCTAGAAGGGGTTAGGGGCTTTTTAGAAGTTGTGGGCGGTGGGTGGGGGAGTGGAGAGGGGTGCCGCACTTTCCCCAAGAGACGAGGGCGCTGAGCTCCCGGTATCCTCTAGGTGGCGCACAATTCTCTGGGGAAAAGGAGAATTCCAGGTGAACTAATTCCACGGGAAGAAGGGTTGGTTTGGGAGGGGCTAAGCCCTGCCTACGGGCTCCTGTAGGGGAATCAGCTCCCCATCCCCCTGCTCCCTCCAGAGCAGCGCCCAGCATTCAATCATTCGCTCGCATTTATTTGTCTCCCGCCTGCCTGTGGCCAAGACTTGCCATTTGTAGGTCACAGCACAAAGCGGAGGAGGGCAGGGTTGTCTGACTTGGAGCTCAGGAAACCTCGGCTTGGGGCTGGTTTTGCATCTGAGTTGCTGTAAGACTTAGCACCTTTCTGGGTCTCAGTCGTTCCAACAGTTCAAAAAAGTGAGGATGGCCGGGCGCGGTGGCTTACGCCTGTAATCGCAGCAGTTTAGGAGGCCAAAGCGGGCGGATCTCGAGGTCAGGAGTTCAAGACCAGCCTGGCAAAGAGGGTGAAATCCCATCTCTACTAAAAATACAAAAAATTCGCCGGGCGTGGTCGCAGGCGCCTGTAATCCCAGCTACTCGGGAGGCCGAGGCAGAGAATTGCTTGAACCCGGGAGGCAGAGCTTGCAGTGAGCCGAGATCGCGCCACTGCACTCCAGCCTGGGCGACAGAGTAAGACTCCGTCTCAAAAAAAAAAGTGAGGATGTCAGCTTGGCTAGATTATAGTCCTGCTTCATCACCCAACCCCCAACCCCTATCTGTCTCCATCTTGAGCCCACCCTGGCCCCAGACTCCTCCTCTGTCCCATAAGAAAGGATTAAAATCTCACAAACTGATGAGAATGAAGTGTGAAAGGGCCTACAGGGTTTGAATGAGGGGGGAGGGGCTGACGCTTCAGAGCTAGCTCTACCCCCACAAAGGGGAGGTGGGGGGAGGGAGCTGGAAGGCTTGGAGGGACCTATCTTCCTCCACCCAACTCCCAGAGCTAAGCAGTACCGTGGCCCCCCACTCTTCCAGTGCTGCTGGCCTATGGCTTGCTTATCAGGGGTGGCACCCCCACTAATGCAGCACGGGGTGTCCAGGGACTGAGATCGGCTCTCGAGTTCCCCTGTGGCCACAAACTGTCCTCTGGACAGTTGACTTGCTTGGCGGTGCCTCATTTTCTTTATCTGTAAAACGGGCCAAAACCACTTTTGTCACAGAGTGACATCCTTGCAACAGCCATACTGCTGTTTAAAATCTTCCATCTGCTTCTCCTTCCTGCAGGGCAGGTGTAAAGAAGGCCTGGGGTGACCCAGCATCCTGACTTGGAGAAGATCCTATGGGGGAAGAGGGCCATGGAGTGGTCATCGCAGATAAGGGGCCCTTTGGTGCTTTCTGTCCCATGTGCGCTAATAATTCTTCAGCCACAGACAGCATCTTGCGACATCCAAAGTACTCTCATATCCATGACTTTATGTGACCCTCACATTCTACCTTGATTGGTGGGAAACTGAGGCTGGTAAAAGGAGATGTGACTTGCCCAAGATCACACATCCAGCCAGCAGCCAAGTCAAGCTGTAGAGTGCAGTGGATAAGAGGATGGTATCAGGCCATCCTGGCTCTGCTGTGCTTAAGCCGTGTGGCCTTAGGCATGTCATTTCACCTCCCTGAGCCTCGGCTTCTTCATTTATCAGTAGGAATAGTGCAGAATTGTTCTGAGGGTTAAATAAAACAAACAGAGTGACATACTGGGTGCCATCCTGGTTTTGGTAACATTCAGAGCCAAAACACACCTTTCTTGGTTCTAAGTGACTATATCTGGGGAGTGGGGACTTGTCTTTTTTTCCTCCTACATCTTGCATCTCGCTGGTATGATTTCCATGTCCCATCACATCAGTCTCTTCCCCAGGTCTTCCAGGCTCCACTGTCAGCACTAAGAAGTCAGGGATTGGGTGTGGCTTGCTCCCCGCTGTAAGCCCAGCACATAGCACAGCACCTTACACTGAGTGAGAATAATGGCTCATATTTTAAGTGCTCGCTGTGTGCCACTCCTGTGCTAAGCACTTTCTCTGCCTCTTTTCATTTAATCCTCACAATTCTACAATGTAGGAGGTATGATTCTCATCCCCATCACAGCAGTGATGGAACTGGTATCAGAAAGGGAAAGCAACCAGCTCAGCAGAGCCAGGCATGTCTGTGCGACTCCAACACTCAACCGCACGGCAGGCTCAGCAGCTGTTCTCTGCTTATAAAGCACATGGCGCCTGGCACATTGGTCACCCTCAATCCATGGCATTGGATCTTTGTCACCTGACTGTCATCATCCCTTCTGACTCTCAGTCCCTCCTCTGAACAACAGCTGTGTGTTGGCCCCATTCATGTCCCACCAATGCCCAGTCCTTTAGGGGGCTCCCCAGCTAGCCAAGGTGACCCCATGCTAACATTTCCCAAGCTCTTTCCTCAAATTTTATCTCCATCATCAATGACCAACTCCTCTGTGTCAGAGGCAAACAGCTCCCACCCGTATTTATTTCACCCCAGCTTTGTCTATTTATAGGAAGCTGGCTTGTCCTGACGCTGTTTCTGTTAACAAGGCAGGCATCTCAGCCAACTGGGCAGAAAAGCAGCAGAAACCTTCAGTCCTGCCCATAAAGGCCCCAGAAATGTCTCTGCCTCCAGAGGTTTTTGAGAAACTGCTGCAAGGGGAATTATGAGTGTAAACTTGCCCCCTCCCTCTGCCCGCCCCCCAGCCCTCTCATCTGGACAATAACAGCTCCCATCTCATCTCTGAGAAACCATTCCCGAAGGTTCCAGCTGAGTGCAGGATTAGGCCTCAGGGTGGCAATTAGCTGATAAGGCGATGACTTCACCCAGAGCAGAGAGAGCCTGGCTAGCTGGAGCCTGTCCCTGCAGGACACCCTGCCCTGGGCCTCTCTCCCTGGACTTAGAGACAGGAACCCTGGCCCAAGGCTTGGGGAAGTCTCTTCCCCTCTCTGGACCTCTGATTGCCCCTGTGTGAAATGGAGCATGTTCTGACCTTCACAGGCTTGTGGGAAGCTCCAGTAAAATAAGAAATAAGATCTTGCTCAGAAAGAATCCCTGGCAGCAGTGCATTGCTGACCATAGACAACCATAGAACTGGAGCCTTTTCTGGAATATTCCTGAAGGAACAAAGAAAAGAGGCACTGGCCAGGGAATCAGGTGGACCTGAGTTTCTGAGCACAGGCCCTGTGTTCACCAGCTGTGTGCTCTCAAGCAGGCTGCCTCCCTTTCCTCTCTGTAAAATGGGACAGTGTTTGTGCCTTGTCTTCCTCGCACATGGTTTTGAGATGCAGAGATAACTGAGGAAGGAGAGCTGAGCGGATAAGATCACAGGTTTCAGAGCATGTGGGCCTGGCTTCGAGTGCCTGTTTGACCCCTTACTAACTGTGTGCCTTTATGTTGATGGCTTGTATAAGACCTCGGTTCTTGTCTTCTTAGTTTAAAAGAATTTAAACAAGAGACACCCAGCAAAGGAGGTGAATCATAGAGTAATTTCTCGAAAAATAAAAAGATATTTTGCAGGTGGATCACTTGAGATCGGGAGGTCAAGACCAGCCTGGCCAACATGGTGAAACCCCATCTCTACTAAAAATCAAAAATTAGCTGGTTGTGATGGCACGTGCCAGCTCCTCAGGAGGCTGAGGCAGAAGAATTGCTTAAACCCGGGAAGTGGAGGTTGCAGTAAGCCAAGATCATGCCACTACACTGCAGGCTGGGCGACAGAGCAAAACTCTGTCTAAAAAAAAAAAGCAGATTCCTTAAAAATGACCTGGGAGATAAAGTGGGATCTTGCCCCTGCCTGCCACTGGGACCCCAGCTCCCAACCCCTCTCCCCTTGCCACACTGGTTTTCTTCTCTGTCTGAAAAAAGAGAAAAGAAAAAAAGAAAAAGAATATTTTGAAAGGTCAGGGTGGGCTGCTCACGAGGATGAGTCAGCCAAGACTGGCACTAGGGAAGCTCCCTTTACAGGAATCTTCCAGCATTATTCATAAGGAGGTAGGAAGAGGTGTTACTATTATAGTAAGCATGTTCTGGGTGGTCTCTGGGTGCACATGCTCAGTAGCCACACATACTTTTTCATACGTAGCCTGTACAGTTCATTAGCATCTTAAATCTCCACCCAGGGGTGTGTTTTTACTATTATAATGAGCAAAGGGTCAGTCTGAGGACAGGTAAAATCAAAATGTGCATGCTGTCTGGAGGAGAAAGTCCCTACTGAATATAGCTTCAGTAGCCCAGCTAATTTTTGTATTTTTAGTAGAGACAGGGATTCATCATGTTGTTCAGGATGGTCTTGATCTCTTGACCTCGTGATCCGCCCGCCTCAGCCTCCCAAAGTGCTGGGATTACAGGCATGAGCCACCGCTCCCAGCTGAAGAAAGGTGTCTTTCTATCCACGGCCCTCTGCCCCTTCTTTGCCTAATGTTGAGGTGGAATGTTGGTCATGAAGGCAGCTTACCAGCTGTGTGATCCTGGTCAAGTTAGTTAACCTCTCTGTGCCGTGCTTTTTCTTTATCTGGAAAATGAAATGATAATATGCACATCTACCTCATAGTTATCTGAGGACTAAATGTGTTAGTAAATTTAAAGTGCTTAAAACAGTACCTAACATCAGAGTGCTCTGCACACATTAGCTTTTTTTTTTTTTTTTTTGGAGATGGAATCTCACTCTGTCACCCAGGCTGGAGTGCAGTGGCACGATCTCAGCTCACTGCAACCTCCGCCTCCCGGGTTTAAGCAATTCTCCTGTCTCAGCTTTCCAAGTAGCTGGGATTACAGGTGCGCGTCACCATGCCCGGCTAATTTTTGTATTTTTAGTAGAGACGGGGTTTCACCATGTTGGCCAGGCTGGTCTCAAACTCCTGACCTCAGGTAATCTGCCTGCCTTGGCCTCCCAAAGTGCTGGGAGTACAGGCATGAGCCATCATGCCTGGCCCACATTAGCTTTTATTTGTATTATTTTAAAGTTCTTGTTTTCTCCTCATGTCAAATTGCCTTTGCAGTAGACAGTGCATGGCTGCTTCCTGGAAACCTGTGGAGAAGCTGCAGAGGGGTCGATGACAATCCTGAGCCTGGCCCTGCCACTTGCACATTCAATGTCTCTGGCAAGTCCTCCCCCTTCAAAGCCCATTTCCCCATTGGTAGAATGAGAAGGATCAGGAATATTCCAGAACTCTAGGTCCCAGGGTGGCTTAGTCCCACTGAGGACTCCTGATGGCCCCCTTTGCTTGCTGACCTCCAGGAGATCTGATGGGGCTGAAGTGCCCACCTTGGTGGCCCGCCTTGTCTCTCTCACTCAACAGCTCTGGCCCTGAGAGAAAGCAGGCCCCAACCCAGGGCTGTCACATGAGCTGACCCCGCACTGGGCGGGGAAGGAAGGGCTGTGGTGGGAGCCCAGGGGAAAGGGCCTGTATGCCAGTGTGTTCACACAATCACATAAACTCTCACACAGACAGACACACAGACATCAACCTTGACACACTCAACAGATAGGCATGCTCTGACACAGACACATAGTCAGACACTGTAGCCCCCAACACCTTCTCAAGACGATCACAGGCCTGGCCCCCTCCTGCCCCACCGTGTTGTGGAAGGGTGTGGCCTGGTGCTTTGCACATCATGGTTTTAAACAGATATTTGTTGACCGAACCAATGACAGCTTCATGGAGGGGTGCCCGACCTCAACCACCCCCAGATCGGGGTTTCCAAACACAGAAACTTGAGAGGATTTGAAATAGTTCCCAGGTGAGCCATTCTCAAATGTTGATATGGTTTGGGTCTGTGTCCCCACCCAAATCTCATCTTGAATTGTAATCCCCAGGTGTTTAGGGAGAGACCTAGTGGGAAGTGATTGGATTAAGGAGGCGGTTCCCCCTGCTGCTCTGGTGATAGATAGTGAGTGAATTCTCATGAGATCCGATAGTTTTATAAGGCAGTTTTCCCTGCTCTTGCTCACTCTTCTCTCTACTGCCGCCTTGTGAAGAAGGTGACTGCTTCCCCTTCCTCCATGATTGTAGATTTCCTGAGGCCTCCCCAGCCATGTGGAACCGTGACTCAGTTAAACCTCTTTTTTTTTTTTTAAATAAATTACCCAGTCTTGGGCAGTTCTTTATAGCAGTGTGAGAACAAACTAACACAAATATGTCTTAGATAAAAATGCAACTGACCAGGGGTGGTTACAATAGAATGACAGAAGTAATACAAGTTTTCTTCATTTTTAGAAGCTTCTTTTCAAAAAATAAATTAAAAGATAAAGGTAATAAAGGTTTTTTTTCCCCTAGGAGGCCTTTAAATAAAAATTTTAAGTAACTAGTAATACAGATGGAACTCAGATATGGCAAAGCCTAGGGTGCCTGAGGCTTGTGAAACACCGTTGACACCATCCCATCCAAACCCCTCTTCACCATCTCATAAATGGGGAAACCCAACCAGGGAACAGGTTCTTTCAAGATGAGCACTGATGTAGGGGCCTGGAGGGCAGGGCTCTGGGCTCTGATTCTGACTGACTGTGTGACCTCCGGCAAGTCACTTCATCCCTAGCCTCTTTCTGATTCCTCAACTGTGAAATCAGAGGGAAATGTATCCCTTCACCGACTGCCTCCCAGGGTGTTTGTGAGACTCACTAGAGGCACTTGGAGACCAGATTTAGGGAACTGCCTCAATTACAGGCAGAGCTGAGCCTAGAACCCAGGTCTTCTAAGGTCCCATGCAGGGCTTGCTCCAGAGCAGTACACAGCATGATGAAGGGAAGAGAATAGATTTGGGAACAGAGAGACAGGTGCCTGAATTCAGTCTCTACCTGCTTATTCACTCCTTCAAATTTTTTGGAGTACCTACCATGGGTGTGACACAGTGCTAATTACTGGGAGGGCAATGGGGAGCTGAAGGAGGCAGGCATTGGTCAAAATATTATACAGATAAATGTAATGTAAGTGCAGTAAGTGCAACACATTGGTTCCCAATGTAGGGACAGAGAATTGTTCTGGTCAGGGAGGTCAGCATAGCCATCATCCCCCAGGAATGATGATCAAGCTGATGTTGAAGAAAGAGGGGAGGTTAACTTGGCAAAGGGAAAGTAAAAGCATCCCAGGCAGAGGAAACAGCCTATGCAAAGGTCCTGGGGCTGGATGGAGCGGGAGCACTTGAGAAACATCAGCGTGGCTGCAGTACAGAGTACCAGGTGAGGCGTGCTCAGCCAAGAGAAGCTGGAGAGCTGGGCAGGACCAAGCAGGCAGAGCTCACGGGCCCATTAGAATTTGGGCCATAATTGTTAGAGCAATGGGAATCCATTAAAGGCTTTTAAGCAGGGAGTGATATCCATTTTGATAAGCTCACTGGCTGCAAGTCAAGTGTGAAAGAAAGGAACATGAGGGGGGACTTCCTTTACAGAAACCAGAACATGCAATGAAGTCACTAAAATCAGATCGTTGTGATATTAGAAAGGCATAGACAAATAGATCTGTGGAACAGGATAAATAATCCAGAATTAGATCTCAGGATATAGATGTTAGCATTTGACAAAAGAAGTATCTCATCACAGTGGAAAAAGGATAGTTTATTTCACAAATGGTGCTGGCCTGATAATGTAACCCTCTGGAATAAATAAAATGAACCCTCATCTTAAACCACAAAATCGGGTGGTGGGAGGGGGGAAGGATAGCATTAGGAGATACACCTAATGTAAATGACGAGTTAACAGGTGCAGCACACCAACATGGCACATGTATACCTATGTAACAAACCTGCACGTTGTGCACATGTACCCTAGAACTTAAAGTATATTAAAAAAAAAACTTGGAAAAATAAATAAATAAAGCTTGCCTACCATGAGTCATTAAAATGTCAAAAAAAAACCCACAAAATCCAAAATTTCAGATAGATCAAAAATGTAAATGTAAGAATTAAAATAATACAAAATAATGTAAGATATTCTAGGACACTGTATGTTTAACATAGAGCAGGGGCCAGCAAACTACAGCACATGGGCCCCATCCAGCTGGCTGGCTGACTTAAAAAAAAAAACAGTTTTATTAAAATATAATGCACATACCATATAATTCACTCACTTGAAGTATACAGGTCAATGATTTTTAGTATATTCTTAGATACATGCAACCATCACCAAAGTCAATTGTAGAACATTTTCATCACTTCAGAAAGAAACTCCATACCTCTTAGCTATCAACCCCCATTCCCTATCCTCCCCAGCCCTAGGCAACCACCAATCTACTTTCTGTTTCTATAGATCTGCCAATCCTGGACATTTCATATGAACAGAGTCATATTATAAGTGATCATCTGCAACTGTTCTTTTTTCTCTTAGCATGTTTTCAAGATTCATCCATGTTGTAGCAAGTATCAGAACTTCACTCCTTTTCATGGATGAATAATATTCCATTTTATGGATATCCCACATTTTGCGTATCCATTCATCCATTGATGGACATTTAGTTTGTTTCCTCCTTTTGGCTATTATGATTAGTGCTGCTATGAACATTCAGGTACCAGTATTTGTGTGAACTATGCTGCCATTTTTCTTGGGCATTTACCTAGAAGTAGAATTGCTGCTGCCTATTTTTTTTTTTTTTTTTTTTTTTTGAGACAGAATCTCGCACTGTTGCCTGTGCTGGAGGGCGGTGGCACGATCTCGGCTCACTGCAACCTCCGCCTCCCAGGTTCAAGAGATTCTCCTGCCCCAGCCTCCTGAGTAGCTGCGATTACAGGTACCCGCCACCACACCCAGCTAATTTTTTTGTTTGTATTTTTAGTAGAGATGGGTTTTCACCATGTTGGCCAGGCTGGTCTCAAACTCCTGACCTCTTGACCTGCCTGCCTCAGCCTCCCAAAGTGGTGGGATTAAAGGCATGAGCTACCACGCCCGGCCTTCTGCCTGCCTATTTTTATAAACAATGTTTTATTCAAGCACATTCGTTGGCATATTTATGGCTGCTTTTGTGTCATGATGCCAGAGTTGAGTGGTTATGACAGAGACCATACCATACACCCCTCAAAGCCTGAAATAGTTACTTGCTGGATTTTTATGCAAAAATTTCCCAACTTCTGGTCTAGAGGTTGGGAAGACCTTATTTGTCAAAGAAAAGCGAGATTGGCCTGGTGCAGTGGCTTATGCCTATAATCCCAGCACTTTGGGAGGCTGAGGTGGGCGGATCACCTCAGGTCAGAAGTTTGAGACCAGCCTGGCCAACATGGTGAAACCCCGTCTCCACTAAAAATACAAAATTAACTGGGCGTGGTGGTGGGTGCCTGTAATCCCAGCTACTCAGGAGGCTGAGGCAGGAGAATCTCTTGAATCTGGGAGGTGGAGGTTGCAGTGAACCAAGATCACGCCACTGCACTCCAGCCTGGGCGACAGAGCGAGACTCCATCTCAAAAAAAAAAAAAAAAAAAAAAAAAAAGGCGGTGGCTCACGTTCGTAATCCCAGCACTTTGAAAGGCCGAGGAGGGTGGCAGGAGTTTGAGACCAACCTGGCCAAAATGGCAAAACCCCGTCTCTACTAAAAATACAAAAATGAGCTGGGCATGGTGGCGCATGCCTGTAACCCCAGCTAAACAGGAGGCTGAGGCAGAAGAATCACTTGAACCTGGGAGGCGGAGGTTGTAGCGAGACGAGATCGTGCCACTGCACTCCATCCTGGGAAATAGAGACTCCGTCTCAAAAAAAAAAAAAAAAAAGAAAAGAAAAGAAAAGAAAAGAGAGATTACTTAAAAATTAAATTTGACTATATATTTATAAATCAAATCTTTAGTATGGCAAAAGATACTAAAAACAAACTCAGTGGGCAAACACTAGAGTTTGAAAAATAGCACTGTCTACTAAAGACAGAGAAAAGTTTCCTATCTTATGTCACCGACAGTCCTGGCAAGAGGTAGGTGGCACGATCAACTGGGGTAGTTTAAGGCAATATAATGAAGGGACAATACAGAGGGGTGTGCAGGGTTTAACAAATGCATCCAGGGACCTGCACAACCGCAGAGCTGGTATCAGAAGGAAATAATTTCCACCAAGGCCAAAAGGAGTTGGGATATCAAGGAGTTTTCAGAGCCTGGAAAAGACTATATGGCGGGTGGAGGGCCAGAAGACAGGAGCTGCAGAGGAATGAAGCCGATTTATGATGCCCATCAAGGGCAGGAAAAGGGCTTGGGTGTAAATACCCCAATCTCTCTTTCCTCTTGCCCAGTGATCTTCAGGTGTGCCTCACACTGGCCAAACCCAACCAGAAGCTGGCTATACAGTCCGTATGGGATAAGAGGCACATAGCAGATGGAGAAAGCAGAGCCTGATCTGGAAGGACAGATGGAAGACATCCAGCATGCAGCCTGAAAGGAGAAGCCATCACAACAGAAAAATGGGTAAAGGTGATAACTAGACAGTCAACGGAACGACCAAAAACATGAAAAATATACTCAAATTTATATTAACAGTTATATACTGTTATATTAACAGTCAGCAAAGTGATCAAGTTTGTTTGTTTGTTTGTTTGTTTGTTTGAGACAGAGTCTTGCTCTGTCAGCCAGACTGGAGTGCAGTGGCACAATCTCGGCTCACTGCAACCTCCCCGTCCCAGGCTCAAGCAATTCTCCTGCCTCAGCCTCCCAAGTAGCTGGGTTTACAGGCGTGTGCCATCATGCCTGGCTAATTTTTATATATGTTTTTTAGTAGAAATGGGGTTTCACCATGTTGGCCAGGCTGGTCTTGAACTCCTGACCTCAGGTAATCCACCTGCCTTGGCCTCCCAAAGTGCTGAGATTACAGGCGTGAGCCACCGAGCCCAGCCGTGATCAAGTTTTATATCTGACAGAGCTCTCACACCTATGGCTGGTGGGGAGGTAAAGAAAGTGGTACTCCCACATATTGCTGGTGGAAACGTGCAATGTTACAGACATTTTGGAAAGCAGCCATTCAACTCCTGCAAACCTACCCCACAAAAATAAAGACCCCTTGGCTGAGCGAGGTGGCTCATGCCTGTAATCCCAGCACTTCGGGAGGCTGAGGCAGGCAGATCACCTGAGGTCAGGAGTTCGAGACCAGCCAGACCAACATGGTGAAATCACATGTCTACTAAAAATACAAAAATTAGCCAGGTGTGGTGGTGCAGGCCTGTAATCCCAGCTACTCAGGAGGCTGAGGCAGGAGAATCACTTGAACCCAGGAGGCAGAGGTTGCAGTGAACCAAGATCGTGCCACTGCATTCCAGCCTGGGTGACAGAGTGAGACTCCATCTCAAAAAATTTAAAAAAATATATATATATAAAAAATGCCCCAATAAAGAAAGACTTATGTACAGCAAAATTGCAGTAGATACTGCCATATTCATAGCTGCCCATCATCTTTTGAATAGCCTTTCTTTATAATTGGGGAAATCACCTCCTCAGTTCAAGAATTTCCATTGACATTCCAGCCTCTTTTGCAGCTAGGATGTGGCCATTCCAGCAGGCTCTGCCAATTAGATGCATCCTGTGAGACTTCTCCCATTTTGTGTTAACATGGGACCAGACAAGAGTCCAGTTCTGGTGGCTGCAGCACCAGAGGCAGTTTCCCAGGGACTGCAAGGTGGAATTCCAGGTGTAGAGGTGGCATGGGTGGAGCAGGAGAGAGCTTCGTGAGACCAAAGCCAGTGAGCTTATCAGGCTGTTCTGTGGCATGGTTTAGGGCTTTGGTCCTAGCAACTGAGCCTCCAGGTCAATTAAACAGCATCAGCTTCTGCTGCCTCTAAGAACTCTACCTAATAGTGCCACATTGCTCCCAATGGCAAAAAAATGAAAGCAGACAATGACCATCAACAAAGAGATGACCAGGCTGGGCATGGTGGCTCATGTTTGTAATCCCAGCACTTTGGGAGGCTGGGGTGGGAAGATTGCTTGAATCCAGGAGTTCAAGACCAGCCTGGGCAACATAGTGAGACCCCATCTCTTAAAAAAAAATTAGCCAGGTCTAATGGCACTCTCTTATAGTCCCAGCTACTCAGGAGGCTGAGATGGGAGGATCCCTTGAGCCCAGGAGTTCAAGGCTTCAGTGAGGGGGTGATTGCACAACTGTACTCCAGCCTGGGTGATAGAGTGAGACTCTGTCTCAGAACAACAAAAATAAAAACAAGATGGTGACTGAATACACTGATACATCCACACAGTGAAATATTATGCAGCCATTAAAAAGAAAGAATTAGAGCTATACTCGATGACTTGGAAAGATGTCTATGAAGTGTTGTTGGGTGAAGAAGGTAAGATGCAGAAAACTATAATATTGTTTTAAATGTTTTTATAGGATGGTCCCATTTTAAAAAAAGAAGCAATAATGAGTAAATTCTGTATGTGTAAATGTGCATACAAATATGTGCTCAGGATTGAATGAGTACAGATAAAAACATGGAATGACACACAGCAGGTCGTTGGCATGAGTGTGGGTTGCTGTGTGAGGCGAGGGGGTGGAAAAGGAGGAGCCAAACCAAAAAGAAAAGAAAGAAAACTGTACTGACTAAATAAAGGGTATTTCTGATCATTTTTAGGCATTTGTGTAAAATTGTATTTATGGATATGCATGCATGTATTGTAGGTATATGTATAAACAAATTACACTGAAACTTTAAAAATTTTTATTTTATTTTAATTTATTTATTTTTATTTTATTTTATTATTTTTTTTGAGGCACAGTCTCGCTCTGTTGCCCAGGCTAGAGTGCTGTGGCACAATCTTGGCTCACCGCAACCTCCGCCTCCCAGGTTCAAGCTATTCTCCTGCCTCACCCTCCCGAGTAGTTTAGATTACAGGTGCCCGCCACCACACCCAGCTAGTTTTGTATTCTTAGTAGAGACGGGGTTTCACCATGTTGGCCAGGCTGGTCTCGAACTAACAACCTCAGGTGATCTGCCTGCCTCAGCCTCCCAAAGTGCTGGGATTACAGGCGTGAGCCACCGTGCCCAGCCTAATTTTTATTTTTTAGGGACAGGGTCTCACTCTGTTGCCCAGGCTGGAGTACAGTGACCATAGCTCACTACAGCCTCGAACTTCTGTGCTCAAGCCATCTTCCTCCTCAGCCTCCAGAATAGCTGGTACTACAGGCGCAAGCCACTGTCCCCAGCTGAAAATATTTTCAGCCAAAAAGTCATTGGCTACAGTACTGAGGTCAGAGTGGTGACAGGGAGACCAGTTGGGAAGTTATGGTGTTTACACAGGCAAGAGGGAATGGTGGCTTGGATTGGGCTGGTGGTAGTAGCATGGAGAGAAAATTATGGATTTGAGAAACACTCCACAGATAAAAATGGTCAGGATAGGGAATGGGTCGGTTTGCGGGCAGTGGGAGGAAGGGAAGAATCAAAGATGATTCCCAGGTTACTAATGGGGTGATTTTGAATTCTTACTTTCCCTCATCTGTAAATGAGGTAAGATGATACCACCTATTTCGAGATGCTGTGAGGATGAAGCGAAGAATATAAAATGCCTACCAAAGAATGTGCCCATCACCCACTTTAACCCCCAAGTAACCTAAAGGGCAGAGCCCACCTGGCGTGATCTCGTGGTAACCCTACAGACCACGTGTTCAGTGGGTTCAGCCAGGGGAGGCTGGGGACCCGCGTGTTGAGATAATCAGGGCAGGGTGAGGTTGCAGAGACGGTTCAGGGTTAGTTGGGTGCCGTAGCTCACATGTACACACATATTCTTTGTTCTTGCAGAGCTGGACTGCTGTTAGAGGAGCCTGTGACTAGAGCGTGTGCAGGCAGGAACTCCATCCCAGGCACCCAAGGCCCCGCCTTTGGCCATCAGAACACAGCTTTCCATTCAGTTTGGCTCAGCTATTTAGTGCTCACTGTGTGCAAGAAAGGCCCTCAGGGAGTTGTCATTAAAATGACAGGTAGGAAAAAGAGCCACAGAAATACAAGTAGGTGATAAGAGCCCTACACGCTGGGCAGATAAAGGGCTTCAAAATGATGTGAAAAGAGGAGGGAAGGGACACTTCCACTTAGGAGTGCTCCTGGAAGGGCTTTTGGGAGGAAGTGGCTTTTGAAGGATGGGTAGAATTTGTTTTTTTGTTTTTGCTTTTTCTTTCTTTCTTTTTCTTTTTTTTTTTTTCTTTTGAGACCAAGTTTCGCTCTGTCTCCTATGCTGGAGTGCAATGGCTCTATCTCGGCTCACTGCCACCTCTGCCTCCTGGGTTCAAGCACTCCTCCCTGCCTCAGCCTCCTGAGTAGCTGGGATTACAGGCGCCCACCACCATGCCCGGCTGATTTTTGTATTTTTTAGTAGAGACAGGGTTTCGCCATGTTGGCCAGGCTGGTCTTGAACTCCTGACCTCAGGTGATCCACCTGCCTCGGTCTCCCAAATTGCTGAGATTTCAGGCGTAAGCCACCACGCTAGGCCAATGGGTGGAATTTGGATATGCAGACTGGGCAATTTGTCTTTTTAAAAAGGAAATTCTTCCCATTTTTAAAGAATCAACTCAAAAGGCTGCCTTCCTGCTTACTGGATCCTGCTGGGTGGAATAATTTATGTTTTCCTGAGCACCTTCTTAACACTTACAGAGCTAGTAACAGGGCCCTGTATGCTTCCTGCTGTACACTTGGTTGTTTGTGATCTTCCCCTCTAGACTAGGAGTGTTTGCAAGTTGCAGCTTGAGCACACCAGGGTCTTTAGTCTTACTGCCCAAGAGCCAGCATCGTGCCTTTACTTGGTTGGCACTCAAAGAAATGTGTGTTGAATGAGGAAGTACAACCAATCTAATGTCGCAGCTAATATTTATTTAGCAATTCAGTGGATTTCAGCAATGGACTTGGTAAGGTTCACATTTTTATTTTCCTCTGTTCAAGAACCCAACAAGCATTTCTCAGTATCAATTTCCTGAATCGGGCCATGAAGTTTTTTCTCAGAAACAAGGAATTGCGTATTAGCCTTATGTGTTGAGCCTTTACCATGTGTGAGGCACTGTAGAAAGTGCTTTATAGATTTTATCCATATAGTATTCAAAACAGTTCTTTAAGAAGAAGATTTCACTATGTTCATTTTACAATTAGAAATACTGAGATTTAGCAAGGTCAGTAATTTCAGTCATAATGGCAGAGTTAAGATCAAAACCCTAAACATGAGAAAGCTGCCTCTCACTTATGTATGAAACTGTGTGTGTGTGTGTGCGCACGCACACACACACACACATGTGCACAGAGTTCTCAAGTTTGTGAAATTAAAGGTTGGTCCCTGTGAGCTTGGACAGCACCATGAGCCCTGACAAGCCCAGGACTCAAATCCATGAGCATAAAAATATTCATTTAAATTTGGGGCCAGGCACGGTGGCTCGCACCTGTAATCCTAACACTTTGGGAGGCCAAGGATGGTGGATCACTTGAGGTCAGGAGTTTGAGACGAGCCTGCCCAACATGGTGAAACCCCGTCTCTACTAAAAATATAAAAATTACTTGGAAATCGCTTGAACCCAGGAGGCGGAGGTTGCAGTGAGATGAGATTGTGCCACTGCACTCCAGCCTGGGCAACAGAGTGAGACTCCATCTCTAATAAATAAATAAATAAATAAATAAATAAATAAATAAATAAATTTGGGGTCCTGGTTTATTTCACTTAGCATAATTTCCTTCTGGTTTATCTATGTTGTCCCAAGTGGTAGGATCTCCTGTTTTTATGCACACACACACACACACACACACTCTCTCTCTCCACATTATATTTATTCATCCATTTGTTGAATAAAAACAAATGTTGTTGGAAGCAACATTTAGGTTGTTCTAGTATCTTGGCTATTGTGAATAATGCTGCAGTAAACACGGGAGTGCAGACATCTCTTTGTGATACTGATTTCAAGTCCTTTACACTTATACCCACAAGCGGGATTGCCAGATCATGTGGTAGTTCTATTCTTAATTTTTTGAGAAACCTCCATACTGTTTTCCATAATGGCTGTATCAATTTGCATTCCCACCAAGAGAGTACAAGTGTTCCCTTTACTCCACATCCTTGCCAACACTTGTTATCTTTTGTCTTTTTGATGATAGCCTTTCTAACAGGTAGGAGATGATATCTCACTGTGGTTTTGGTTTGCATTTCCCTGATGATGAGTGATGCTGAGCATCTTTTCATAGAGCTGTTGGCCATTCATATGTTCTTCTTTTGAAAAAATGTCTATTCAGGCCCTTTGCCCAGCGTTTAAATCAGATTATCTGTTGTTGTTCTTATTGTTTTGTGCTATTGTGCAGTTTGAGTTCCTTATATGTTTGGGATATTAGCCCCTTATGAAATATATGGTTTGCAGGACCTCACGTATATGTGGAATCTAAAATAGTTGAATTCATAGAAGCACAGAGTGGAATGGTGCTTTCCAGGAGTTAGGGGCTAGGGGTAACAAGGAGAGGTTGTTCAAAGGGTATGAAGTTCCAGTTGCACAAGATGCATAAGTTCTGGAGATCCAAGGTACAGCAGTGACTAGAGTTAACAGTACTGTATTGGTTACTTGAAATTTTCTTAGAAGGTAGGTTTTAAGTATTCTCACCACACACGCAAAAAGTAATTATGTGAGGTGACGGATATGTTACTTAGCTTGATCGTGGTGATCATTTCACTATCTATATGTATATCAAAACATCAAGTTGTGCACTTTTAAATATGTACAATTTTTATCAATTGTACCTCAATAAAGCTAAAAAATAAGTAGGTAAATAAATAAATTTGGGCCCAGGTGATCCCCCTTTGGTAATTGAGAGAAGAGACTCAGCAAATCCATGTGACCATCACAATAATGTGGGCTCCTCTATGGCCAAGTGTAAAAGCTCCTAGTTCTCATCTGGTGAGACAGAAGACAACCACAAATCAGGCAAAATAACTTTATTGGCAGGGCGCTGTGGCTCACGCCTGTAATCCCAGCACTTTGGGAGGCCGAGGCGGGCAGATTAGGAGGTCAGGAGATTGAGATCATCCTGGCTAACACGGTGAAACCCCGTCTCTACTAAAAATACAAAAAAATTAGCCAGGTGTGGTGGTGGGCGCCTGTAGTCCCAGCTACTCGGGAGGCTGAGGCAGAAGAATGGCATGAACTCGGGAGGTGGAGCTTGCAGTGAGCCGAGATCATGCCACTGCACTCCAGCCTGGGCAACAGAGCAAGACTTCATCTCAAAAAAAAAAGAAAAAAAAAACTTTATTACTCACAGGTAGGCAACAAGGATAAATAAAAACCTAGGACACACAGGGAGCAAGTCCCCCAGGGTTCAGGTAAGCTGCCCAGGGTCAATGGTCCCCTATCTGTGCAAGCCGCACGTCACACCCGAGCTCAGAGACCTTGAACGTGCTCCACTCTGGGTTTCTACCCTGGGAGCAACTGGGATCATTTAGTCAAGCATTACAGAACATCCTGTTCTTCCAGGAATGGGGTAATAACCCAGATTGTTGCAGACATTTTCTCTTTATTTCAAGATGTTGCATTCTCGGTACATTGTGCTGGAGAATTGTAATCAAGTTGGAGAAGAGCAGGGGCAGCCAGCGTCATCTGGGGCCCTGGCCTCCTGCTCCAAGCTGGATTCAGGACTAGCTCTTCTGCCCATGCTTTTCCCTCCATCCCTCAGTGTCCTTGATCCATAGCCCTGTGCTGCCACCCGTGTGGTGGCTGTAGATCTGCTGCAGGGTCCTGCGGGAGACGGGCATTGTTTCTCACTGTCCCTCCCTCTTTTATCTTTATAGAGAATATTAAGCATGTGTCCCAGGCACTGTGCTAAGCACCTTACATGTAGTAGTGATTTAAACTCTCACTAGAATCCTATGAGGTAAGTACGACATTATTGAGGATGAGCAAGGTTGAGTGGCTTGCCCAGTTTACTTAATTAGGGAGCAGAGGAGCTGGGATTTGATTTTAGGTTGGCTGATCCCAAACCCAACTTTCCCAAGTATAAGCCCAGTGTCCATAACCACAGCTCTGCAGGTTCCACTAAGGGTATGAGTGGTGGAGGGTTTCCTTTGGTAACATCACACTGGAATCCTGGAATTGTCCATTTGTGTGCCCAGGGCTTTGGGAGTGAGACACACTGTTCTTTGTGGCAGCTCTAGGCTATGGTGAGAATTTTATGGGACAAGGACACTCAGTGGGTAAGCAGAGAAGGATACTGCAATGGAAGTAAAAGTTGCTAGCACTTAAAAAAAATCCCATTCTTTCCAATTGAGTCCCACCCTCTACCTACTCTCCAGAATAAATAAATAAACATCCCATTCCTTCCTTCCTCTCTCCTCCCTCTTTCTCTTGGGAAATTAAGAGTGAGACTTTGGGGCCAACTCAGTGGCTTCCACCTGTAACCCCAGCACTTTAGGAGGTCAAGGCAGGAGGACCCTTTGAGCCCAGTGGTTTGAAGCTGCAGTGAGCTATGATCGTGCCACTGCATTCCAGCCTAGGCAACAGAGCAAGACCCTGTCCCTATTTTTAAAAATAAATAAGCCAGCTGGGTACGGTGGCTCACACCTATAATCCCAGCACTTTGGGTGGCTGAGGTGAGTGGATCTCCTGAGGTCAGGAGTTCGAGACCAGCCTGACCAATATGGTGAAACCCCATCTTTACTAAAAATACAAAAATTAGCCAGGTGTGGTGGTGTGTGCCTGTAGTCTCAGCTACTTGGGAGGCTGAGACAGGAGAATTGCTTGAACCCAGGAGGCAGAGTTTGCTGTGAGACGATATCACACCATAGCACTCCACCCTGGGCAACAGGGTGAGACTCCATCTCAAAAATCAATCAATCAGTCAATCAATCAATCAGGCCTGGTACAGCGGCCCACATCCATAATCCTAGCACTTTGGGAGACCAAGGCAGGAGGATCACTTGAGGTCAGGAGTTCCAGACCAGCCTGGTCAACATGGCGAAACCCTGTCTCTACTAAAAATGCAAAAATTAGCCAGGCATGATGACCTGTGCCTATAATCCCAGCTACTCAGGAGGCTGAGGCAGGAGAATTGCTTGAGCCCGGGAGGGGGAAGTTGCAATGAACTGAGATCATGCCACTGCAGTCTAGCCTGCACAGTAGAGCAAGACTCTGTCCCCATTAAAAATAAATAAATAAAAATAAAGTATAAAACAAAAATTATTGAAAGATAAATAAATAAATAAATAAATCAGAAACGACCAGATTTTGAAGTCAGGCACACCTAAGTTAAAATGTTGGTTAATTTGCTGAACAGACACTCTGTTCAGCAAGTGAACCAGCATTTCCTACAGTCTGGGGCAGACAATCGTATGGAAGTCTGGAAAAATACAGAACATCAGTGTTTTGAGAACCCTGGACCACTCCTGTCCCTCTACCTCAGTCATCAATGCAGAAGCCTGGCTTTGCTCTATTAAGATTGGAAATGTACACTGTTGAGTCCCAGTGGTGGAAGGAAGGAGGGTCTTTCTTCCTGTGTTAATTGAATAGAGGCTACAGTGGTTAGCCTGGACTAAAGGCATCCCTGTCTTTTGAGCAGTTCACCTCAGTAGAAAAGAATCTAAAGGAAGATCACTGCCATTTAGATCTGCTGACCTGTGTGCCTACCCCTTGCAAATGTCTGCTGGGTACTTCTAATTCCACAGGTCATCAGATGCCTGCTTGGTAATATATGAATAATAAAAACAACTTTCACTTCTTCCTATTTAAAAAAAAAAAAATGCTGGTTCAGCCACTGACTAGCTGTGTGACCTTGGACAAACCACTTAACCTCTCTGGGCTTCACTTCTCTCATCTGCAAAACTGGGACAGTGACAGACACTAGCTCATTGTTATGTGAATCAGGAAACATGCACAAGTAAATGCTTAATAAATAGGTAGCTGTTCTGAATCCCTTCTGCTCCCAGTCTGCCCCTCAATAGCTGAGTGACATTGGATAAGATCCTTCTTCTATGGGCCTCGGTTTCCTAATTTGTACAATGAGTGTGATTGACTAGGTCAGCGTTTCCTGAAGTATGGCTCACTGGTGTAAGCTAGATGATTTTTCGTGGTACAAGGTGAATATTTGTTATTTAAAATTATGAATAGATTTTAACGTATAAGAGAAAAAATAAAACTAAGATAGCAAACATGTGATTTTGTGGATATTGTTTGGAATGAAGCCAAGTAAAAAGTAGCGATTTAAAATAAAAAGCATGAAGTGAATAACAGATCAAGCGGTACACCAATACGGCAGAAGTTGGGAAGGTGATCCTTGAACAACCCGGATTTGGGGAAGTCTGGGCAAGATGATCTGGCTTTGATTATCTGGCTACCCAAAGAAAATCCACCTCATGAGTTACTTGCTAGGGGGACCCGTTGGTCCGCCCTATTTTTTTAAGTGGCCAGGCCCCTGTAAGCCCCATTGCCAGGAGTTTTGGCTAATGCCCTTTCAGTACATGTTGCAAAAATAATATAAATAACTCATCCTAGGACTTCAAACATGCCACCTGAGATGTATGGTGGAAGATTACAGGTTTCCAAGACGCACCCCCTCCATCATTCCCGTGGCTTAGAGGCTTGCTGGAGAGCGGAGATCAATGCTTTGGTTTTATGGGCAGCTGGGCCACGTGACCAGGCCCCAAATCCTTTGCTTTATGGGTTGTTTACACATTCCTGGTGAGAAACGGTTTACATTCTGGGCCCTGAGCGCACTCCTAAATCAGCTGCCGGGTTCTTGCAGTTGGAGGTGAAAGAGATCTGTGTGTCGGTGGGCACCAGGAGGCGAGGGGAGGAACAGAGAGGGGCAGGCTGAGAGGGGCCTGGGGAGGGAGCCCTCAGGGCCCCGTGTTTCCTGTCTGTGGCACCTGGAACCTATTTCTGAGTCAGCGGGGGGCGCTGTGCAGGGCCTGAGGTGGGTAGGAACCTGAGGGGCTGCATATGCACCATATTCAGGATGTGCTGGGCTCGCACTCAGTGCAGGCACTTGGCACATGTTAGCTCACTGGGTTCCCACAACAGCCCTGGGAGGTTGGGGTTTTTCCCATTTTCAGAGGAGGAATCAGAGACTCAGGGAAGTAAAGCACCCTGTTCCCTATTACATAGCTGAGGAGTGACAGAGAAGGACACTCGAACCCTGCTCTGACCAAGGCAAAGGCTGTGGTCTTGCCACTCTCCTTTCTTGTCGCTGGGGCTCCAACAGAGGCCATTTGGGTTGGAACTTAGGAGATGCCTCCTGGAATGGCGAGGGAGGATGAGGGGGAGGCGATTCCTGTCTGGGTTTTGTGACTTGGCCAAGTCACTGTCTGAAAATCCCGCATCACACAGTTGACCTTGTGGATCTGGTGCACAAGATCCCCTGGAAATCATCTGGGCAAGTTCGAGGGTACCCAGTGGGCCCCTGCTTGTCCCTCCCCTCCTCATTCCCTCCTTCCTCTTCTTTCTCCCAGTTACCCTTCCCCTCTTACCCCCTCCACCCTGAGAGGGTCCTTACGGTCCATTTGTTTTCCTTGGCCCCAGTTCTGCCCTTGGCAGCTGTGTGGGCTCTTAGGAAGCTGCTCAGATGCTGGGGCAGCTCTCAGCCCCCTGAGTCTTCTCCAAACCATCCAGCCCCAGTGCCTCAGCAGTTCCCCAAGTGACGTGGCTTCGAGCCCCTTCCTCATCTTGGATGCTGCCTTCTGAGGTCAGAGCAGGGAGATGACCCAAAGTTGGCGAGGGGAGTTAGCAAGCAGCCTGTGTAATGAATGTTCTTCTCTCTCTGGATCCAGAGGCAGCCAGGAGTTGTGGAAAGTGTGCAGGCTCCAAGGAGGGTGACACAGACATGGATTAATGCCCTTTTCCAACACTGAATCACCTCGCTCAAGGCACTTAACTCTCCCAGCCATGGTTTTCTCCTCTGTAAAGTAGAAGTAACAATTGTAGCAGACATCCATGCTTTGCCCAGCAGCCTTCCACCTTCCACCTGGTATCCCTAGTTTCCTGTCGAGGTCCCTTCCTCTCCTGCTCTCATCCTATATGAGTTGGGGGTAAGCTTATCCTTGGCTCAGGGACTAAGGTACTGAGCACTTCCCTCACACTACCTGCTCCCTCCCACAGTGACTGGTTCAGGAATGGGCATTTTTGAGAACACAGCAACCCACGGAGCAGAGCCATGCCAGGAGATGGCAATATTATTTGAGTGTCTGCATTAAGCTGTACCAGAAGCCAGATTCTTTTGCCTTTCCAGATAGATACACAGACTAATAAATTCCCTGTGGAAGATGAATCACAAAAAAGGCCTCCTTTCTCCAATCCTCTCTGTGTTCTCCCGCCTTCTTGCAATATGGCTTTACAGCAATTCTTATCAAAAGGTGGGATTTATTTCCTTCCTCCCTAAATTTGGGTTGCTGTTGTGATTTGCTTTGGCCAATAGAAGGTGGCAGAAGTGATGGAGGGCCAGTTCTGAGCATGCCCTTCAAAGAGCTTTGCACACTTATGTTGGCTCTCTTGGACCTGTGAACAAGCCTGAGCTAGCTTGCCAGAGGTGTGGAGACCCAGTTGTCCCAGCCAAGGCCATCCTGGACCAACCTACAGTCTGCTAGCTGGAAATGCACGGGAGAGTTCAGCCAAAAACAGCAGAGCTGACCACAGAGGCTGAACCCAGGGAAACCACAAGAACCACCCAGCTCGCTGTAGATTCATGACCAAGAATAAATACTTAACTGTTTTTGTTTTTTGTTTTGAGATGGAGTCTCGCTCTGTCACCCAGGCTGGAGTGAAGTGGCACAATCTCGGCTCACTGCAACCTCGCCTCCTGATTCAAGCGATTTACCTGCCTCAGCCTCCTGACTAGCTAGGACTACAGGCTCATGCCACCGCCCCCGGCTAATTTTTGGAGAATAAATACTTACTGTTTTAAACATTGCATTTTGGGGTGGTTGATTATGCACCAATAGCTGATATATTCCTTGTTTTGCTTAAATTAGTCCTGGTTGGTTTTTCTGTCATTTTCAATCAGAAAATCCCAGATGATGCAACTGTAATACCTACCTCATAGGACTGCTCTGAAGATTGGAAGTGACATTGGCAGAGTGGCTGGCACACTTGGGGAGGAGTCAGTAAACAATAGCTGTTGTCATTATTCCCTGTTCATCCTCCCAGCTACTCCCTCATCCACGTCCTCCAACCACAGGCAGCAAGTCCTCTGCCAGTGTGGAGAGTGGAGGTGGGCACGCTGGCTGAGGGGTGCCCTGGGTGGCCATGCTGTTGCTACCAAGCACTGGGGAGGAGACCAGAGAACCCAAGTTCAGTTCCCCATCTTCCAGAGGTGAGCCCTTAAGTGCCCCGTGAGAGAATGAGATGCTACTTCTCGGGTTGAACGGAATAAAAGTCTTCAACAAGATTTCCCTATGGTTTAGCAACTCCACTTCTGGTATGGGCTGAATTGTGTCCTGCCCACTCCCCAAAAGTCATAAATTGAAGCACCAATTCCCAATATCTCAGAATGTGACTGTATTTGGAGGAAGAGCTTTTAAAGAAGTAACTAAATTAAAATGAGGCCATTAGGGCGGATCCTAATCCAATCTGACTGGTGCCCTTTTAAGAAAAGGAAATTTCGCACAAAGCCACCAGGTATGTATATGTACAGAGAAAATGCTATGTGAGGGCTCAGCGAGAAGGTATTCGTTATTATTTCTTTTTACTAACCAAAAAGAAAGGCTTCAGGAGAAACCAGCATTGCCAACACCTTGATCTTAGACTTCCAGTTTCCAGAACTGTGAGAAAATTAATTTTTGTTGTTTAAGCCACCCAGTCTGTGATATTTTAATAAGGCAGCCCTAGCAGACTAATACAACTTCCTAACTGTGTAGCTCTAGGCAAGTTACTTCACTTCCTAAATGTCAGTTTCCTCATTTATAAAACAGAAATGAAAAAATAGTAGCCATGGCAGAGGGTGTTGTGAAGATTAAATGAGATAACACCTATAGCAGAGGTGCCCGGGACCTGGCACAGCATAAGAGCAGAGAATATGTTAGCGATCCCTCGTAGCATGTTATTCATTTTAATTTATTCTTTGTTTATTTAGCAGCAACTTGTTTATGATGACAAAAGCCATGTGTTTACTATTCAAAAATCTCATAAAAATACCAAAAAATGCAAAGTTCTATAAAGTGTCAGCTCCTTTTCCACATATATGTAAACGTTTTAAAACTTACAACCATACCACTCATATCGTCTCCTGACTTCCATCCTTCCTCCAGCAATAGACCTGCAAACAGTTCTCAAGGGTTTGTTATTCTTTTTTTTTTTTTTTTCTTTGAGACAGAGTCTCGCTCTATTTCCCAGGCTGGAGTGCAGTGGCCTGATCTCGGCTCACTACAACCTCCACCTCCTGGGTTCAAGTGATTTCTCCTGCCTCAGCCTCCTGAGTAGCTGGGACTACAGGCGTCTGTCACCAGACCAGGCTAATTTTTGTATTTTTAGTAGAGACAGGGTTTCACCATATTGGCCAGGCTGGTCTCGAACTCCTGACCTTGTGATCCACCCGCCTCGGCCTCCCAAAGTGCTGGGATTACAGGCGTGAGCCACCGCCCCCGGCAGGGTTGTTATTCTTAAATGATCATTACTGTCTCACTTTGCTGGAAAGGGGGAAAGGGGAAACTAAACGTGAGTTTCAAAGAGAATGGCCCTGCTTCCTTTGGGGAAGCTGTTGGCCTCCCTCATTATGGGGCACCGGCCCTTCATACCCCTTCTTGGAGATACTGGTTGAAAGAGGTCCCTGTACACCCCTCCCCAGGCTGGTGCCCAGGCTCTTCTCAACACCCCTCTACCATGCTCACCCCTCATTCCCATTTTCATCCGCTGCTTTCCTGTCCTGCCCCTCCCAGGTGTTAAATGAGGGGAATTTCAGTCTGGAGTGAATGTTTACAGCTTACTTGAAACGCTTAAAAATAAAAATTCATCATAAACTGACAGATCCTTAAATTTAACTGTGCAAACAGTGCCGCTATAATATTTAAGCTCCGCTTGAATGGATGTTCTATCAAAACCACATGGGCTCCCACCTGGTTCCCTCTCTGCGATGGCGGAATTTGAGGAAATGCTGGCGGGATGTTTATTTGGGCTGAAGGCACAGACCTGCTTACTCTGGGTTACCTTTTTTATGGGTGCCTTCATGTGACTTGGTCGACAGCCCTGGGCCTTGGGCTGCACAGAGTTCCTCTGGAGGCGTAGTGAGCAGGAATAGTGCAGGATTCAGACTTGCCTGGTTTGAATCTTGGTTCTGCAAGTGACTAGCTGCGTGACCTTCAGAACTTTACCTGTCCTCTCCAAGCCTCAGTTTCCCATCTCTAAAATGGCGGGAGGTGTGATGACAACAGTTCCTCTTTATCAGAAAACTAGATGAGCTAATTTATGTGACACACAATACCTGGAATATAGCATGTCCTCAATAAACTCTGTGTGTGTGTGTGTGTGTGTGTGTGTGTGTGTGTGTGTGTGTGACAGAGAGAGAGAGTGAGTAAGGGAGAGAGAGGGCATGTGCTCAGGTGCAATTGATCTAACTCCTGAGTTTATGACACATGGTCCACCCCGGTCTGCGCAGTCCTGCTCTTATTTTGTTGATTCCTTCTCCTTTACCCTCATTTCCCTTGCCATTCTCTGTCCATCCAAGACATCCATTTTAGTCCATTTTGTGGATTATGGGGGTATATATCCTTAACAAAATGTAATGTTGTTTTGGTTTTCATATGGTCTTTTATTGACCTGAAAGTGTGTTACAGATTTTATTGTTTTTTTGTTTTGTTTTGTTTTGTTTCACTCAGAATGATGTTTTAAACACCCATGCGTGTTGCAGTGTGTACGAGTCTCTATCTTCTAACTGTGGTTGTTACTACATGCTGTGCCTCCAGCACACTTGACCATCTGCTCCTTAACTGATGGACTCCAGATTGCCCCAACTCAGCCTCACAAACAATACTGCCTTGGAAATAACTGGACATGTCCTGTATGAACCTGTGTGAAAATTTCATTAGAATATATGACTGGAGAAAAACAACAGATGCTGGTGAGGCTGCGGAGAAAAGGGAACACTTATGCACTGTGGAAAGCCGTTTGGAGATTTCTCAAAGAACTTAGAACTACCGTTTGACCCAGCAATCCCATTAGTGGGTATATATCCAAAAGAAAATGAATCATTCTACCAAAAAGATACATGCACTCAGGGTATGTTCATCACAGCACTACCCACAATAGCAAAGACATGGAATTAACCAGTGGATTGGCTAAAGAAGAGGTAGTACATATACAGGATGGAATGCTACACAGCCATAAAAAAGAATGGAATCACGTCCTTTGCAGCAACATGGATGTAGTTGGAGGCCATAATCCTAAGTAAATTAATGCAGGAACAGAAAATCAAACACTGAATGTTCTCACTTACAAGTGGGAGCTAAACTTTGGGTACTCACAGACATAAAGATGGTAGCAATAGACACAGAGTGGGGTGACAGGGAGAAGCACAAAGGTTGAAAAACTATTGGGTACTATGCTCACTACCTGGGTGATGAGATCAATCATACTCCAAAGCTCAGCATCATGGAATATACCCATGTAACACATCTGCACATGTACCCCCTGAATCTAAAATAAAAATTGAGATTATTTTTTAAAAATATAAATTTAAAATTAAAAATACAAACAAAAAAAGAATCTATGACTAAGAATGAATGGTCAGATAATACGCATGCACATACCTAATTTGACTAAGAACTGTAAACTGCTAACTCATGCCATTGGGCAATTTTTTTATTCAGGCTCATTTTCTTGTTAGTTGTCAAGAGTTCCTTTCTATTCTTGTTAGCTTCTGACAAAGCAAATTGTCTTCCTTCCATCTGTCATCTGTTTACTATATCTGCATTATTCTTCATTGATGAAATTATCAATTTTGATATATTCATATTGTTTTTTCTTACATTGAGTGTTTTTAGCTTTATATTGTTTGTATTGAGTTATAATTTAAATACAAAAGGATATGTAGAGTGTTAAGTATATAGTAGGATGAGTTATAATTTAAATACAAAAGGATATGTAGAGTGTTAAGTATATAGTTGGATGAGTTTGGACAAGCATCTACACTCATGTAACCACTACCACAGTAAAGATATACAACATTTTCACCACGCCAGAAAGTTCCCACTTGCCACTTCCCAGTTAATCCCCCACAAAAGGCAAATACTGCTCTAATTTTCATCACCATAAGTTAGTTTTTCATATTCTAGAATTTCATATAAATGGAATCTTACATATACTTTTGTGGCTGGCTTTTTTCATTCAATGTGTTTTTCAGATTCATTTGTGTTATTGCATATATCAGTAATTCATTCTTTTTAATTGTTGAATAGTGTATCATAAGAAATTGTGTATCCACTTATCCAACCATAGACATTAGGAGTGTTTCCAGCTTTGACTCTTATGAATAAAGCTGCTATAAACATTTATATACAAGCTGTATGTGTGTGTGTGTGTGTGTGTGTGGTGTGTGTGAGTGTGTGTGTGTGTTCATTTTCACTCCTAAGAATGAAATTTTTGGATCATAGATAGATAGGCTTATTTTATTTGTTTTTTGTTTTTTTTTTTTTTATTTTTTATTTTTTTAGCGGAGACAGGGTTTCACCATATTGGCCAGGCTGGTCTCACACTCCTGACCTCATGATCCACCCACCTCAGCCTCCCAAAATGCTGGGATTACAGGTGTGAGCCACCATGCCTGGCTGTTTTGTTTTGTTTTTGAGAATGGGGTCTCCCTCTGTTGCCCAGGCTGGAGTAAAGTGGCATAATCATGGCTCAATGCAGCCTCAACCTTCTGGGCTCAAACAATCCTGCTGCCTCAGCCTCCCAAGTAGCTGGGACTACAGGTGCATACCGCCATGCCCAGCTAATTTTGTTTGTTTGTTTGTTTTGTAGAGACAGGGTCTTGCTATGTTGCCTAGGCTGATCTTGAACTCCTGGCCTCAAGTGATCTTCCCACCTTGGCCTCCCAAAATGCTGGTATTATAGGCATGAGCCACCACTCCCAGCTGTTAGGCATTTTACCTTCAAAAGAAACTGTCAAAGTGTTTTCCAAAGTGTTTTTACCTTTTCACACTCAAAACAGAAGTACAAGAGATTTTCAAGTGCTCCACTTCCTCACCAACACTTGATATTTTCCATGTTTTAAATTTTAGTCATTCAGGTATGTGATGAGTATCTCATATTGGCTTTAATTTTGATTTTCCCGTATGTCTACTGATGTTAAACATCTTTTCATGCACTTATTGGGCATTTCTAGATCTCTTTTGCAGAGTATCTCTTCAAATTTTTACCCTTTTGTTTTAAATTTGACTGTCTTTTATTGTTGAGTTGTAGGAGTTTTTATATATTCTGGATGCAAGTCCTTTGTCAAATATGTGTTTTACACAAATACTTTCTCCTATTTTGTGGCTCATCTTTTCATTTTTAAGTGATCTCTCTTTTTTTCTTTTTCTGAGGTGGAGTTTCATTCTTGTTGCCCAGGCTGGAGTGCAATGGCACAATCTCGGCTGATGGCAACCTCCGCCTCCCAGGTTCAAGCAATTCTCCTGCCTCAGCCTCACGAGTAGCTGGAATTACAGGCATCCACCACCACACCCAGCTAATTTTTGTATTTTTAGTAGAGACATGATTTCTCCATGTTAGTCATGAACTCCCGACCTCAGGTGATCCGCCCACCTCAGACCCCCAAAGTGTTGGGATTACAGGCATGAGCCACCGCACCTGGCATTAATCTCTCTCTCTTTTTTTTTTTTTTTTTTTTTTGAGACAAGTTTTCGCTCTTGTCATCCAGGCTGGAATGCAGTGGCATGATCTTGGCTCACTGCAACCTCCACCTCCTGAGTTCAAATGATCCTCCCACCTCAGCCTCCTGAGTAGCTGGGATTACAGGCGTGCACCACCATACTCAGCTAATTTTTGTATTTTTAGTAGAAACCGGGTTTCACCAGGTAGGCCAGTCTGGTCTCAAACTCCTGACCACAAGCGATCCACCCACCTCGGCCTCCCAAAGTGCTGGATTACAGACGTGAGCCACCATGCCTAGCCTTAAATAATCTTTTTTGATGAGCAGAAGTTTGTATCTTTGATAAAGTCAAATTTATCAATTTTTAAAACAGGCTTTGTTTAGAGGAATTTTAGGTTCACAGCAAAATCAAACAGAAAGTGCAGAGAGTTCTCATTTACCTCCTGCCCACATAAAAGCACAGCCTCCCCCACTACCAGCATCCTACACCACAGTGTAACTTCCATGACAATCGAGGAACCTACACTGACACACCATTATCTCCGAAAGTCCACAGTTTGCATTAGGGCTCACTCTTGGTGTTGTATATTCTATGGGTTTTGACAAATGAAAAGTAACATGTATTCACCATTATAGTATCATACAGAGTAGTTTCACTGCCCTGAAAATAACCTGGCTCTGCCTATTTATCCTTCCTTCCCCCAGCCCCTAGCAACTACTGATCTTTTTACTGTCTTCATAGTTTTGTCTTTTTCAGAATGTCATACAGTTGGAATCATACAGTTATGTAACTTTTTAAGGTTAACTTATTTTACATAGAAATGTGCACTTAAGGCTTCTTTATGTCTTTTTTAGGGCTTGATAGCTTATTTCTTTCAGCACTGAATGATATCCCATTGTCAGAATGTACCACAGTTTATTTGCCCATTTACCTACTGAAGGACACCTTGGTTGCTTCCAAGTTTTGGCAATGGTGAATAAAGCTGCACTTTTTCGATCTTAGAGCTATTGTGCTGTGTTTTTTGTTTTGTTTTGTTTTGTTTTGTTTTGTTTTGGTGGAGTCTTGCTCTGTCAACCAGGCTGGAGTGCAGTGGCGTGATCCTGGCTCACTGCAACCTCTGCCTCCTGGGTTCAACCGATTCTTGTGCCTCAGCCTCCCAAGTAGCTGGGATTACAGGCGTGCACCACCACACTCAGCTAAGTTTTGCATTTTTAGTAGAGACGGAGTTTCACCATGTGGGTCAGGCTGGTTTCAAACTCCTGACCTCAAGTGATCTGCCTGCCTCGGCCTCCCAAAGTGCTGGAATTACAGGTGTGAGCCACCATGTCCAGCCAGAACTATTGTTACAAATATCTGTGTGCAGGTTTTTATGTGGACAAAAGTTTTCAACTCATTTGGGTAAATACCAAGGAGCACAATTGCTGGATAGTATGAGAAGAGTATGTTTAATTTTGTAAAAAAACTGCCAAACCATCTTCCAAAGTGCCTATACCATTTATCATTTCCACCAGCAATGAATGAGAGTTCTTGCTGCTCTATAGCCTTGCCAGCATTAAGCGTTGTTGGTATTATATTTTGGATTTGGGCCATTTTAAAAAGTGGGTGGTGCTGTCTCATTGTTGTCTTAATTTTCAATTTTCTAATGACATGATGTTGAGCATCTTTTCATATGCTTATCTGCCATCTTCTTTGGAGAGGTGTCTGTTCAGGTCTTTTGCCCATTTTTTAATTGAGTTGTTCATTTTCTTATTGCTGAGTTTTAAGAGTTTTTTTCTAAATTTTGTATAATAGTTCTTTATCAGATATGTCTTTTGCAAATATTTTCTCCAAGTTTGTGGTTTGTCTTCTCATTCTCTTGAAAATTTATCAGGATTAATCTTTTATAGGTTTTGCCTATTGAGACCTTTCCAAGAAACATGTTCACCCCAAGATTGTGAAAATACTCTCTTGTGCTTATTTCTAGAGACTTTACAGTTTTTGCTTTTGCATTTAGATCTTTGATCCATCTGAAATTAATTTTTCAGTACAGTGTAAGGTAGGGGTTGAGATGAATTTTTTTTGCATATCAATATCTAGTTGTTACAGACACTTTGTTGAAAAGCCTTTTCTTTCCCCCTTTGATTACTTTGGTATCTTTTGTTGAAATTCAATTGACGATATATGTACATATATATGTATATAATATATAGTCAATTACATATAATTGACTACATATAAATTGTATATAGAGTCTATATATATATAGTTTCTCTCTATATATAATGTGTGTGTTTGTGTATATATATACATATGCCTTTTATGGGGGACTATTCTTGACACTACCATATTCTCTGGATTATTGTGGCTTTAGAGTAAGTCTTGAAATCAGGTTGGATAAGTCCTTCAATTTTGTTCTCCTTTTCCAAGATTGATTTGAATATTCTAGGTTTTTTACATTTCTATATAAATTTTAGAATCTATATGTGCTTTAAAATATTCTGCTGTAGGCCGGGTGTGATGGCTCATGCCTGTAATCCCTGCACTTTGGGAGGCCGAGGTGGGTGGATCACCTGAGGTCAGGAGTTCAAGACCAGCCTGGCCAACATGATGAAACCCTGTCTCTATTAAAAATACAAAAAAAAAAAAAAATCAGCTGGGTATGGTGGCACACACCTGTAATCCCAGATACTCAGGAGGCTGAGGCAGGAGAATCACTTGAACTAAGGAAGGGGAGGTTGCAGTGAGCCGAGATTGTGCCACTGCACTCCAGCCTGGGCAACAAGAGCAAAACTCTGTCTCAAAAAAAAAAAAAATCTGCTGTAATTTTTATTAAGAGTGTGCTAAATCTTTACATAAATTTGGAGATAATTAACATTTCAATAATATGGAGTCTTCCAATCCATGAACAAGGTATAGCTCTCCATTTGTTTAGATCTATTTTAATTTCTTTAATCAATATTTTGTAGTTTTGGTGTAGAGGTCTTACACATCTTTTGATAAATGTATTCTTAAGAACTTTGTGGATCTCAGAGCTATTGTTAATGATATTATTTTATATTTAATTTTTAAATTACTTGTGCTACTGTATAAAATTGATTTTTTTTAAATGTTGACCCTATGTCTTGAGTTTGACAATTTCTTTTGTAGATTTTGTAAGATTTTTCCACATATAAGCATATTATTAATGAATAAAGATAATTTTACTTCTTTTCTAAGCTTTATGCCTTTTTTTTTTTTGACAGAGTCTCTCTCTGTCACCCAATCTGGAGTGCAGTGGTACAAACACAGCTCACTGCAGCCTCGAACTCCTGGACTCAAGTCATCACCTCACCTTATCCTCCCAAGTAGCTGGAACCACAGGCATGCACAACTATGCCTGGCTAATTTTTAAAATTTCTTGTAGAGACAGGGTCTCGCCATGTTTCCCAGTCTGGTCTGGAACTCCTGGGCTCAAGCAAACCTCCCACCTCAGTCTCCCAAAGTGCTGAGATTATAGGTGTGAGCTGCTGAGTCTGGCCTTTTATGCCTTTTATTTATTTTTCTTGTCTTATTGCAATGGCTAGAATTACCACTATTACACTGACCACAAGTGAAAGGGAACATCTTGGCTTTGTTCTTAATTTTGGGGAGAAAGCATTTAGGGTTTTTTTGTTTTTGTTTGGTTTTTGTTTTGAGACAAGACCTCACTCTGTCATCCAAGCTGGGGTGTAGTGGCACAATCAGACCTTACTGCAGCAGCCTCAAACTTATGGGTTCAAGTGATCCTCCCACCTCAGCCATCCAAGTAGCTGGGACTACAGGCATGCACCACCACACCCAGCTGATTTTTAAATTTTTCTTTTGTGGAGTCAGGGTTTTGCCATGTTGCCCAGGCTGGTATTGAATTCCTGGCCTCAAGTGATCCTCTTGCCTTGGCCTTCCAAAGAGTTGGCATTATAGGCATGAGTCATTATGCCTGGCCAGCATTCAGCTTTTTGATATTTATTATTATGTTAGACGTAAGCTTTTTATAGATGCCTGTATCAGATTGAAGATGTTCCCTTCCATTGAAAATTGTTACTAGTTTTTAAGAATCATGATGACATGTTGAATTTTGTCAAAGACATTTCCTTTATTGAGATGATCCTATGATTTTCCTTCTTTATTCTATTAATGTGATGAGTTATATTTATTACCTTTTAGATGTTGAACCAAACTTGTAACCCTGAGATGCATCCCATTCTGTTACGATGTATTATCTTTTTTTAGTGGGGTGGAGGGACCAAGAATTTTTATCTTATTTTGTTTTTTATTTCAATAGGTTTTTGTGGAACAGGTGGTATTTGGTTACATGGATAAGCTCTTTAGTGGTGATTTCTGAGATTTTGGTGCACCCATCACCCAAGCAGTGTACACTGTACCCAATGTGCAGTCTTTTATCCTCCACCCCCATCCTACCATTCCCCTTGAGTCCCCAAAGTCCACTGTATCATTCTTATGCCTTTGTGTCCTCATAGCTTAGCTTGCACTTGTAAGTGAGAACATAACAATGTTTGGTTTTCCATTCCTGAGTTACTTCACTTAGAATAATGGTCTCCAATTCCATCCGGGTTGCTGCAAATGCCATTATTTCATTCCTTTTTATAGCTGAGTATTATTCCAGCATATATATATTCCAGCATATATATATATATATATATATATATATATATATATATATATATATTTCAGTGTGTATATATATATATATATATTTCAGTGTGTATATATATATATATATATTTCAGTGTGTATATATATATATAATTCAGTGTGTATATATATATATATTCCAGTGTGTATATATATAATATTCCAGCATATATATATATTCCAGCATATATATATTCCAGCATATATATATATGTATATATATATAAATGTGATATATATATCACATTTTCTTTATCCACTTGTTGACTGATGGGTGATATGGTTTGGCTGTGTACCCACTCAAATCTCATCTTGAATGGTAGCTGACATAATTCCCACGTGTTGTGGGAGGGACCTGGCGGGAGATAATTTAATCATGAGGGTGGTTTCCCCCATACTGTTCTTGGGTTAGTGAATAAGTCTCACAAGATCTGATGGTTTTATAAGGGGTTTTCCTTTTCACTTGCCTCTCATTCTCTTTCTTACCTGCCGCCATGTAAGATGTGCCCTTCACCTTCTACCATGATTGTGAGGCCTCCTCAGCCACATGGAACTGTGATTACATTAAAGCTCTTTTTTTAATATATAAATTACTCAGTCTCAGGTATGTCTTTATCAGCAGCATAAAAACAAACTAATATAATGGGCAAAAACAAAAACATAAAGTGGGGAAAAGACACCCTAGTCAACAAATGGTTCTGGGATAACTGGCAAGCCACATGTAGAAGAATGAAACTAGATCCTCATCTCTCGCCTTATACAAAAATCACTCAACATAGGTCAAAGACTTAAATCTAAGACCTGACACCATAAAAATTTTAGAAGATAACATTGGAAAACCCTTCTAGACATCTGCTTAGACAAAGACTTCATGACCAAGAGCCCAAAAGCAAATGCAATGAAAACAAAGATAAATAGATAGGACCTAATTAAACTAAAAAGTTTCTGCACAACAAAAGAAATAATCAGCAGGGTAAACAGACAACCCACAGACTGGGAGAAAACCTTTGCCAACTACGCAACCAACAAAGGACTAATATCCAGAATCTACAAGGAACTCAAACAAATCAGTAAGAAAAAAACAAACAATCCCATCAAAAAGTAGGTTAAGGACATGAATAGACAGTTCTCAAAAAAAGATATACAAATGGCCAAGAAACACATGAAAAAATGCTCAACATCGCTGATTATCAGGGAAATGCAACTCAAAACCACAATGGCTACCACCTTACTCCTGCAAGAATGGCCATAATTTAAAAATAAAAAATAATAGATGTTGGTGTAGATGTGGTAAAAAGGGAACACTTTTACACTGCTGGTAAGAATGTAAACTAGTACAACCACTATGGAAAACAGTGTGGAGATTCCTTAAAGAACAAAAATTAGATCTACCATTTGATTCAGCAATCCAATCCCACTCCTGGGTATCTACCCAGAGGAAAATAAGTCATTATATGAAAAAGACACTTGGACACACACGTTCATAGCAGCAAAATTTGTAATTGCAAAAATATGATACATTGTCTTTTTAATACAATGCTTATTTTGGCTTGTCAGTTTTTGATTAAGGATTTTTGTATCTCACAAGAAATCTTAATCTATTGTCTTTTTCCTTACCTTGTTATATTCTTGTCATTTTTGGTATCAGGATTATGCTGGATCACAAAACAACTTTGAAAGTGTTCTACTGTCCTTCACTCCCTGAAAGGATGTATATATGAATAATATTATTTCTTTTTTTTTTTTTTTTTTTTTTTTTTTGAGACGGAGTCTCGCTCTGTCGCCCAGGCCGGACTGCGGACTGCAGTGGCGCAATCTCGGCTCACTGCAAGCTCCGCTTCCCGGGTTCACGCCATTCTCCTGCCTCAGCCTCCCCAGTAGCTGGGACTACAGGCGCCCGCCACCGCGCCCGGCTAATTTTTTGTATTTTTAGTAGAGACGGGGTTTCACCTTGTTAGCCAGGATGGTCTCGATCTCCTGACCTCATGATCCACCCGCCTCGGCCTCCCAAAGTGCTGGGATTACAGGCGTGAGCCACCGCGCCCGGCCGAATAATATTATTTCTTATTTATTTATTTTGAGACACAGTCCCACTCTGTCATCTAGGCTGGAGTGCAGTGGCATGATCTCAGCTCACTGCAGCCTTGACCTCCCAGGCTCAAGTGATCCTCCTGCTTCAGCCAGCTGAGTAGCTAGGACTACAGACACATGCCACTATGCCTGGCTAATTTTTATGTATTTTTAATAGAGACGGAGTTTCACCATGTTGCCCAGGCTTGTCTCGAACTCCTGGCCTCAAGTGGTCCTCTCACCTCAGCCTCCTGAAGTGCTGGGATTATAGGCATGAGCCACTGCACCTGGCCTTATTTCTTATTTAAATATTTGATGTAATTCACCAGTAATGCCATCTGTGCCTAGAATTTTCCTCATGGAAAGGTTTATAATTAAAATTTTAATCTCTCTAGTATACATAAGGTTATTAAAATTTTCTATTTCTTCTTATACTGGTTTGATAACATGAGTTTGTCTATTTTATTTAAGTAGTTGAATTAGTGGCATAAAGTGGTTTGTCCCTTTTTAATTATTTTTAATATCTGTAGGATCTCTAGGGATACCTCGTCTGTCATCCCTGATGTTGGTAATTTGTGGTGTTTTTTTTCTCTATCAGTTTAGTTAAGTACTCAATTTTACTAATCTTTTAAAAATAATTTTTGGTTCTTTTGATTTTCTCCTAGTGTCCATGCATTTTCTTTTTTAATTTTTGTGGATACATGGTGTATATATTTATGGTGTATATGAGATATTTTGATACAAGCATGTTTATACATTTTCTATTTCACCGATTTCTGCTCTTTATTTTCTATCATCTACAAACTTTACATCTAATTTGCTCTTCTTTTCCTAATTTCTTAAGTTGGAAGCTTAGATAATTGATTTTCAATCTTTCTTCTTTTCTAACGCAAGCATTTAAAGCTAGAAGTAAATAAGCATTAAGCTATAAATATCCCTCTAAGAACTTTAACTGCATCCCATAAATTTCAATATGTTGTTTTTCCTTATCGTTTAGTTCACACTGTTTTCTAATTTCCCTTTTGACTTCTTTCTTGAGCATAAGTTATTTAGAAGTATGTTGCTTAGTTTTTGATTTTTGGAAATTTTCCATATATTTAATTGCTTTTAAGAAATTTAATTCTGTTGTGATCAGAGGACATATTTTGTGGGATTTCAGTCAGTACTTTGACATGTATTGAGATTCGCTTCATGGCTCAGCAAATAGTCTATCTTAGTGAACATTTAATATGCTCTTCAAAAAATGTATATTCAGCAGTTATTGGGTATAGTATTCTATAAATATCAATTTGCTTGATCATGTATTCAAATATTCTATTTCCTTACTGATTGATTTGTCTGCTTATTCTATCAATTACAAAAAAAAGAAATATTAACATCACCTACATATTTGTGGATTTCTCTTATTTCTCACTTTGATTCTGTCCCTTTTTGTTTTTTGCATTTTAAAGGTTTGCTACTGGTTGTGTACACATTGAGAATTATTATATCATCATCATGATTTTAACTTTCTATCTATAAAATGACTGTTTTTGGTAATACTTTTTGTCTTGAAATCTAATTTGTCTGATATTAATATAGTCATACTAGTTTCCTTATGCATAGTTTGTGTGACATATTGTGTTTCATCCTTTTATGTTCAACCTGTCTCTATATTTATATTTAAAGTGACTGTCTTATAAACAGCATATAGTTGAGTCTTGCCTCTTTTTATTCACTTTGAAAATCTCTGCCTCTTACTGTACATTTAATGTAACTGTTAATAAGTTTGGGGTTGGCCAGGCATGGTGGCTCATGCTCGTTCCTAGCACTTTGGAAGGCCGAAGTGGGCGGATCACTTGAGGTCAGGAGTTCAAGACCAGCCTGGCCAACGTGGCATAACCCTGTCTCTACTAAAAATACAAAAATTACCCAGGTATGGTGGCACTCACCTGTAATCTCAGCTGCTCAGGAGGCTGAGACAGAAAAATCGCTTGAACCCAGGAGACAGAGTTTGCAGTGAGCTGATATTGCACCACTACACTCCAGCCTGGGCAATAGAGTGAGACTCCCTCTCAAAAAAAATGTTTGGGGTTAAGTCTTAAGTCTAGTATGTTGTCAGTTTCCATTTGTTCCCTCTGTTCTTCGTTCTCTTTTTCCTGCTTTCTTGGTCTAATTAAGTACTTTTTAAGAACCCCATCTAGTTTACTCTATTGACTTTTCAGCTATACGGCACTGTATGTATATATATATATATATATATATATATATATATATATATGTATACATATATTTTTACTGTCATTCTTTTAATGATGTTTCAGAACAAAGAAAATGTCACAGAGTTATATGTGGTTTTTATCTGGTATAGGGCACAAGAAACAGTTACCAACAGAAAATATTTCTACAGCCCCAAAATAGCTTACTTACAAATATTTGCAAAATTCATTCTTATGGTACTCATGTAGTTTTGTACTTGAATCGACAGTTTACAGAGATGAGTAATTAAAATTAGGTTTTTTGGGTTTTTTTTTTTTTTTTTTTGAGATGGAGTCTCGCTCTGTCCCCCAGGCTGGAGTG